>NC_000017.11:17763838-18066868 GCF_000001405.40 Homo sapiens
GGTTTGACCCTCACTCATGCCAGGTCTCTGACCAGACAGCTGGGAAACTGCTCACTGATGTCACTCAGGACCTGGGCAGACAGAACAACAGCCATTAGGGCTATTTTCGTGGCACAGAGGGAGAGAGACAGGTGTACAGATGCATGGAGCTTCCTAAAGCAGCATGTGGCACTTCCACTTGAATTTCACTGCAAAGTGGGCCACATGGCCATCCTCCGGACATCTTTATGGGCTAGTGACACGCTTGCTGCCTTTGGCTGAGGAGGACAGGAAATATTTGGTGGTGGTGCCGACACTGACCACAAAGACCAAGAAGGTTCAGCACTTTACCCTGAGCAAGGTGAGGAGCCTTGGGAGGGATTGAGTAGAGTAGGCTGCAGCCTCATTTAGTTTTACTTTTTAACTTTTTATTGACTTGCATACAGAGAAGAGCACGAATCATAGGTGGACAGCTGATGAATTTCTGCAAACCAAACACACTCGGGTATAACTGAAGTTCAGATCAAGAAAAAGAACATCACCAGCCCCCAGATGTCCCTTATCCCCCTCATCAGGCATTTCCTGCCCAAGAGTACTTTTGTCTGCCTTTGAGTTTCACAGACATGAAACCTTTTCTGTCCAACTTCTTTTCCTCTTTTTTTTTTTTTTTTTTGAGACAAAATCTTGCTCTGTCACCCAGGCTGGAGTGCAGTGGTGCGATCTCGCCTCACTACAACCTCCGTCTCCCGAGTTCAAGCAATTCTCGTGCCTCGGCCTCACAAGTAGCTGGGATTACAGGTGCCTGCCACCACGCCTAACTAATTTTTGTATTTTTAGGGTTTTGCCATGTTGGCCAGGCTGGTCCTGAACTCCTGGCCTCAAGATATCTGCTTACCTCGGCCTCCCAAGTAGCTGGGATTACAGGTGCCTGCCACCACGCCTAACTAATTTTTGTATTTTTAGGGTTTTGCCATGTTGGCCAGGCTGGTCCTGAACTCCTGGCCTCAAGCTATCTGCTTACCTCGGCCTCCCAAAGTGCTGGGATTATAGGCATGAGCCACCGCGCCTGGCCTCCTCTTCTTTTACTATTTATGAGACCTATCTGTGCTGTGTGTGGCAGTGGTTTTTCATTATTGTGTAGTATTCTATTGTGTGCATATGCCACAGCTTATTTCTCCCTCCTACTTTTGATGAACACTTGGATTGTTTATAATCGGAGGATCTTCGGTGGCTTGCGCCTGTATTCCCAGCACTTTGGGAGGCTGAGACGGGAGGAGAGTTTGAGACCAGCCCAGGCAACATAGCAAGACCTCATCTCTCAAACATTTTTTTGAAAACTAAAATAGTTGGAGGATCTTGTGAATATACCTGCCGTGAACATTCTCCAACACATTGTTTGGTTCCTGTATGTGGAGTTCCCATTCAATGTGTGCCTTGGAAGTGGAACTGCCATGGTCTCATTTGCATTTAAGAAGCCTCTACTGGACACACAGAAGAGACCGAGGTACAGTCCAGGCAGGAGGTGGAGGGGAAGGTATGTGGGCCCAGCCCTAGGGCTCCTCCACCTCAGAATCCAGAAACATCCCCAGCGTGGACTTGTCTTCCAGGCGACTTGGGGGTCTGTATTGTACACACAAGATGAAAATCGTGTAAAGCAAGGCCCAGACACATGAGGCTGAGTGTGCAGCCCCAAACGGCAAGACGTAGGCCTTACTGTGTGAGTCACACGGTGGTGTTATAGCACATTCTAGTACACAGGCAAGAATAGTTGTATAATATTTGAATGCACTGAACTCACTTCCACCAGGTACACGTGTGAGGAATCTCCCTGCAAGTCACCCGTTTCACAAGAGGGAAGACGGCCCATCTTTTAAGTCAGGGGAGGGGACCACTTGCCCTGGGGCCTCGGGCTGGGGTTCAGCCTGCCTCTGTTCCCCACTCTTGGACACACAGGATGAAGGGCCCCAGTGCTGATCGCTCACAGGGGTGGTAAGACTTACCCTGTTACCCTCTTGGGGTGTGGCATTTCTTAGAAGCCAAGCATGGGTAATCCTTTGCCTGGAATGAAGCCAGGAGAATGGTGGGGCTTCAGGCTCTGGTTCTAGAAGACAGGGCTTCTTGGGAGCTGCCCCTGGAGCCTCCCAGCCTGAGCGGTAGGTGCTGGAGCTGGTGCCTTTGAACTTGGATTCATCACAGGGAAGACCTGGGGTCCAGGCCTGGTTCCGAGGTGCCCAGGCCAGCCCCTGAGCAGCCAGGCGGCCTTCTTGTGAACTCACATTGTAGTGTCCCGTGCAGCTGTCCTGGTCCTGCAGGATGCATTCCCCACCCCCAAGCCCTTAAGGGCTGTTGGGTTTTGTTTTTAAGAAACATATGGCCTAGTTGTTACTTTGGCTGGCCTCCCCAAGCCTCATGTCTCTGAGACCCCCACTCCTAAGGAAGGGGGCCAGGCATTGATGGGGGTGTCTGGGAAGCCGAGGGAGGATGCCTGCCAGTTATGAGAAAGATGCATCTTTGTCGCAGACACATGTGGGGCGCTCTATGTAAATTGTTTCAGCGCCTAACAGGAAGAAGAAAAATGAGGCTTTGATGCGAGCCACCACCTCTCAGCCAGGCGTGGTGTCACTCAGGCGCGTCCGAGGCCTGCTTCTATTAAGGAGCTGTAAGCTCTTCTCAGGCCAGAGACCCAGGGTGCTCTCTGGGCAGGAGGTGGCTCTGCTCTGTCTGCCGAACTCTGGGCGTCAGCACTGGGGCGTGCTGGGGCCTCAACCCAGCCCCACCTCCAAGGCAGGCGGAGAGCACTGCTGATGGATTCCCCAGCACTGCACTGTGCGAGGCCCAGGGCGGGGACCCCAGCAGGCAGCGTGGTAGGGTTTGCTGGGGATGACAGGCAGGCGCACAGGCGGCGGCACTGTTAGGCCCCATGTGATGGCCACAGCCTGGCACAGGAATCGGTGCTCCAGGCAGCAGACAGCAAAGGTGTGGAGGCAGGAAAGGAGCCACTGTCTCTGAGGCCTGGGAGAGCACTGCGGGTGCTGGAGATAGATGGTGGCAGGGGCCAGCTCAGGGGAGGGCAGGAATCTGGTCTTGTGGCTTTGGAAGCCCATGGGTTGCGAGCAGGAGAGGGTGGGGTGGTGTGAGTCTGAGGGAGGTCTCAGATGGGAGGGGAGGGCGGAGTGGGGCAGGGACCAGTGAGGGCCAGAGTGGAGACTGGGCAGGAGGGCATAGCACACACATGGACATGCTTCCCAATGAGCCCTGGCCCAGTCAACTCCCAGCTCCAGGAACCCCCCACAGCCCTTTGCTGGGGTGCACACCGTCCAGAGCACTGACTTCCCCAACGAGCCAGGTGGAAATGTCCCAGGGAGGACCCCGGGGCCTGAGGAGCCTACTGAATCCTCAACAAAGAAGGGAAGAGAGGCCTAGGCCACAGCAGGCCCAGAATTATTGTGTTATGCTCTGGATCTTGGGGAATGTGTAATCCCCACACCGTATCTATGGCAACTCTCCATTAACCAGAATTTGGTTCTACAAATTCCTGTTCCCATTCATTCTAGAAAACTCAGAGCTGTTGGTCTTTTTAAAAAAACTCGCTGAAAAAAAAAAAAAGATACTAAAGAATGTAAAGAAGAAAATGAAGTCAGCTCCAGCCCCTCTGCTGAGAACACACTGATGTTAGTACTTTCGTGCATTTCCACCCAGTTTGTTTAAGAAAATTGGGATTGTGTTGAATGCCTGCTTTTGCATCCTGCCTTTTCCATTGTGCTTCAGATCATGAGCATTTGGCAGGTCAGAAAAAAAATGTCTTTGGAAGCTGGGCTGTGGGGACTGGGGTTTGGAAGGCTTGCTGTGTGCTGTGATCCTTCAGGGGTCATCGCCCTCCCTAAGCCTCAGCCTTTGCCTCTCTGCAGGGAGAGACTGAAGGACATTTCTCAGGCTCCCGCCAAGAGTCTCAGTGTTTTCCTTGCAATGGTGGCCTTGTTATTCCAGCCTTGCTACTCACAGGTGGGCCTGGTGATGTTTGTGGCAGGGTGGGCACAGGGCTGGCACTGCCACCAAGTACGTAGTTGAGCCGGTAAGCTCAGAAACGTGGGCTCACTCCAGCCTTGAGCACTTTCCCATCTCGTGATCCTGGGCAAATGACTTTGCCTCTCTGAACCCCTATCTCTTAAGCTCCAGAACCGGGTGGTTGTGATGGTTCATTGGCTTAATGTAAGTGGAACTCTTAGCATATAATAAGTGCTCAGTAAAGAGGAACTGTTGCTACCCTGAGGATTGCTGGTATCTGTGATGTCACAGGTGTAATATGAGGATTAAATCATGACCTTCTTGCAGCATTCAGCAGAATGCCTGGGACGTAGGGGACACTGTCAGGGGGTGGCACCTGGTCCCATGGTCTAGCCAGGACTATCTTTGTGGCCCTTAACTTGTGCAGCTGCCCAGGGCTGGCGCTCAGAAATGGCCTGTGCTTGGTGCATGCTGCTCTGCTGTTGCTATCTTGAGTTTTTATTACTTTGTGAGCAAGAGGCCCTACATTTTCATTTTGCACTGAGCCCCACAAATTCTGAGGCCACTCTTAACAAGAGGATTAATCCCTAGGGCAGACTGGCAGGGCACCCCACACATCCACGGTGCTCAATAGCTATTTGGAGGGTGAAGGCAGGACTGAATGGGCCTTGGTTCAGAGGAGAACAGTACCCCAGCGAGGCCAGGTGGCTTGCCCAGTTTACACGCCAGACATAGGGCCAGGCAGTGCTCTGACCATCACGTGAGGGGCTGTCAGGGCGACGGTGTGTCTGTCAAGGGCAGGAAGTGGGCTGTGTGGAGTGCCAGCCAGGATGGGCAGGGTAGCCTGCGCCCTGCTGACCTGCAGCCAGACACACTGGGGAGACACAAGACGACTCAGGTTGGAATCGATTGAAACCAAGCCAAGAGCTTGGGCCTTGGAGTGCATGGGAGGGGGAGGAGGTTCAGACCCAAGGTGGCGGCTGCGGCTGGTGTTAGCACTTCTTCCCGGCAGGGTGGGCAGGGCCCCATTAGGGGAGGCAGGCCTGGATGCCCCCCAGCACCCTTTCATGAGGGGGAGAGAGGAGAGGAGCAAGGCCCAGGCCACCTGGTATTCAGAAGGCTGAAGTGACAGTGTCAGGCAGTTTGGGGGGCAGATGAAGCCGTGGCAAAGGGTGGCCAGGAGGCCAGAGCAGCACTCACAGATGAGGTGGGATTGGGGCCACCTGCATGTGTGGGGAAGGAGCCCCCAGGACTCGGTGTGTGGGCCTCTGGCTGACAAAGGCCACTCTGCAGAAAGGAAATTAGAAAGAAGAAATGATTTCTTGGCTCATGTCTTCACGAACAAGGGAGAAAGTTGCTGGCGTGGTCTCCTCACAGAAGAGCCAGGGTATCTGAGGGGAGCCCTTTCTCTGCCAGCTGGGTCACCCTCAGGGCTGGAGGTGCTGGATGCCAGAGTAGAAGTGGATGGATGGGGGTGTCCCCCCAAAAGGAGAGGGAGACAAGGTGAGGCTGTGCCTTTTAAGCCTTCTGCGCAGGCCTCCTTGGGACAGCCCGGGTCGGATCTCAGACTGCAGCATGTGGGGCTGGGAGCCAGCTCCCCCGAGGCACGGGGGCTCAAGAGGTCTGAGCAGCATGCTGAGGTCAGGGCTGGAGGAGCAGAAAGTAGTAGGGAGCCACTGATGGCGTCATAATGAAGGAGCGACATGACAAGCTTGTGAGGGGCCACACAGGGCAGAGGCTAGGGACGAGGAGATCCCGCTGGCAGCTGGGCATGGAATTTCTGGTGGGTAGTGAAACAGCCAGACCTAGGACCTGTGGCAGTGAGGATGGGGAGGGGGCCAGATGGGCACACTTCAGGCAGGGGAACCCCAGGACTTGGGGGCCTCCTCAGAGAGGCCTTACAGAAGGACTGGGGCAGCAAGCAAGGCCTGTGGGGCGAGGAGGCCTAAGGACACCATGGATGCACTGGAGCCAAGCCATTAAGGACCCTGCACCCCGGCCAGAGGCCTCACTCAGGATGGCTGCAGTGGAGACTGAAGAGATGGGTCGGGTGGAGGGAAATGGGCTTTGCCCTCAGGAGGTGGTTGTGGGAGGAGATGCGGTCACCCGGGAAGAGAGGCCAGAGGATGGGACCGAGGAGCAGCGACACGGGAGGACGGCAGGGCGGGTGAGCGGGGGGGCCCTGCCCAGGGTGACAGGGCTTTGCTGGGCCCTCCAGGACCCTAGGCAGGGTCTCCCCTGGAACCAGGCGGTACAAGGCCTGTGATGGGAGGGGCGGGAGGATGAGGGATTGCTGGCAGGAGGGCCTGGGACCAGAAGTCTCCACTGCAGCCATCCTGAGTGAGGCCTCTGGCCGGGGTGCAGGATCCTTGTCTACCTGCGGGGTAGGGAGACAGCCTGTCTCCCAAAGGGCGGTGGGGTGGCTGAGCCTCAAGGACAAAGGCAGGCGGGGGCAGGGGAAGGAGCCTGTGGCTGGGAGCTTAATGGCCCCGAAAAAAAAACATAAAACCAGAGAATTATGGGGAGACATAAACAGAGCTGTCAGGCATTAGCTGCAGGGAGACGGCTCAGCCTGGGTAAGAGATGCTGGCGGCTGAGCTGGGATCCTTGCGTGTGCATAAAAAAGACAGAAGTTATAAAAGGAGGGAGATTAAGAAGATACTGCCTCTTCCATGATTGGGCTCCCCGGCCAATTCCTTTCTCACGCCCCGGCTGAGGCCCCAGTCGCACACTGACCCTAGGGGCCTGGCCTGCGAGGCCTGGCCAGGTCAGGGGCCAGGGCCTGCCAGCGGCCAGGGAGGTCCATGGGGGTGGGTGGGGGTGGGTAGCGACTTGGCCCAAGCTAGTGGAGGGGCCGGGGAGCCAGGCCCAAGGACGCAGGCGGCGCCAGCCCCAGCAATTTATGGGTGCTCACACACCCTGCCGTCTTCATTTTCCCCGTTGCTGCTGCTGTCATTAGCCAAGCACTAATGGGCTTAAATTTCACCTTAAACCATCCCCACTGTCCTCAGCAGATGACAAACGCCCTACTCTCGCCGGCTGCAAAGCTGCTGGGCGGCCTCCAAGCAGGCATGTGCCCTCCCTCTGCCCGTGTCCTCTGGCCCTCAATAAGGAGGCTCCTAAGGACCCAGGGCCTGGGATACTCACAGGCCGGGAGAATTCCTGGGGGTGTCTGGGAGCCCAAGGAAGGGCAGGGCTCAGGAAAGGGGGCTTCAGGGGGATCTTTGGAGACCCTGGGATGATAATGGATGGGGAGACAGGAGCCCAGGGTCCAGGGGCACCCCACTGTTTGGCCTTGGCAGGGCCATGCCCCTGACCCTGCCCAGGTGTCATGAAGAAGGGCCCTAGGAGCTACCCGCCATGTTTTTAAAAGCCTTAGGGAAATCATATTTTGCTTAGGCTAACAAAAATAGCAGTGGCTTTGCTTGGGGTTAGAATTCCATCCATCCATCCATCCATCCATCAAATTCGTTCACTCATTCATTCAGCAAATGTGGCCCATGAGCCCCTGGCCTGAGCAGGTCCATGAAAGGCCCGACTAGCTGTTCATTTGAGGCCCATGAGAGGGAACAAGTGGGTGATCTCTAAATGCAGTTCGTTTGGGAGACAAAATCCTTTAGCAGTGGCTCTGAGGATGGGAGGGGAAGTGACCAAGGGGCTCTAGAGGCTGTGGGGACAGAGTGCATCAACCTGGGGTGCATCCAGTCCATGAGGCGGGTGTTTGCCCGAAAAGGAGACAGGAATAGAGATGGAGCTATGGCAGAGATGCAGGGATTGCTGGGGGCTCCCTGCTCATGTGTGCACATAGCCATGGCCACCGCCTCCCGCCTTTGTTTCCCAGCAAGGGGCAGGTGCCCGAGGAGCTGCTGGGGTTGATCCACCATCAAAGCCGGCCTGTCGGGGGCTGGTATGCAGAGTCATCCCTTTCCCATGGGAATCTCGCTCCCTTCCAAGCCCCCAGCACCCGCCTTTCATCCCTGTGCTGAGAGCCAGTACTCCCACTGACACCCAAACAGTGATGCCAAGGAGGCACTGCCAGAGGGAGGCCACCACCATACAGGCCTGGAATGTCACACTCTCTGTCCCCACCACCCCCCACCTGCAGTGAGCCTAGGGGAAAGAACAGGCTGGCACAGGCATTAACTGGAGATGGAGGGTGGTGCATGGCTCTGGGCCACCATGCTGTGTGTCCCCTTGTCCTCTCTGGGCCTCAGACATGCAATCTGTCACCTAAGGGTATTGACCCTGCCAGGCTCTGGCACACCAGGAAATGTAAGCCAGACTCAAGGGTTGGCAATATGTACGGGAGGTTGGGTGAGGCATCTTCTCCAGTCCAGGAGGAAGGGATTCCTAACTGGTGCTTAGGACCATGGACTTTGGAGAAATCTATTCCTCCCCACCAGTATCTAGAATTGGCTGTGGAGTCCTGCCAATGCTCTGTTCCTGACATTTCTAGAATTTCTCCCTGCATTTCCAGCCCCTGCCACCACTTTGGTCTGGCCCCATTATTGCTCTCTGGGGGACAGTCCCAGCTTCCTGTTCACTGGCCTCCTGGCCTCCCCTCTCACCCCCATCACCAATCCATCCTGCCTCACTGCAGCCACTGCAGACTCCCCAACACACATGTGTGATGCTCACTGTTGCTCACTCTCTGGGGCTCCCCGTGGCCCTCACCACAACATCTGTGCTCTCCACTGTGGCCCAGAGGGCCACACACCACGTGGACCCTGCCCATCTCTCATTTCTTGCCTCTCACTTCCACTCGAGAGCCAGCCTGCATTCTCACTACTATCTCTCACTCTCTCCTGCCTTCCAGGCTTTTCCTCTTTCCCTTGCTAACTCCGGCACATCCCCTAGGTCTCAGGTGAAGTGTCACTCCCCTGGGAAGCCCCTCTGCCCTCCTGTTCCCACTCAGGTATGACGTAGGGCCCTTTCCCATGCGCTGGCACTTACTTGCCTTCTCCACGAGGCTCTGAGCCCACAGCTGTCTCTGGGTGCTCAGTCTCTAGCAGGTGTATGGCATACAGTAAGCACTTAGTAACTGCTTCTGAGATGGACAGATGGGTATGTGCAAGGGTGGATGGGCAGGTGGGTATGTGTGCATGGATGCATGGATAGAAAGAAGGTAGGCTGGTGAGTGGATGGATGGGTGGGTGATTGTGAGGTATACAGGTGAGTGAGTGGATGGGTGGATGGATAGATGGGTGTGTGTGCATGGATGCATGGATAGACTGATGGGTGGGTGGGTGGGTGGATGGATGGATGGATGGATGGGTGGGTGGGTAGGTGAATAATAGATGGGTGGACTGTTGTGTGGGTGGATGGAGAGGCCAGGTGGTCTATGAGGTGAGTCCAGAGGCATTAGAAAATGGAGTTCTAAGCCTTTGGCTTTCCATGGGCCCCAATTTCTCTGTCTGTAAAATGGTCAGCTCAGCTCCTGTGCCCAGCGTGGAGGCTCAGGATGAGCTGGAGAGAAGGTGGAGGCTTCAGCAGGCAGCACATCAGGCGCTCCACAGACAGTGCATGGGACAGAACAAGGTTGCTTGGCGTCCCTGCAGCCCAAGGGCTCCCTTCTTCAGGGGGACACCGATGCCCTCCTCCATCCCTGCTTGCTCCCAGGATCCTTGCCCAGGTAGCAGACTGGGAACCAGACCCATAGAGTTCAAATCTAAACGTTGCTGCTCACCAGGAAATTCCCTTTGCCTCCTAGGCCTTAATGGCACATCTATAAAATGGGGGTGCTCGTGTATTCATGTTCTTTGCAGTTTCTCTGGGGATCAAAACAATGTGACGAAGGGAGGCAGAGAGAAAAAATGCAATGTGACAGGGAAGATGGCACCTCTCCTGATGCCCAGCACACAGAGGGTACCCAGGAAATATGGGGCTTAGAATCTCAACACCTGAAAGAGCAGCTTCTGCTGCAGCCCCTGCCACAGGCGCCACACTGGCCACAGTGCTCCCTCCTAGCCCTTCTTCCCCTGGCCAAAGCTACCTCTGGAAACTGAGTTCGAAGTTTCCAAACCTTATCCCAGACCCCATAGCCATGAGTTATAATAGGCACATAATTAATAATCACGTAATTATAATGTCTATATTATTTATAATTTGTATATTTATATATAATTTATTTAACTGCATCTATAATCTATAATTTAAAATTACATCAGGTAAGTAATTACTTACCTACTATAGTGCTTCTGCCACTTACAAGCTGTGTGACTTTGGATAAGTGCCCTAACCTCTCTGTGCCTCTGCTGCCTCCTCTATGAGTTAAAATGTGTAGACTGCTTCTCAGAACAGGGCCCAACACATGTCTGGTAGGTGTGGGAATTAGCCCCGAGGATGCTGATGACAAAGCATTTCTGTATCTGTTTTGCTCATGGGTTCTTTGCTCAACCCTGCAAGGTGGGCATTTAATCACTATCCCTATTTTATGGGTGAGGAAGCGGAAGCCCAGCAAGTTGGGGTGACTCACCTGAGGTCACACAGCGAGTCAGCAGTGGGCGTCAGGTACTCGGTGTTCTTTCCAAAGACTCCTGAGGCCCTGGTCTGGAAAAAGCCAGCTCTGGACCAGGCCGGAACACAGGGGCCTTTCTGAACCTTCCTTTCAGGGGCCTGGGGCCGCAGGGGCCTCCGGCCCGTCAGCCAAGTCTTTTCCTCCCAACATGCCAGCCAGGGAACACAGACAGCCGGACCCCGCTCTGGCCACTGCCCCGCCAGGCCCCTGTGCCAGGACAGCGTGTCCGCCCACCCGGGCAGTGACCAGCTGTTCCTGAGGCTGTGGGCTGGAGCCAGGTTTCTGTCACTTCAAGGAGCTCCTGTCTTCCCGGCCGCACCTCCACAGCCAGCAAGGACCAGTCAGGGATTTTCCTGAACTTTCCCTCTGTTATAAAAGAGTATATAAACATTTACCTTTTAAAAGTAACAGCTAACTTAGTTGCGCCCTCCTCTGCCCAGCATTGGTCTGGCAGCTGCATGTACGTTGTCTCCTGGCATCTGCGCACCATCGTCTGAGGTGCATAATCTTGTGCCTGTTTGCAGATGAGGAAACTGAGGCACAGGGAACTTGAGTTGCCTGCCCAAGCCCCCACAGCAAGGCAGTGTCTGGGTGGGGATTTGGACCTAGACAGGGAGCCTCCCTACCAATCAGGCCTTCAGGGCAGAGTCTTGGGGCCCAGAAAAGCCCAGCCCAGCTTCTGGTTTTAAATTTTATAACGTGTTCCTTTGTTCAGATGATTGAAGGAAAGCATATTGCAGGTAGAAATAGAATGAAAACATTGTAACACATGAAACCAGGAGTGCCTTTGTGTGCAGCTGACCCTTGAACAATGTGGGGGTTAGGGACGCTGACCCCCACACAGCTGAAAATTCATGTGTAATTTTTTTTTTTTTTTTTTTTGAGACAGGGTCTTGCTCTATTGCCTGAGTTGGAGTGCGGTGGCACAATCTCTGCTCACTGCAGCCTGGACCTCCCAGGCTCAGGTGATCCTCCCAGCTCAGCCTCCCAAGTAGCTGAGACTACAGGCATGCATCACCATGCCCAGCTAATTTTTGTATTTTTAGTAGAAATGGGGTCTCATCATGTCACCCAGGCTAGTCACAAACTCCTGGGCTCATGCAGTCTGCCCGCCTCCACCTCCCAAAGTGCTGGAATTATAGGTGTGAGCCACCATGCCTGGCCTCATGTGTAACTTTCGACTCCCCAGTCAATTAACACACATTTTGCATGTTATATGTATTATTTACTGTAGTCTTACAATACAGTAAACTAAAGAAAAGAAAATGTTATTAAAATCCTAAGGAGGAGACAATCGAATCTATTTACTAGTCATGAAGTAAAAGCGGATCATCGTGAAGGTCTTCATCCTCGCCGTCTTTGTATTGAGTAGACTGGGGCCAGGAGAAAGGGAGGGTCTTGCTGTCTCGGGTGGTGGAGGGGGAGGCAGGAGAGGCAGGCACACTCGGTGTAACCTTTTGAAAAAACTATCTTGGGATCTTGGCTCAGTTATTCCGATGCTGAGTATGCTAATCACATCTAATTTTCATTGATTCTGAGAAAAACATCCACATATAAGTAGACTGTGTTGTTCAAGGGTCAGTCATACCTGGCCCTGGCAGCAGCAGGTCCCCACACAGCTTAGCGCTTGAGCCAGTCCTGGCTGCTGCGTCCCCCAAAGCTGTGTACCCACTGAGGAGGACGCAGCCTGTACAGGAATTCAGGTTTGGTTCTCCTTCCCCTCTTGGGGGCTGTTTCCTCATCCGTAAAATGGGAGGCTGATCCCTATCTTGCGCATTGCAGGACGCAGGGGAGCTGACTCCTCTTGGCAGCTGGGTCTTGTCCCATCCTACTGAGGGGGAAACTGAGGTCAACCCACCAGCCTAGAGTCAAACAGCTGGAAAGTGGCAGTGCCAGATTTGAGCCTGAAACCAGGTTATTTTTTCAGTCACCTTGCCTAGCCATTCATAGAAGTTTTTAAATCTTTTAGGAGTTATCACATGCTCATGGTAGAAAAATTCAAATGCAATTTCCTTTTTATACAAATGTTTTGTACACACTTTTTTTTTTGAGACAAAGTCTCACTCTGTTGCCCAGGCTGGAGTCCAGTGGCGCGATCTCAGCTTACTGCAGCCTCCACCTCCTGAGTTCCAGCGATTCTTGTGCCTCAGCCTCCTGAGTAGCTGGGATTACAGGTGTGTATCACCATGCCCAGTTAATTTTTGTATTTTTATACAGATGGAGTTCCACCATGTTGGCCATCCTGGCCTCAAGTGATCATCCCACCTTGGCCTCCCAAAGTGCTGGGATTATAGGCATGAGCCACCGTGCCTGGCTCACTTTTTTTTTTTTTTTTTTTTTTTTTTTGAGAGAGGGTCTTGCTCTGTCGCCCAGACTGTGCAGTGGTGCAGTCACAGCTCACTGCAGCCTGACTTCATGGGCTCAAGCAATCCTCCTACCTCAGCTTCCCAAGTAGCTGGGACCGCAGGCAAACACCACCTCACCTGCCTAGTTCATTTTTTTTCTTGTAGAGGTAGGATCTCCCCATGTTACCCAGGCTGGTCTCAAACTCCTATGCTCAAGCAATCCTCCTGCCTTAGCCTCCCAAAGTGCTGGCATTACAGTGTGAGCCACTGCACCCGGCCCTGTACACACTTTCTACACTGCACTTTTTTTCACCAACTTGAAGACTGCTCCAATTAATCCATGTGGTGCTTCCATTCTCTGAGTACTCAGCCAATAGAACCTCCCAGATGTATCTCCCTCATCCCCCTTGGATGGACAGCTAGGGGATCCCGTGTTTTGCTGCTGCAAAGGACATTGCAGTTGGTAGCCTTGTGCAGATGACTTCGGGCCCAGGTTAGAGGGCACATGTAATTTGCATTTGGGTCCATATTGCCAGAAAGCTCTCCAAAGAGGTAGTACCATTTTACCCTCCCATCCCCAACTAGATTGGGCACCTCTTTCCCCATGCCCTCACCAGCTAGGCAGATGCTCTGTGCCAAGAAAACCAAACAGCTGCTTCCCTTACAAATACTCAAGGGCCTGGGCATGTGTGGGGGCCTGAGTCCAGCCTGCACCCGTTACCAACTGCAAGATCTCAGGCAATAGGCTTCACCCCGTGGGGCTCAGTTTCCTCATCTGTAAAACAGTGGTGATTGGATTATGGTGAGAAGTTTGTAGATGCAAATGCCTAGGACAGTGCCTGGAACATCGAGGCCCCAGGTCAGAAGTGGCTGTTCTTACGAGTCTGCATGAGTCTTGTACCCCATGACTGCAGTCATGGGGATGGGGGCCCAGCCCCTAGGATGGATGCTCAGGCCTCAGACCTGTGTTTTGGGAAGGGATGAAGGGAAGGGAAGAGCAATGTGGGGAATTACCAAGGGGAAAGGGTGGGATTAGCTTATCCCAGCTTCCCACTGTGCCAGTGGGGAAACTGAGGCCCAGAGGGGCCCAGGCCTTGAAGTGATTGCAAGTTCAGCAGCATGAAACTGCTCTTTATCCGTGCACTGCTGTCAGGAACAAATGCTGAATGGAGAGTCCGGAGGGTTGCCCAGGCCACTGCAGGACCCAAGCTCTGAGACTGAGGGCTTGGGGACACAGAGCCAGAGCCTTGTCCTGAAATCCTGGAGGGTGCTCCTTGGACAGGACAAAACTTGTATTCTCTCTCTGAGCCCAGCCTCAGCAGAACCCAGAGTCTTCCAGGGCTGAGATCTTGCCGTACCAGCTGCGGTCACAGACCTGCCACACTGGCTTGACCTGGGAGTTCCTTACAGCTGCAGAACCCCTGTCCCACCTGACCCGCTGCATCAAAATCTGCGTCTCACCAGGATGTACACTTTAATGTTTGAGGAGCACTGAGACTCAGCCAGGATGATACTCTACCTGCCTGCAGGTACAGGCCGCTGCTCTATGGGCAGACCTCAACCCTCAGCCCCAGAATGTCCTCCCCAGCTCTGTCGCAGACATACGTGGCTCCCTGGGAGGCATAGAAAGTACAAGACTTGGACCTGGCTCCCCATGAACTGGTGGCCCTGGAAGTTGCTACCTTTTATTGAGCCCCTGCCAGCTACCAAGCACATTATCCCATTTCGTCCCACAACAGCACTGAAAGTTTGCTGTTTAATTTAGAGTATCTTGCAGCTTAGGCACACAAAGCACAGAGAGGTTAAGTAAACTGCCCAAGGTCACCCAGCATATACATATGCAGGAGCTGGGATATGAATCCAGAGCTGACCCCGGCACCAGAGTCTAGCCATTTACAATCAGAGTGGGCATGGGGGCAGATGGTGGCTCCTCTCACCCCTGAAACCGGAGCCCCAGCCCCTATGAGCCCTCACAGTTCATTGGTCTGGCTGTGGTGAATCTGACCTCTCAAAAGCCTCCCTTTCCGGAGCAGAGGCCTGCGATTCTCCATGCTGGAGAGCCCGCCAAGAGGGATTCTCCTACAACTTTCCAGAACACAGCAGTTCTGGGGCCAGGCCAAGCTAGCTATGTACAGCTGGAAGAGGCTCTCTCCCCCAGATGCTGAGTGACTAGAAGCCAAGAGGGAGGGAGTTCTGGAATGGTCTGCAGCAGCTGGAGGTGAGGCCTGAGGGGGCTGGGGCGGGGCCTGGGAAGAGGGGCCAGTGCACAGAGTATTCTGAACCGCAGAAAGTATTCTGTTCACTCTGGGAGAAAAACAAGAGTGTTGTTCAAAACAGCTGGACGCCAGGCCCAGTTGCCCTCGCCTGGTTTTTACTCTTAAACACCTTCGCATTTCATGGCTGTTCCAAAGAGAGAGAAATCAGCCAGTTGTCCATTCAGACACAAGACAAGGCATCAGCCGACAACCAAAGGCAAATATTTTCCGTGGTGAGGAAAGCCTCCCGGGTGGCCCCAGGCCTGCCTCTGGAGCAGTGGCTGGCTGGTGGCTGGCTCTCCCCGAAGGTCGCTGCTTCTGGTCAGCAGACTGCGTGTCTGGGGGACTGGCCAGGATCCGCACCCACCCAGGGAGCGCTGGGGGCAGCGGGGCGGCCATCCTAGGCCCGTAGTAAATGGAAGCTCCCTTCCTGGCATGAGAGCAGCCAGGCCTCCAGGGAGGCCAGGACAGCGTGGGCCCCACAGTTCCCTGTCTTGAAACCCCAGCCCTTGATATCAAAATGGGACCTGTTAGTCTGTTGTCGGGGAGGGGGATTTAACTGCCCAAAGCTCTTAGGCCCTGAGTGAATTTTTTTCAGCACAACAGTAGCTACACACAGTTGAAGAGTGTGGCACATGGCTACATAGGGTTTGTATTTGGTCTACAGATGAAGGAACAAGACCCATGTGGACTTAGGCCTCATTATCATAATTCTGCAGCCCCAGGAGCCAAATCCCCACATGGAAACCCTTAGTAGGTAGCCTGGCCAAGTGGGTAGCGGGAAATCAGTGATGGTAGGCCCTGGGACTTCTCTCTAGTCCCCTCCCCACCCTTTTTTTTTTTTTTTTTTTTTAATAGACGGAGTCTCGCCCTTGCCCAGGCTGGAGTGCAGTGGCGCGATCTTGGCTCACTGCAGGCTCCGCCCCCCGGGGTTCACGCCATTCTCCTGCCTCAGCCTCCTGCATAGCTGGGACTGCAGGCACCCGCCACCTCGCCCGGCTAATTTTTTGTATTTTTAGTAGAGACGGGGTTTCACCGTGTTAGCCAGGATGGTCTCGATCTCCTGACCTCATGATCCGCCTGCCTCGGCCTCCCAAAGTGCTCGGATTACAGGAGTGAGCCACTCCACCCAGGCTTTTTTTTAAGACAAGAGTTTTACTCTTGTCCCCAGGCTGGAGTGCAATGGCGCAATCTTGGCTCACTGCAACCTCCGCCTCCCAGGTTCAAGCAATTCTCATGCCTCAGCCTCCCGAGTAGCTGGAATTACAGGCGCATGCTACCATGTCAAGTTAATTTTTATATTTTTAGTAGAGACGGGGTTTCAACATGTTTGCCAGGCTGGTCTCAAACTCCTGACTTCAAGTGATCCACCCACCTTGGCCTCCCAAAGTGCTAGGATTACAGGCGTGAGGCATCGCACCCGGCCACCCACCCTTTTTTTCTCCCAAGAAAACCAGTTTTCTGAAATTTTCAGGGGGAACCAGGACCTCCTCGCCCATGTCTTTCACCCCTGGGTGCCTGTATCCTGTATTCACCAAAGCCCCACGGGCATCTCCCCGATTGAGGTCCCACCCCTCAGGGCCTAGGACAGGGGGACCAGGGAGGGCCCCCAGAGGCTGGAGTTTGGAATACCCCCTTCTCTTCTCTGGAGCTCAGTTTGCATGTCTGTGAAATGACAGGTGATGTCACCTCCCAGAAGGGCAGTTTGAGAGAAGTAAAATCTATTGAGGCACCTTGGACACAGGAGGGGGTCAGACGGCATCAGCCTTTGAGGGTGCTGCAGTTACACGGCTCCAGCAGTCTGAGCCTTATCAAGACCTTTCCAGATATGAGGGAAGTCCATGCCCAGTGTCTAGCTGGCTGGGGGAGAAGCCCCTTGAGAACCCCCACTCTGTAATGCTAGGCTCTGCATTTGCTTAGGAGGCTGTGTCCCTGTCTCTCCCCTTCTGGGCCAGCCTTGCTTTCTGGGCAGGCCCAGGAGTGTCCCGGGCCCAGCACTCAGAGTCAGCGCTGTCTTTAATCTGTATTCCACAGGCATCCTCACCCCCTCCCCTCCCAGGAGCTAGGAACCTGCCAGGCTTCTTACCTCTCTGCTGGAATCTCCACCCCCCACCAGAGGCTGCCCTCTTGGGGAAGGGGCCCAGCCCTTGAGGCCTGTCTCCTCCAGACTAGCTAAACCACAGAGAGAACTCCATCTCAGGTTCCCAAATAGGCGGTATTCTTCCCCGCCACCAAGCTAGGCAGCTCCTGGCGGCTGGAATGCCCTGCTCCTTTCTCAGCCCACCACTTCCTCCAACCTTCCGTCCTCTGTGCTGCAGCAGGGAGTCTTACCCCACCTCCTTCAGGAGGGAGGTGCTCACGGGTTCCTATGCCTGTGGGTCTCCAGGATTGGGCACGGAGCAGTCTGCAAAATGTCAAGTGAGGGAGAGATCCAGTCAAAGCCCCAGGGGGGCCTCTGAGCTCAGTCAGCTCCTCTGCTGCTCCCCACCTCTTGGGGGAAGGACAGGCTGGGGTTTGCATGGGTGGCCTTTTGGAGAGCAGAGTAATGGGAGCCTACTTGAACTTCCTGCGGCCTCATTCCCTGACTGGGGGCGGAGGGTAGTCTGAGCTGCTGGCCTGGGGTGCTTGGCCGCAGGGGAAGGGGCTGGGAGGGAGGGGTCTGGGTGAGTCTAAGGGAGGGTGAGCCTGAAAAGGGGACGGCAGCACTAAACTGCCTTCGGGGAGTCCCCACTGTGCGCCCCTGGCACTTTCCCAGTCCCCTGGCGCGGTCGCAGGCACGGGTGGGGTCTGCCTCAAAGTTGTTGGTACGGCCAGCCCGCTGCTGTTTAAATGGTGTGTTTGTTTAGAGCGGCTTAGGGAGGGAACTGGAAATGGGGGGCGGGGGCAGCGCCCCACTTGGCGCCACCGCTGCCGGAGGGTCTGCGTGTTAGAAGCCCCAGCTTCGTAAATGACCGAAGAAGGGTGGGCGTTGAGGAGGGAAGGCCGAAAACCAACGGAGGGCTCGGGGCCCCGGGCCGGCCGCCCCCTTTTTGCGGGGGGAGAGCAGGAGCCGCCTCTCGCAGCCACTCTGCGCGCGGGGTGGGAGGGAGAGAGGGAGGCGAAGGGACGACAGCGCCGGGCTCCCCGCCCCCATCCCACCCGGTTCCAATATTTCGCAGAAAGGCACGCGGCTCCTAATCGGTCTTTTCCAGGCTGAGATTTAGCCGTGCGATGCCCGCGCAGGGGCGGGGGCCGCGGGCCAGGGGAGGCGCTCAGAGTCCGGAGCCGCCGAGCGAGGTGAGGAGCCCGCGTCCTCGGCTGGTGGAGCGGGCGGGCGGGCGCGCAAACCCGAGAGGCAGATATAGAAAGGGGGGCAGGTTAAAAATAACCCTCTCCGGCTGGGAAGCTCGCGCGCGCTCTCTCGCCTCGTTCGGTGCCAGAGGACTCCAGGGGAGGTGGCGTTGGGGAGGGCAGAGCGGGATTCCCCCTCCTCCGCCGGGCGGGGTGCCCGCCTGCGCGCCGCGGTTGCACGTGTGCGGGGCCGCGCGCCCGGGCCCCCTCTGCACCCGGTCGGTGGGTGCCCCCTCCCCAGGACCGGGCGCATCTGGCAGTGGCCCCCCGCCCGCAGCCTTGCGCGGCTGGAGGGAAGCGCTCCATTATTCATTATTTACGAGCGTTAATAGGTTTGAGCCACGGGGGCGGGGGGTTGGGGGGGCGACGAGGACCCAGTGGGGACCGAAGCATTAGAAGAAGGGATAGGGAGGGAGGGGGAAGGGCGGGGGCGGGGCTGTGCCGCGGCCTGGAGGAAGAGGTCTCGGCCTGGGGCCCGGCG
The DNA here is from genome assembly GCF_000001405.40 of Homo sapiens. Lineage (NCBI taxonomy): Eukaryota > Metazoa > Chordata > Mammalia > Primates > Hominidae > Homo > Homo sapiens. The sequence goes on from NC_000017.11 coordinate 17,782,751, forward strand.
AGCCGGGCGCACCTCTCCGTCAGGTTTCTCCACACCGCCGGCCGTCGAGGCTGCTCAGGGCGCCAAGAGGGCAGCACGGGCCTTAGATTTTGCTCTCGGCCTCTGTCCTTCGCGTCCTCGCCCTTACCGAGGCGTGGGGAGGGAGCTGCGGAGGCCGTACGCCCCGCCCTGCGCGCCCCTTGCCGCCGCCGCGTCCCCGCGGCAGCCCCGGCCTCATTTATCATCATCTTTGGTCAAGTGGAGTGTGCAAGGAACAGCTGCTTCACTCGGCTGACTTCGAGGGCGGCTACGGGAGAATCAGGGAGATGAATGATGGGGGCTGGTGGCAGCCCCCCGCGGTCCCCGCGCAGGCGAGAGGGAGGCGGGGACGTCCAGGGCCGCCTCCGCCTCATGGCGAGTGCAGCGCCCCCTTCCTCTCTCCTGGCGCCTGCAGCGACCGGGGACCGGGGGACCGGGGCACCGAGGACCGGGCCCGCCCCGGGAGGGGACTGGGCGCGGGGACGGGGGGGCGCCCTTCGCCGGCGGAGAACTGGCGGGCGCGCTGCCGGCAGAGCCCGAGGTTGCCGTGACCTTGCTGGGGTCAGCGGGCTGGGCTGCGGAGGCGGCGGCGCGGCGTCTTTGGTGCGCTTTCCGGATTGGCGCAGAGGCCGGGAAACAAGGCGGGGGCGGGCGGGGGAACACAAATAGAAGGTGAAATTTTACCTGCCCCTGAGGGAGTCCTGCGGATTTTCTCCGGCAGCAGCAGGCGCTCTGCCTTTGTCTTACACGGCTGAAACATCTGTTGCAGAGGGGCGGAGAGGCCGCAACAACCCCCACACACCCTGCGCTGCTCCCCGTCCCCCTCTGCCCCAGCCGGGCTGCAGGACTCCAGGCGCCGCGTTAACCCTGCTCGCGCTGGGGCGCGCGCCCGCACTCGCTGCCGCAGTCCAGCGCCTCGCGTGGGGCTCCTCGCCCCCGCCCCGGATCTGGTCCTGGCCGGGGCGCCCGGTGACCCCCCTCCACCTCGATGGGGTGCTGAGGTGTAGGCGGGGGGCGGGGGCGGAAAGGGTTAATGGCCTAGTCGCAGACCCTAATTGTCAGAGCCGGCCCCGCTTCGTTTCAATTACCCTAAGTAGAGACTGAATGCGCAATTAACGAAGTCAGCTTGCCAACTGGAAAGCCGGCCCCGCTTTCACGTTGAGCAGAATACTCCACCAGCTGACTTGGACGAAGCAATTTCCTCCTCTCTCTCTCCCCTTTTTTCTCTCCTTCTCTCTTCCAATCCCCCTCCCTCTTTTTCTCTCTCCTTAATAATAAAATTATACCAAGCAGTTTGCGGTGTGGCAGGCGGCCAGAAAAGCGTTTCTTTAAACGCCGCCGTCTCACAATTAGGCAGCAAGAGGATTTGACACGCCGTGGCGGCCTGACAGGCGGCTTCCTCCCCTGGGGACTGGGGGGAGGGAGGGGGTGCCAATTCCCCGCTCCCCCAGGTGGAACGGGGACTGGGAGGGGCTGGCCTGCTGTGCCTCCCCGGCTGTCAGAATGGCTGCAGCGAGGGGGTGTCAAAGGCAGGGAAGCGAGGGGCGGTTCCGCCTAGGCTGGGGAAGGCGGAAGGCAGCGGCACATTCCACGACTCCTCTGGGAAGCTGGCGTATCCAGGAGGGAGACCTTGTTCCCCTTTCTGTTTGACAGACAGGCACTCTGGGGCATAGAGCTGTAGACGGATCTCAGCCCTGCTGGGCGTCCTGCACAAGCCACTGGCCCACTCTGGGCTTCTTCCATTAATCCCTCGGCAAAATGAGGGGGAGATTTGACCTAGAATGTGCTCTGCAAAAAGTGTCTTCCCGTGGCTCGTTGCCCTTAACAGCTGGTCTTGTAGGCCAGGAGAGGGGGGGTGTAGGCAGCACCACGTAGAAGCAAGCCGGAGACCCCTATGCCGTTTGGGTGGCAGACCCATGGGCCTCAAGGCACACAGGAGGGTGGCTCGGCGGGGAGCCATGATGCAGGCAGCTAATAGATGGGGTGACTTTGCAGGATTGCCAGGGATTGGTGCCATGAGGACAGAGGATACTGAACACTAGCTGCAGCAGCCGGGCCACTTGAGCTCGGGGAAGGCCCAGAGAATTTGGCAGAGGTGGGAGGTAACTGCAGGGGTCCCCATTTGCTCTTTGCAGCCCCCCAGTCCCACCCAGGCTGCTGCTTACATGGGGTGCCTTCATCCTTCCCCACATAGTTAAGCCCTTCTTCCAGCCTTCCCTGATCACCTCCTCTCCCCACCCCCATGGGCCCCTGGGTGTCACTACATCTCAACACCACCAGGGCAGTTGTATGTGTGTCTGCCTGCCTCTGGAGAGCAAGGGCCATGTGCTGTTTCCTGTGTGTCTCCGGCACCCAGCTCGGCCCACATCCAGACTGTAAGCTGAGCAGAAATGTGCTCCACAGGTGAACCAGTGCAGGCACTAGGGGCTCTGGAGGAGACAGCACACACTTTGTCTCTCCTTCCTGATTGGCTGTTGCATGCATCCTGGCCTCCAGGCCCCTCATCCTCAAACCTGTCTCTGGGTATCATCCCTTTGGTCTGTGTTGGGGGTTAAATGCACTCAACACAGAACCCAGCACCCCAATCCATCTCATCTGTTTATTTATCCAAGTAATACTGAAGGGACATCGACTCTGGGGCCAGTTTCTGGGTTTGGAGCTTAGGGTCAAACAGAGGAAGTCTCTGCCCTCCTCAGGCTACGTTCTAGTGAGGGAGGCACATGTGAAACAGCTCATTGTACCATCAATTATGTAATTACCGCTGCCATGAGAGCCACCAAGGAGCCTGGCGGGGGACCCAGGAGAGTTGGGGTGGCGCCTCGCCCGGTGTCTGGTGTGGAATGCCACAGAGGTTCTCACCGCCTCTGGAAGCCTCCAGCCTTTCCAGTCCCCCTCCTCTCTGCACCTCCTTTCCAAGGCCGCTGAGTGCACCTCCTGCACGGGTCTGCCCTGCCTCCCCCCTGAGCCCAGGGCACTCGCCTTTCTGCTCTCCTGCGTTGCTCTGCTTATCTGTGCTGGTCCCAGAGCTTCTGCTGGGCCCGTGAGCACTGTTCCTCCTGCTCTGGGTGCCATCGAGCCCATGCAGATCCCCTTTGCATCGGTTCTGTCAGCATTTGACCCCAGGAGCTTGTGATCAAATTCAGGCCACAGACAGTGTCTCTTGAATTCTCAAGTATGAAAGAAAAAACTTTGTACTTGGTTGATAATATTTTCTTAAATGAGAGCTGTCCCTTTTTGTAAAATCCTGATTTCTGTCTTTTTCAAGGGAAAAGCTCAGAAGCTTTGGCACCCTGGCCTCCCACTCCCAAGTGGCCGCAGTCCGCTGGTGCTGAGAGGGGCTGCTGCTGCCCCTCCCCCCCCACTTTATTTGGGAGCAGGATCGCCAGTTTGTCTCCATACCCACCTGCCCACTTCCCTGCCAGGCCTCGGGAAGATGTTCTTTGTCAAATGAAGCAAAGCAGTGGCCACCCCTGATCTCCCGCTGCCTGGCCCACCCACATGTGCTCTGTGTCGCCACTCCACTGCTCTTTCTGGATATTTTCACAGAGTTACTGTGACATTTTGTGCATTATTGATTCAGTAAATATTTATTGTTCTGGACAATGGGGAGTAGCTGTGAACAAAACAGGCAGAAATCCTTGCTCTCATGGAACTTTTGTTCTAAAGAGGAGACCAATAATAAAGCAAGTCAAGTTTGATTACAACAAGGTCAGTCGTGGGGGTGCAAGGGGTGCTGTTTCAAACAGTGGTCAGGGAAGGCTTATTGAGAAGGTGACAGAGGTGACAGAGGAGCCAAGACTTGGAGCCAGGGTAGAAGCTGTGTAGTTATCTGGGAGTGGTATTTCCAGAGGTAAAAGGCTTGCCCAAGGTCACACAGTCAGCCAGCAGTCAGACAAACCTGCAGACACTTGACACCTCTGTGTTTCCACTTCCCCAGGGAAGTAAGTCATGGACCCTCTGGGCATGTGGGGTAGGGAGGACAAGGCTGGGGCCAGACAGTCCTGTGCCTTCCCTTAGCAGCCAGGCCAGGAGTGGTGGCTCACGCCTGTAATCCCAGCACTTTGGGAGGCTGAGGTGGGCGGATCACCTGAGGTCGGGAGCTCGAGACCAGCCTGACCAATATGGAGAAACCCTGTCTCTACTAAAAATACAAAATTAGCTGGGCGTTGTGGCACATGCCTGTAATCCCAGCTACCCGGGAGGCGGAGGTTGTGGTGAGCCCAGATCGCGCCATTACACTCTAGCCTAGGCAACAGGAGGGAAACTCTGTCTCAAAAAAACAAACAAACAAACAAAAAAACTAGCAGTCACACCTAGCCTATCTCATCCTTATCATGCAGCCTCCTACAAGGGCAGGCACTCCTGGGGCTTGGGGTGGGGAGAATGGAGCTGGCTGGGAGCACCTCTGTGGGTCCCATCTGACCCCTGTGCCAGGGTCTGGGCCAGCCCCTTGGTCTTGCTAGGCCCAGGACTGATTGTGTCTGATGGCATCAGCCTGGCCTCGTGGGGGAAGGACAGGGGCTGTGTCCCCCAGCAGGACCCAGACAACTGCCTGGGCCACCAGACCCTTGCCCTGTTAACTGTCTGCGACCCAGCAATCAGCACCCCCCACCCTTTTTCCCTTTTCTTCATTTTGACAGAGACACAGAGAGGTGGTGACGCTTTTTGTTCAGTGGTGAATAAAGTGATCTAAAAAAAAAATTATTGTCCACAAGAGACTGATCAGTACAGAACTGATAATAGGTGAGCTCCTCCCGGCAGCCTTCCCTGGGGGGCCTAGGAATGCCTGCAGCTGCTGTGGAATCCCATGTTGCTCCCCCACACCTCACAGTGGAGGTGGGACTGCTGGCCATCTGCCCCTCGTCCCTGGACTGTGGGCCCTGCGGCCCAGGTCTCCCGGCCTCTTGATAGCTGTATCCCAGGAATCGGCACCAAGGATCGGTGGGGTGGGAGTGGAGAGCAGGGCACAGCTTTAGAGTTAGGGGACCTGGGCACCTAGGCAGGGGGCCTGGCTGTGCCCATGAACAGCAGGTGGGGCCAGGCCAGCGGGTGGGCGTGGTTAGGCCCTGCAGGGATCCCATTCAGCTGGCTTAGCAGGTCTCAGCTGTCCCCACAGCTGGGTCCCTGGAGGAGATGGTGTTGGGGGCTGTGAGGGGAGGCTCCTCAAACATCTGGAGAGTCCAGATACCTCTGCACTCTGAAGGGCCCAGAGCCCCCAGCCACACCAGGGCTCCCCCAACCTCAACTGAGCCTGGCTAGGGCTGCCCTTCTGCTTCTCACCCCATCACTGGCATCCTGATATTTGGGACCCCCAGACCCTATAGAGAGGGTATGTTGGTCACCCCGTGGGATTCTTCCTTGAGCATGGGGGGGCCATGAATGAGGAGGGATGCATATCCAAGCGTTGCCCACAGGGAGTGGTCTGGAGGGGCTGCCTGGTCCTCTGGGGTTCCTGATGTCCTAGGAGGGTCCTCCATCTGCCCGAAGCAGGCCTCTCAGCCCGTGGACCCTAACCTGTCCCAGAAGCCTATGGGCACCCAACCTCTTGTCTTGTGGGCTCCTTGGAAACTCGCCCCCTTCCTCCCATTCAAGCCAGGCCCCTAGGATATGGAATTGAGCCCATACGATAGCAGTGAATCTGGCGAACGATTTCTCATTTTCACCAAGTCTCCTGTATTGATTATTCATCACCCACAACAGATGGGGAGGCCTGAGGAGTTCCACCTTCTCCACCCCTGCCTGGACTCCTCCTCTGCCCTGTCCTCAGCTTCTGGAGCCCTGGTACACTGCTCCTTCATTCTCAGGTTCCCAGGCCTTGAGTGGGTTGGGTTTTTAAATTTTTTTCTTGCAGCTACAAATCATGAAAACAGGTCATAAAACCACCTTGGGTAAGTAGGTGGGATGGAACCAGTGGCCTCAGAGCTGCTGCTGGGGATCAGGAAGCCCCCAGTCCGTTTCTTTCTCCCTCTCTCCCTGCCTCCCCTCAGCCTCCCTCTCTCCCTTTCTCTTAGGAAAAAATTCCAGCCACCACCTCCCAGCTGGGCTCCCTCAGGAGCCACAGCAGCTCTGGCCTACACTGTGCCCATTTCGCTGACTGGGGCCTCAAGCCTGGGGTCTGAGGAGGCTTTAGGCCTAGTGACCTCTCCCTGAGGCTGCCCAGGGGACAGTAGTTGCCTTGGTGACAGTGGGTGGCTGGTGACCATCACTGCCCATTAGTGGACCCACCCGAGGTGGGTCTGGCTGCTTAAAGATGAGGACAGAATAAAAAAGTGAGGACCCTGGCCTGAGGCTCAGGCTGTCACAGGCTGCAGCTCAGCCCCTTGCCCCACAGCAGCTTTGGCTTGCATCCTGCTCCAAGAGACTGTTCCTCCAAAGTGGGAGCCCCTCACGGGGGCTCAGGACAGGGGTGTCCACCCGTGGTCCAGTCACTGCCGCTGCTGCTGAGGGCGTCCTGCATAGGAGCTTCCCTGCGGGTGGGCTCTGCTCTGGGGTCCTAAGCAGGGCACTTGTCCTGAACCTCACTTTTTTCTGTAAAGGGGGAGGAGAGATTAATCAAACCGTTGTTCAAGAAAGCCGCACAGAGTAGGTGTTCTGCAGCCGCCTTGCTCCCGCCTCAGCAGTCCTATAGATTTCTGGAGGGAAAGGGCTGAGGTCTTTGCCTAAAAGAAGGGCTGTGCCCCAGGTGTGTGCCACACTGCCGAAGGCCTGTGAGAGCCGCTGGCCTTGCACCGTAGGGTAGCTGGGGTTTCGTTGTGCCCCCACTATGTTCATGGCTTGGAGTGAGGACACCCATTGCTGTGTCAAGGGGAATCCTGATGCCCTGGGTGCTATGTGATTCCAGCTCATGCTCCCTGCTGTGCCTGGCCTGCCTCCTCTGTCCAGCGCTGAGAAGACTAAGTTCCAGGATCTGATTCTAAGGGTGAAGTGTTCATGTATCTGGTGCTTAGAGGATGCACTAGACTCCGCTCCTCCTGCCTTCTAGTTTCAGCAAGAACTTTGGAGATAAGGCCTGGACCAAGTGTCTGAGAGGAGAGGCAGGTTGGGGAGAAACGGATGGATGGGAATGAGTGGGGACCGTCCGGGCAGTGTGGTTGAGCTGGACCATGAGGAGTGAGCCCAGTGGGTGGGGGGTGCCCTCCCTTGTCCCCTCTCACCACCCCTTCTCCCTCCAGCCCAAGCCACAGGCCAAACCCACAATCTGCCTGCTAGGCCACTTCTTCCCTGCCCCCAGGTTCAAAGGTCACCATCGTTCTGCCGGGGCCAGGGAGGGGGGTGCTCTTTCTGCCCCCTCCTCTCCTGAGGCCTGCCCAGCCCAACCCAACCCAGCCCAGCCCTGCTGCCTGCCTCGCCTTCTGTGTCCTGTCCTAGTGCTCTTGAAAAGTAATCATAATCATAATAATTAATAACAACAGAGCCCATAGCAGGCCTGAGGCAGCCCTTAAAGAGGCAGTGCCCCCTTTTCTCCCAGCAGAGCTGGCAGTGGGACCTGGCTGGCACTGAGAGGCGGCCTGTGCCTTTGTTCCCATCCCTCCCTTTGCCTTGGGTTCCAGGGTGGTGTTGGGGCGAGCATTTTTGCCTGCATTCTCCATCAGCACTGGGCTTCTCGTGTTTTAATTGAACTGTCTTTTCTTAGCAATAGATGCTTTCACCGCATCCAGCTGCTCGTGTGTATTGGGAAACCTGCCTGTAATACAGCTCGGCTAAATTAAAAGACACAGCAGCTGGACCAATTAAACAGGGAGGGAGGAATGCAGACGGACAGGCAGGGAGGGGGTACTGGTAATAGCACCCCCTCACTGTCTCTGTCTCTCTTTAAATAATGTTTCTGGTAATGCATTTTGGAGAATGTGAAAAAAAATAAAAAATAAAGCCGTAGAAATGTTAATGATATCCACAGGACACTCAGCAGGAAATGAGAGTGATCTGGGACTAATAAAAGCCGAAATGTAATTTGTGCAGATATACGAGGCGCAGCCTTCAGAGTGGTCCTGGGTTTGCACATTCTGGGCTCATAAACATGCGCCTGGGGAGGGCAGGGAGCGGGCGCTGTGCCCTCGGCCTGGGCACAGGCCCGCCTGGGCTGCCCTGTGGCAGTCTGGCCAGGGCAGGAGCGTGAGGCTGCCCACCTGGCAGGGAGCTGCCAGACCAGAACCAAGTGCCGTCCCCAGCTCCTCTGGGTTGGCGCGTCGCAGCAGGAACCTCCTGTAATGTTTTATCCAAGCTGCCAGGGGTAGGATTGAAGTGGGTCAGAAGGGTGGGCACGCTGCTTGTTAGGGATGCCTGCGACAAATCCAGGGAGAGGAGCTGGAGCAGAGGGAAAGCGGCTTTGATAAGCCGGTGGGCAGGGGCTCGCCTCGTGGGAAAGTGGCCGGCCCCCACACTGGGCTGACTCTCCTGCATTTGTGGGCCAGGGCAAGCTGACTCCAGAGAGCAGGAGAGGTGGTCCCAGGACTGGGCTGACGGGCTTCTGGGGGCCATCTGGCTGCCCTGGGCTTGCCCTGCTCTCAGGCAGATGGAGGCCCTCTGTCGCCTTCCCTGCATCCATCCCCAGACACTAAATGAGGAAGGCACTTGTGGTGGGGTCCGGGCCAAGGAAGAAGGGTAAATGGAGCAGCACCCCCAGCTCTCCCCCACTCCCCACCTTTCTGCCTCTTCCCTGTGCCCCTCCCCGACTCTGCGTGCCTCTCCCTCTCTGTGCCCCTCTCCCCCTCTCTTTGTCCCTTCCTGACCCCTTCAACAACCTGGAATCTTTGTAGCCTGAGGCAAGCCACCCCTTCCTTTTGGAGCATTTGGGAACCAGCACTGGAAAGTCCCCTATCCCCTCCTGGGGGCCTGGGCCACACAGGCCGAGCTGAGCCCCTTTCTTCCTGCCTCCGGGCCAGCATGGTTCTGGGTAAATCCCAAACCCTCTGGGACTCGGCCAATGGCCAGCCCCTCCATGCACTTCCTCCAAAACCTGGGGCATTCCTCTTTCTTCCATCCCTCTTTGAGGGGTCTTCTGGTTGGCCAGGCCAGCGAGTCAGCTGGAGGAACCTTTACCCTGGATGCTGGGCTGTCAGATGCTCTGCTCTGAGAGGCTCCCGCAACCCACCCTGGGTCCTTTCCTGACCCAGGATTCTGCTCTGCAGGCAGGGGCAGGTTAGACCCCTGCCTGAGCCCCATCCCCTAAAATCATAACCAGATGGGCTCTTGAGTGTTGCCTGCCCCAGCCCTCACCTGCTGAGGTGGGGAGGAACTGGCCAGGAGGGGACAGGGCTGTGTCGCCCCATGTGGGTGGGGCTGGGCTGTGCCCTTCCGTGGCCGTGGCCCTGGGACTGCATCTCTACTCCCATTAGTATGCACTCCCTCACTCTGGGCCACGTAATCTGTTTATGCACGTATGATATCAAAAACAGGAGGCAGGTGCTGCCGTCTTGCGTTCCTGGGAGTCAGAGGAGGGGACATTTTATGTCTACAGTGGCTTGGCAGCCCCTAATCGATGTCTGCTAGAAGGAACAGACAGATTCCAGATGGCGTGGCAGTGATAGAGGAGGTGTGTGTGTGCATGCGTGTGTGTGTGTGTGCGCGCGTGTGTGTGTGAGCATACATATGCTTGTGTGCACGCATGTGCGTGGGGACAGGGGCAGACCCTCCTCAGTCCCCAGCATGGCTGGGTCATGCTTGAACACGGTCGCGAAGGGACTAAATTACAGGATCCAGCAGGCCCCAGGGGATGAGGGAGCGGGAATTGCTCTGCTAAATGCTTTTGAGCTGTCAGGAAGGGCTGGGAGTGATGGGTGGGGGACATTGGGGAGGAGCTGGCAATGGGCGGGGGGGGGGCGGGTAGCTCCCCAGTGACCTGGCGCTGGGCAGCCGGTTTTGCCTCCCGCATCAGTGGCCGTCCTTGGCAAGACTCAGCTGCAGGCGATGTGGGAGCGGGAATTACAGAGCACACCTCCCTGACACAGAAGTTGTCAATATGCGCACAGCTGGTGGGGAGGCTCAGGCGAAGGGGGGACTATTAAGAGCTGCGCGGGGGAGCAGGCAGGGTGGGGAGGTGGGTGGGAGGGTGCTTTCTGAGGCAAAAGGAAGTGGCCCGTCTGAATCGCTCATCCTCTGCCCCCTCCCTGCCCATCCTCCCCTCCCTCCTTCCCTCCCTCCCTCCCTTCCTTTTTCTTTTCACAGATAACCAGCCCGAGTCATGCAGTCTTTTCGAGAAAGGTGTGGTTTCCATGGCAAACAACAGAACTACCAGCAGACCTCGCAGGAAACATCACGCCTAGAGAATTACAGGCAGCCGAGTCAGGCCGGGCTAAGCTGCGACCGGCAGCGGCTGCTCGCCAAGGACTATTATAACCCGCAGCCTTACCCGAGCTATGAGGGTGGCGCTGGCACGCCCTCTGGCACTGCAGCCGCGGTGGCCGCCGACAAGTACCACCGAGGCAGCAAGGCCCTGCCCACACAGCAAGGCCTGCAGGGGAGGCCGGCTTTCCCTGGCTACGGCGTCCAGGACAGCAGCCCCTACCCAGGCCGCTATGCTGGTGAGGAGAGCCTTCAGGCTTGGGGGGCCCCACAGCCACCACCCCCACAGCCGCAGCCACTACCTGCAGGGGTGGCCAAGTATGATGAGAACTTGATGAAAAAGACAGCAGTGCCCCCCAGCAGGCAGTATGCAGAGCAGGGCGCCCAGGTGCCCTTTCGGACTCACTCCCTGCACGTCCAGCAGCCACCGCCGCCCCAGCAGCCCCTGGCATACCCCAAGCTCCAAAGGCAGAAGCTGCAGAACGACATTGCCTCCCCTCTGCCCTTCCCCCAGGGTACCCACTTTCCTCAGCATTCCCAGTCCTTCCCCACCTCCTCCACCTACTCCTCCTCTGTCCAGGGTGGTGGGCAGGGGGCCCACTCCTATAAGAGTTGCACAGCACCGACTGCCCAGCCCCATGACAGGCCGCTGACTGCCAGCTCCAGCCTGGCCCCGGGGCAGCGGGTCCAGAATCTTCATGCCTACCAGTCGGGCCGCCTCAGCTATGACCAGCAGCAGCAGCAGCAGCAGCAGCAGCAGCAGCAGCAGCAAGCCCTTCAGAGCCGGCACCATGCCCAGGAAACCCTCCATTACCAAAACCTCGCCAAGTATCAGCACTACGGGCAGCAAGGCCAGGGCTACTGCCAGCCGGACGCAGCCGTCCGGACCCCAGAGCAGTACTACCAGACCTTCAGCCCCAGCTCCAGCCACTCACCCGCCCGCTCCGTGGGCCGCTCACCTTCCTACAGTTCCACACCGTCGCCGCTGATGCCAAACCTGGAGAACTTTCCCTACAGCCAGCAGCCGCTCAGCACCGGGGCCTTCCCCGCAGGGATCACTGACCACAGCCACTTCATGCCCCTGCTCAATCCCTCCCCAACGGATGCCACCAGCTCTGTGGACACCCAGGCTGGCAACTGCAAGCCCCTTCAGAAGGACAAGCTCCCTGAGAACCTGCTGTCGGATCTCAGCCTGCAGAGCCTCACGGCGCTGACCTCACAGGTGGAGAACATCTCCAACACCGTCCAGCAGCTGCTGCTCTCCAAGGCTGCTGTGCCGCAGAAGAAAGGTGTCAAGAACCTCGTGTCCAGGACCCCAGAGCAGCATAAAAGCCAGCACTGCAGCCCCGAAGGGAGCGGCTACTCAGCCGAGCCCGCAGGCACACCGCTGTCAGAGCCGCCGAGCAGCACGCCACAGTCCACGCATGCGGAGCCGCAGGAGGCCGACTACCTGAGCGGCTCCGAGGACCCACTGGAGCGCAGCTTCCTCTACTGCAACCAGGCCCGTGGCAGCCCTGCCAGGGTCAACAGCAACTCGAAGGCCAAGCCCGAGTCCGTGTCCACCTGTTCTGTGACCTCTCCTGACGACATGTCCACCAAATCTGACGACTCCTTCCAGAGCCTACACGGCAGTCTGCCGCTCGACAGCTTCTCCAAGTTCGTGGCGGGTGAGCGGGACTGTCCGCGGCTGCTGCTCAGCGCCCTGGCACAGGAGGACCTGGCCTCCGAGATCCTGGGGCTGCAGGAAGCCATCGGTGAGAAGGCCGACAAAGCTTGGGCTGAAGCACCCAGCCTGGTCAAGGACAGCAGCAAGCCACCCTTCTCGCTGGAGAACCACAGCGCCTGCCTGGACTCTGTGGCCAAGAGTGCGTGGCCCCGGCCTGGGGAGCCGGAGGCCCTGCCCGACTCCTTGCAGCTGGACAAGGGCGGCAATGCCAAGGACTTCAGCCCAGGGCTGTTTGAAGACCCTTCCGTGGCCTTCGCTACGCCTGACCCCAAAAAGACAACTGGTCCTCTCTCCTTTGGTACCAAGCCCACCCTTGGGGTTCCTGCTCCAGACCCCACTACAGCAGCTTTTGACTGTTTCCCGGACACAACCGCTGCCAGCTCAGCGGACAGCGCCAACCCCTTTGCCTGGCCAGAGGAAAACCTGGGGGATGCTTGTCCCAGGTGGGGATTGCACCCTGGCGAGCTTACCAAGGGCCTGGAGCAGGGTGGGAAGGCCTCAGATGGCATCAGCAAAGGGGACACCCATGAGGCTTCGGCCTGCCTGGGCTTCCAGGAGGAGGACCCCCCTGGGGAGAAGGTGGCCTCGTTGCCCGGGGACTTCAAGCAGGAGGAGGTGGGTGGGGTGAAGGAGGAGGCAGGTGGGCTGCTGCAGTGCCCCGAGGTGGCCAAGGCTGACCGGTGGCTGGAGGACAGCCGGCACTGCTGTTCCACCGCCGACTTCGGGGACCTCCCACTGCTGCCACCCACCAGCAGGAAGGAGGACCTGGAAGCTGAGGAGGAGTACTCCTCCCTATGTGAGCTCCTGGGCAGCCCCGAGCAGAGGCCTGGCATGCAGGACCCGCTGTCACCCAAGGCCCCACTCATCTGCACCAAGGAGGAGGTGGAGGAGGTGCTGGACTCCAAGGCCGGCTGGGGCTCTCCGTGCCACCTCTCAGGGGAGTCCGTCATCCTGCTGGGCCCTACAGTGGGCACCGAGTCAAAGGTCCAGAGCTGGTTTGAGTCCTCTCTGTCACACATGAAGCCAGGTGAAGAGGGGCCTGATGGGGAGCGAGCTCCAGGGGATTCCACCACCTCGGACGCCTCTCTGGCCCAGAAGCCCAACAAGCCTGCTGTGCCCGAGGCGCCCATCGCAAAGAAAGAGCCTGTGCCACGGGGCAAAAGCTTACGGAGCCGTCGGGTGCACCGGGGGCTGCCCGAGGCCGAGGACTCCCCATGCAGGGCACCAGTGCTGCCCAAAGACCTCTTGCTCCCTGAATCCTGCACAGGGCCCCCCCAGGGACAGATGGAAGGGGCTGGAGCCCCAGGCCGGGGGGCCTCGGAAGGGCTCCCCAGGATGTGTACTCGTTCTCTCACGGCCCTGAGTGAGCCCCGCACGCCCGGACCCCCAGGCCTGACCACCACCCCTGCACCCCCAGACAAACTGGGGGGCAAGCAGCGAGCCGCCTTCAAGTCGGGCAAGCGGGTGGGGAAGCCCTCACCCAAGGCTGCCTCCAGCCCCAGCAACCCGGCCGCCCTGCCTGTGGCCTCCGACAGCAGCCCGATGGGCTCCAAGACCAAGGAGACAGACTCACCCAGCACGCCTGGCAAGGACCAGCGCTCCATGATCCTTCGGTCACGCACCAAAACCCAGGAGATCTTCCACTCCAAGCGGCGGAGGCCCTCTGAGGGCCGGCTCCCCAACTGCCGTGCCACCAAGAAGCTCCTCGACAACAGCCACTTGCCCGCCACATTCAAGGTCTCCAGCAGCCCCCAGAAGGAGGGCAGGGTGAGCCAGCGGGCAAGGGTCCCCAAACCTGGTGCAGGCAGCAAGCTCTCTGACCGGCCCCTCCATGCGCTCAAAAGGAAGTCGGCCTTCATGGCGCCGGTCCCCACCAAGAAGCGGAACCTGGTCTTGCGGAGCCGCAGCAGCAGCAGCAGCAACGCCAGTGGCAATGGGGGAGATGGGAAGGAGGAGAGGCCTGAGGGTTCCCCCACCCTCTTCAAGAGGATGTCTTCTCCCAAGAAAGCCAAGCCCACCAAGGGCAATGGCGAGCCTGCCACAAAGCTCCCACCCCCGGAGACCCCCGATGCCTGCCTCAAGCTCGCCTCTCGGGCAGCCTTCCAGGGGGCCATGAAGACCAAGGTGCTGCCACCCCGGAAGGGCCGGGGCCTGAAGCTGGAAGCCATCGTGCAGAAGATCACCTCGCCCAGCCTCAAGAAGTTCGCATGTAAAGCGCCAGGGGCCTCTCCTGGTAATCCTCTGAGCCCATCCCTTTCCGACAAAGACCGTGGGCTCAAGGGTGCTGGGGGCAGCCCAGTGGGGGTGGAAGAAGGCCTGGTAAATGTGGGCACCGGGCAGAAGCTCCCAACTTCTGGGGCTGATCCGTTATGCAGAAATCCAACCAACAGATCCTTAAAAGGCAAACTCATGAACAGTAAGAAACTGTCTTCTACTGACTGTTTCAAAACCGAGGCCTTCACATCCCCGGAGGCCCTGCAGCCTGGGGGGACTGCCCTGGCGCCTAAGAAGAGGAGCCGGAAAGGCCGGGCAGGGGCCCATGGACTCTCCAAAGGCCCGCTGGAGAAGCGGCCCTATCTTGGCCCGGCTCTGCTCCTGACTCCCCGAGACAGGGCCAGTGGCACACAAGGGGCCAGTGAGGACAACTCTGGTGGAGGAGGCAAGAAGCCAAAGATGGAGGAGCTGGGCCTGGCCTCCCAGCCCCCGGAGGGCAGGCCCTGCCAGCCCCAGACAAGGGCACAGAAACAGCCAGGCCACACCAACTACAGCAGCTATTCCAAGCGGAAGCGCCTCACTCGGGGCCGGGCCAAGAACACCACCTCTTCACCCTGTAAGGGGCGTGCCAAGCGACGACGACAGCAGCAGGTGCTGCCCCTGGATCCCGCAGAGCCTGAAATCCGCCTCAAGTACATTTCCTCTTGCAAGCGGCTGAGGTCAGACAGCCGGACCCCCGCCTTCTCACCCTTCGTGCGGGTGGAGAAGCGAGACGCGTTCACCACCATATGCACTGTTGTCAACTCCCCTGGAGATGCGCCCAAGCCCCACAGGAAGCCTTCCTCCTCTGCCTCCTCTTCCTCATCCTCGTCCTCGTTCTCCTTGGATGCAGCCGGGGCCTCCCTGGCCACACTCCCTGGAGGCTCCATCCTGCAGCCGCGGCCCTCCTTGCCCCTCTCCTCCACGATGCACTTGGGGCCTGTGGTTTCCAAGGCCCTGAGTACCTCTTGCCTTGTTTGCTGCCTCTGCCAAAACCCGGCCAACTTCAAGGACCTTGGGGACCTCTGTGGGCCCTACTACCCTGAACACTGCCTCCCCAAAAAGAAGCCAAAACTCAAGGAGAAGGTGCGGCCAGAAGGCACCTGTGAGGAGGCCTCGCTGCCGCTTGAGAGAACACTCAAAGGTCCCGAGTGTGCAGCTGCCGCCACTGCCGGGAAGCCCCCCAGGCCTGACGGCCCAGCTGACCCGGCCAAGCAGGGCCCACTGCGCACCAGTGCCCGGGGCCTGTCCCGGAGGCTGCAGAGCTGCTACTGCTGTGATGGCCGGGAGGATGGGGGCGAGGAGGCAGCCCCAGCCGACAAGGGTCGCAAACATGAGTGCAGCAAGGAGGCTCCGGCAGAGCCCGGCGGGGAGGCCCAGGAGCACTGGGTGCATGAGGCCTGTGCCGTGTGGACCGGCGGCGTCTACCTGGTGGCCGGGAAGCTCTTTGGGCTGCAGGAGGCCATGAAGGTGGCCGTGGACATGGTAAGAGGCCAGCCCAGCCAGGGTGGGGAGTGTGGGGTTCCAAAGGACAGGCAGGCAGGCAGTCGGGGAGCCCCTTGTTTCTAGTGCTACAGTGTGGGCCAAATGTGTCTGCAGTCTCGGGACAATCTGCAGAGTCCTGAGCCTCTCTGGGGTGTGTGGGGGAAGTGGAGGCACCCATCTGGCTAAGGCAGGTCACACTCACCTACCCTGTCCCAGGAGACTTCCCGCCGGGGCCCGTATGCCCAGCCACCGCCACTCTCCCACTCACCTGGCATCTTCAGGCTCCAGCCCCACCCAGAATCCACTGGGCCCCTCCCCATGCTGTCACCGGAGATGCCAAGGCCCAGAGAACACGAGGACTCCCAAGATTGAACATCAGGGCTGCCCCGGGCGGTGCAAGAGCAAGTTGCCCACCCTCTGTTCCTGTCTCCATTGCCTCTGGGATGAAGCTAAGGGCTCAGGAAGACCCTCTCTGGCGACACAGGCTTGGTGCATGGACCCAGTCACAGGGTTCCTCCCTCTGCAGGACAGTCCATGGGGTCACACAGTCACAACAGGCAGGGCGGGGCAGATCCAGACCCTCTCACCATTGGCTCTGAGACCAGCTTTGGAAGCCATAGTCACTGAGCACCAACATGAGAGAGGGAACTCTGGGGCTGTGCCGCCATGCACCTTTGGGGCTGTGACCTGCCCTCTCTGTGCCTCCGTCCCCTCGCCCCTAACGTGGGTATGAGGGTGCCCATGGAGGAGGGGTCGGGAGGGTTAAAAGGTGGGCACCTCTGAGCCCACCGAGCACAGCAGCCCTGTGATAGTCAGTGCAGAGGGGCCTGGTGGCTCTGGTGACAGCAGGGTGACGTTCTTCGTGGTGTCACCACTTCCCCAGTACCATAGAGTACCTCTGTGCCCTTCTGAGGGAGGGGTCAGTGGGGGCGGTGGGGTGCACCTCTCCCCCGGGGCCATGCTTCTGCCCCCACATTCAACCCCGACTCCACTGCCTCATCCAGACTTCCGTGGAGTGACGCTCCCGGCTCTCAGCGCTGTGTGGTGGCTCTCAGTGGGGACGCCTGCAGCCTTCTCTGGCCCCTGCCCTGAGTCCCATCCCCTCCACTCCTTCCTTCAACCCACTATGTGCGGCTGAGGTCACAGGGGAGCCAGAGGGGCTTGGCAGGGGTCTCCAGAGGCCCTGGACAAACACTGCCTGCATCTGAGTGATTCAGTGACCCAGCACAGTGGCCCCAGCCGGTGGCTTCGCCCCTCCCCCTGCCCAGCCTCCTCCCCCGTCGCTGCACTGCCCACCTGCTCCTCGCAGTACACCCCTGCAGCCCCTCTGAGCAGCCCCTGCTCCTGACAGTTGCCGTGGCATTGCCTGGCCAAACCAAGGTCCCGGTGGGGGCCCACTGTGTTTGCCACCCACGCCTCCTAGTGTGTGTCTTGGGCACCTGCTTCCCACTGCCCATGGGGATGGCTGGAGACCTTCTCCACGCCCAGACGCCCTGCCCACCTCACTCCACCCTCCACCTCAGAGGAAGGCTGGCCCCGACAGGACTCCTGCAGGTTCCTGGTGCCGCGGGCCTTGCTTACCCAGCAGATGGTGGCCTTGGGCCTCTTCCCTCTCCCCTTCCCAGTTAGTGATTTTTTGCCTCTCTCCTGCTTTCTGTCTCTCTCTGTCTCTCTCTCTCTCTCTCTCTCTCTCTCTCTCTCTCTCTCTCTCTCTCATTACTGGCTCCTTCCCAGCGCCTTGAAACAGGTTCAAGTCTCTCCCGTCATCAAAAAATAATAACCCTCAGATCACCAGCCCCAGCTGGCTGCCACCTCCCCTGCTTCACAGCCCCATTCCTGAAAGCCTTGTCCCCACGGCATCCTCGGTCCCGCAGCCTCACCAGGGGCTCCCCGACACTCACGTCCCACCAGGCTGAGATCAGGTCGTCTCCACATCCCCTGCAGCCAGCACTGGCCGGCCGAAGGGAGGAGGGGTCAGCCCCGAGCACCGACCACCCCATCCTGTCCCTGGCCCATGGGTGTCTTAACCGCCCATGCACACACAAGGTCCTGCTGGACTGAGGAGACAGTGTGTGTTGGAGAGGCGCTAGCTTCCCTACACCACGCGGGGGCTGGAACTTGCCAGCCCAGCCCATGCCTGTCTGCTGTGCCATGCTCCAGAAATGGCCTGACAGCCTGCGCAACTAGGGCTGCCCCGGGAAGGTCGGAACCAGGAACACCCTGCCAGACAGATGGGACATCCTGGGAGAATGGGCAGAGTCTGGGGCTTCCCAGGGTCACTTTTGGCTCACCACCCCTTCCTGCCTCAGTGGCTTGGGGGCGCCATGCTCCTTGGAGTGAGACCCTGGTTCAAATCCCAGCTCTGCCGAGGGCTGGTTCCATAGCTCCAGGCGAGTCACGCATGCTCTGAGAACTCCACAATGTCAAACCCCGTTAGCAGGATTGTGGGGTTCTGTGGATCATGTGGGACCTGCCTGGCATGTGGAAGGGGCTTGGGGTGCAGCTGTGTCCCTGGCCCCAGCACTGCCACACCCCTCGGTACCTTGACCTCACTTTTGCGCTCTGGAGGGCAGAACCTCTGAGCCAGCTCTCAGGGATACCTTTTTTCCTCGATGGCCTTTTCTGGGAACTGCCCTCGCCTGCTATCTCTGAGCCCTGCCTGCCCTTCCCCCAAAGCCATCATAGACCCCTACCTCCTATCCAGATGGAGCCTGGCCATGGAATGCTTGGGGTGAGAGGGACCCATAGCGGGCTCCGGGCATTGTTAGGGGGCTAGGTGGTGTCTGCAGAGGCCCCACCTGTGGCAGGGTTTACATGCCGCCACCCCTGCCCTCCTCTTGGGTAGCTGGGGTCAGAAGGGCCTGAGGCCTCACTCTCTCTGCATCTTAGTTTCTTCACATCTAAAATGCTATTCATATGCCTGCCTGAGGGTGGTTGGGGCCTCCGTGCAGTAAGTGGAGAGAAGCCTTCAGCCAGAGGACCCCCATATGCTTAAACATCCAGACACCAAGGGCCACTCACAGACAGCAGCCGGCTTGTGTTTCGTCATCCCTTTTGGGTCAGGAACTGGGGACGCTGGACTCCAGATCTCCAGGAGGCCATCCCAGACTAGGCGGGAAGGAGGCCTCAGCCCTGAGCTGAAAACCTGAAATTCTAGAATAAACCCCAGGCCCCACTCCCAGCATGGGCAGCGGGGAGGGGAGTGTTCTGACATTTCTCAGCTGCTGTGGTTGGGATGGTGCGCCCACCCTGAGCATGTGGGGTCCTGTGGGCCCCTACTCCAGCCTGGAGGCAGCTGCAGGGGTCAGAGACCAGCCTGGAGCCCTCGGGCAGGTTACTCAGCCTCAGCTCTCATTGGTAACCCAGGTAAAATAACAGTAATCCCATCATAAGGTTGCTGTGGGCATGAGGCTTCCAGCCATGCCTGGCACATAGGAAGCTATTGTCGTTTGTTTCACTGGCTTCGCACTTGGGCAGAGGCCGCCGCCCTCTCTGCTGCCTTCTCTACCTCACCCCCCGCCCCCAGCACGGTGGCACTGTGGCTCTGGCGCCTGGTGACTTCTCCCTCCCCGGCCTCAGGTTTGCTTCACTCTTCCAAGGGCCTTCTTGGTGTGACTGTCCTGTCCTGGCCACGTCCACTCCAAGCAGCTGGTCCAGGTGTGGGGCAGCCCCCAAGCTCAGCAGAGGACAGTTTTGAGACTTAGAGGAGGACGGCATCAGATTTACATGAAGTCAGCCATCTCAAGGGATTACCACGTCACCGCCTCCTCTCACAGGTCTGAGAGCTGGTCCCCTGGAGGGTGCAGGTCTCATCCTAGGTAGAACAGTCCCAGCCTAGCTTCAAAGTGCTCCTGCTGCCAGAAAGGGTAGAAAACCATGCTGAATGCCTTCACTGTTGCCTGGAATGGGAGCCTCAGTTTCACCATCTGTAAAGTGAGATTAATGAAAGGGACCCACAGAGGGCTGTTAGAGCCAGTAGGCGGCCAGGCGCGGTGGCTCACGCCTGTAATCCCAGCACTTTGGGAGGCTGAGGTGGGCGGATCACGAGGTCAGGAGATCGAGACCATCCTGGCTAACACGGAGAAACCCCGTCTCTACTAAAAATACAAAAAATTAGCCTGGCGTGGTGGCGGGCACCTGTAGTCCCAGCTACTGGGGAGGCTGAGGCAGGAGAATGGCGTGAACCCGGGAGGCGGAGCTTGCAGTGAGCCAAGATTGTGCCACTGCTCTCTAGCCTGGGCAACAGAGCAAGACTCCATCTCAAAAGCAAAAGAAAAAAGAGCCAGTAGGCCAGGCGCTATGTCTTACACCTGTAATCCCAGCACTTTGGGAGGCCTAGGCAGGCAGATCACCTGAGGTCGGGAGTTCGAGACCAGCCTGGCCGACACAGTGAAACTCCGTCTCTACTAAAAATACAAAAATTAGCTGGGCATGGCAGCACATGCCTGTAATCCCAGCTACTCGGGAGGCTAAGGCAGGAGAATCACTTGAACACAGGAGGCAGCGGTTGCCGTGAGCGGAGATCACACCATTGCACTCCAGCCCCGGGGGGACAGAGTGAAATTCTGTCTCAAAAAAAAAAAAAAAAAAAAAAAGCAAGCCAGTGGGCAAGGACACACACCACGCCCAGCACACCAGAAGCATGCAGCAGATGCTGGCTGGTAGCCACAGCCATGGTAGTAACTGGCATCACTGGCCCAAGGGGGTCTCCCTACCCAATGTACCAGCCCAGAGGGTGCTAAATGACCCATGTTTGTGGGCATGTGTACCCCAGTGCTGAACCTCCTTCTGGTAGATTTTCAAGCACCATTTTGGAGAAGGGAGGCAGGGACCACAGGGGGCCAGCCAGCCTGTACAGGTTTTTTGTGTTTTTTTTGTTTGTTTGTTTGTTTGTTTTTTGAGGCAGGGTCTCACTCTTGCCCAGGCTGGAGTACAGGCAGTGGCGTCATCTCGGCTCACTGCAGCCTCAACCTCCCAGGCTGCAGCAATCCTCCCACCTCACCTTCCTGAGTAGCTGGGACTACAGGCACACACCACCAACCCTCACTATTTTTTGTAGAGACAGTTTCACCATGTTGCCCAGGCTGGTATCAAACTCCTGGACTCAGGCGATCCTCCCACCTTGGCCTCCCAGAGTGCTGGGATTACAGGCATGAGCCACTGCACCTGGCCTACCAGCCTGTAAAGCTTGAGGGCTGGGCTCCAACTGGAGACTCACCTGCCTTTCCTTTCTCTTCATCAGATGTGTTCCAGCTGCCAAGAAGCCGGGGCCACCATTGGGTGCTGCCACAAAGGATGCCTCCACACCTACCACTACCCGTGTGCCAGCGATGCAGGTACGAGCCCGCCCAGGAACAGGAGGGCATTGGAGCCCATCCAAGCAGTCCAGGGGGACCCTCCCTGGGCACAGCTCCCCAAACCCAGGCCCCATCTCACTCTTCAGTTTCCCTCCTCTCTTGCCCCAGCAATTCTTTTATCCTTCTGTCTGCCTAGACCTCTGCTGGGCAATGCCAGGGACATGGAAATGAGGCATTCCCCAGGCACCTGCTTGAGGAGTGCCCAGAGCAGTGAGGGAAGATAGAAGCATAAATTACAATGTGGAATGCTGTCTGCGGAGCCATCATTGCCAAGGGGCAGGGAGGATCTCAGGCCTCAGAGAGAAAGGGGTATTGGAGGTTGGGCCTTTGAAGGATAAATAGGAGTTCACTCAGCAGAGACAAGGGGAAAGGCACTACTACAACAGCAAAAACCAACTGAGTTGGGGGTGATGAGGTTCAAAACAGACTGAGACCCATGGAGCAATTGTGGAAGTTTTGAAGCAGGGTAATGGGGTATGGAGGTAGGCCCAGGCTCCCCGCATCCTCTCCCCGGTCCTTCCTCTCACTCATGTATTCATTTGTTCCGCAAGCATTTGTTGAGCCCCTACCATCACTGGGCACACAGAATGACCGTGCATGGGCTGGAGCCACCCAAGAGCCCTTACCTTTATCGACCAGGTGGGGAAACTGAGGCTCAGAGACATTCCTTATTTCATCCAGAGAAAGCAATTGCTTATGGTACAATATTAGTCATTGGGGACAACAATATTTTGGGAGATATGGGGCCAACTTTGGCCTGGATTCAAACCCTAGTGGTGGGGGGTGGGGTGGTTTTCGTTCTTGTTTGAGACAGAGTTTTGCTCTGTCACCCAAGCTAGAGTGCAGGGGTGCAGTCGTGGCTCACTGCAGCCTTAACCTCCTGGGCTCAATCATCCTCCCACCTCAGCCTCCTGAGCAGCTGAGACCACAGATGTGCGCAGCCATGCTGGCTCCTAGTAGTGTTTTTATTTTTATTTATTTATTTATTTATTTATTTATTTATTTATTTTTGAGACGGAGTCTCACTCTGTCACCAGGCTGGAGTGCAGTGGTGCGATCTTGGCTCACTGCAACCTCCGCCTCCCGAGTTCAAGCGATTCTCCTGCCTCAGCCTCTCAAGTAGCTGGGACTACAGGCGTGCACCACCACGCTCAGCTAATTTTTGTATTTTTTGTAGAGATGGGGTTTCACTGCTTTGGACAGGATGGTCTCCATCTCTTGACCTCGTGATCCGCCCGCCTCAGCTGCCTAAAGTGCTGGGATTACAGGCGTGAGCCACTGTGCCCGGCCCCTAGTAGCGTTTTTAATGTGTGGTCTTGAGCAAGTTGGTTGATACCTCTGCACACAGTTTCCCTACCTGTATGATGGAGATGATAATAGCCCCTTCTCTGCAGAGCTGCTGGGAGGAGAGTGAAATAATGAACACTACCCACACGGTGCTGCCTCAGTCCTATTTTGGGTCCAGCCTCTGTGACCTCTCCCCACACGGTGCTGCCTCAGTCCTATTTTGGGTCCAGCCTCTGTGACCTCTCCCCGTCACCCTCAATCCCTCCCAACTCTGGCCTGGAAAGAGGCGAAGTCATAACCCACCTCCCAGTGGACAGAGTCCAGGCCCCCCCAGGCTCCCGTCGCTCTCCTAGCAGCCCCAGCTACTGCCTCCCGTCCTCACCTGATGCCCTGCTGGCTTTGCCTGGACAGGGGACCACAGCCTGTACCCCACCTGCCTGGTGGGTCCCCAGCCAGTGTCAGCCCAGCCAAGCTGCCCCAGGGAGGACACAGAGGACTCTGAGTGCTGACAGTTGCTTGGCAGGGGCTGAGCTGCCGGGACCCAGCGGGGAAGGGGCTTGCTGGAGCAGGGACGTGGAGGATTCTCACTGGCTTCACGCTCCCACTCTGAGCAGTGTGAGCCAGAGTTTAACATGGACCCTGCCACTTGCCCAGGCATGTGGCCGCACTCCCCATAATAGCTGCCACGAGTCACATTCCTCCTTCCACAGTGATTAACTTAGCGCCCGCTCCACTCCCAGCCCTGCTACAGAACCATGTTGTTTCCAGCCATCTTCACAGATTGGCTGCCTCACCCACAGCACACAGCATGGCGTGGACAGTCCCAGGACTTAATGCCTTGGCTTTCTTGCTCCATGTCCTATGTTCTTTCTCCTACCCCAGCACTGCCCAGCCCCCCAAGGGGCTCACCCTTGAGTGGGACGGACAGCAAAACTGTGGTTCTTGGCCACAGTTAGGGAGACCAGACGGGAAGGAGAGAGTATGCACTGTGGAAGAGGTTCATCCTGTCTGAACAAGGGAGAAATCTAGGAAGACTTCCAGGAGGAGGTGACATTTAAGCCAGGCCTCAAAAGATCGGGGGAGCTTTGTAGCAACTGTTTAGTGGTGGGACTTGTATACTAGGCTTTGAGCAAGAGAACTTTTATTTCAGATAAAATCCTAGAAGGATTCCTCATATAACAGGGATCCCTGTAGCACCGTGAAGATTGAGGCAGGAAAGGGACTGGGAATGCTGCAAATGGAGACATACACCTCAGAGACTGAGTTGGCACAGAATCCATGGGACTTGATGATGAGGGAGAGGGAGGTGACAAGCCTGATGCCCAGCTTCCCCATGAAGGGGAGAAGTAGGGTGTGGACGTGCAAATGGAGTATTAGCTGCTGCTGCAGAGCTACTGGCCCTTCCAGGCCCAGCTTCATGTCTCCAGCACCAGCCCTTCATTAGTTCTCAAAAGGGCGTGAGTTGGCTGCAGGCTCTGCTGGGAGCAGGATGATCTAGGGTGGCCCCAGCTGTGCCAGCTTGTCTTTGCTCCATCAATCTCTCATCCTCCAGCAGGCTGGCCTGGGTGCGTCCTCATGGCAGCCCCAGGGCTTTGAGAGAGTGGAGGTCACAGGGCCACTCACAGCCTAGGTCCTGGACTTTACCACGTTCTGTTAGCCAAAGCAGGTCCCAAGTCCAGCACAGAGAAGTGCAGGCCACCTGGGGTGAGCTGCAGAGCCACACCACAAAGGACCTGGGTGCGGGGAGGGGACTGGGCTGCTCTGCCAGGCCATCTACACACACGGCAGTTCCCTTTGGCCACACGGCAGTAGAGGCAGCTGTGGACATACAAAGTGTAGATAGCTGGGCTCAGGATCGAGTCTCGCCCACCATCAGCAGGCGAGGGCTCATCAGAGCCCTGGAAGGGACAAAATAGCAGGGTTGTGTTCACCATGGAACAGCTGGCTGAGGAGGAGGGTGGACCCCTGGGAAACTGAGGAACAGCTGCCAGAGAAGGCGAGGGAGAACAAGTGAGCTCGAGAGTGAAGGCGGGGAGGACGGGCGCTTGGGGTGCAGGGAGGGCCCCCAGCGTGACTCTGCCAGCCAGGCGGTGGGGGGGGCGGGGGGGTGGGAGTGAGAGGGCACTGAGGGAGTGGGCTGGTCAGGCTGATCTGATGTCTGGCCAGGGAGGAGCCCCAGGCCTCTGTGTCAGGCACTGGGACTGCAGGGCACCAGGGCTGCCCACTGGCTGCCAGCCTCTGCCCTGCACTGCGCTGTCCTGGCCTACTCATCCTGCCCCCTTCCAATTCTTGTTAAGGAACCCACTTTGGAGACAAGCAGTGACTGAAGAGCAGGCAGAGGCTGCTACACCACAGTGTCCTGTCTCAACCTTTCCCCACTCAGGCCCTGGGGCCAACCTGTCAGTGAGTGCCCAGGTTCCCCAGGTGCAGGCACCAGGTCAGGAGCCAGATCACTGAGGACTGGCCTTGCCCAGTGACTCCCGCCCCGTGCCCCATGTGGGGTGGTGCTGGGGCAGTGCTGAGGGAGCCAGTTTGGAAGTGGCGACCTCCTACCCTCAACTTCCCTTGGTGGGAGTGCCCGCAGCTACCCAGGCGTGCCAGGGGCAGGCCTGGGATTTTAGCCTAGTGTCTTTGGAATATCTAGTTCAGCCCCAGAACCACATCTGGCTTGCCTGAGCCAAGGGAAGGGGAACAGCCGTGGCACATCTCTAGCTGCTGGCCCTGAATGGCAGTTTCCAGGTCCGTGGCACTCCAGCTTCTGGAGACAAGGGCAGATCGCCTCAGAGAGGCCTGCTACCACCCAGCCCTGCCCTCAGGGCTGCAGAGCTGTCCCTGCCCTGCCTTCTGGCCACCACCCTGTCATGATGCCATTGCACAGAGCCACCTCCAGTGTGAACAGGAAGATTGTGTTGGAGAGAGCACCAGCCTCCAGCTACTTTTGGGTCTGGGGTTTGTTCAGAACAGTGGCTGGTGAGGCTTTGGGGGAGGGGAGCCGAGAAGGGGACTAGAGACTGGGGGGTCCCTGGGGGAAAAGCCAGCTTCTCCCTAGGTGGCAGTAGGCAGGGGAGTGGAGACTCCCTGAGATAGCAACACCTCCTGGGCCTAGGTGGGCATAAGCACTGGCCATGCTTGGTTGTCCTCTCTGCCCCTGCCTCCTGCGCCCACTGCATGCCACACATGTGCAGGGTGGTTTATTTTTAAATTTTATTTTATTTTATATTTTATTTTATTATTTTATTTTATTTTATTTTATTTTATTATTTTATTTTATTTTATTTTATTTTATTTTATTTTATTTTATTTCATCTCAGACAGGGCCTGGCTGTGTTGCCCAGGCAGGGGTGCAGTGGTACAATCACAGCTCACTGCAACCTCCGCCTCCCAGGCTCAAGTGATCCTCCCGCCCCAGCCTCTCGAGTAGCTGGGACTACAGGCATGCGCCACCATGCTGGCTAATTTTTGTATTTTTGATAGAGATGAGGTTTTGCCATGTTGCCCAGGCTGGTCTTGAACTCCTGGGCTCAAGCGATTCATTCACCTCATCCTCCCAAAGTGCTGGGATTACAGACATGAGCCACTGCTGCTGCCAAGATGGTTTCTATACACTCCCATCCTCAATCTCCATGATAGGCATACAGTAGGTGGCATAATGCCCATTTTACAGATGTGGAGACTGAGGCTCAGAGAAGTAGCAGATGCTCAAATCCAGGCTTGCAACACCACTACCAGTCCGTCCACAGGGGTTCATGACATGCTCACTGGAAGTTAGTGAGCTCTTCCAGGGGCTGGGCATACATCCAGGGAAGAAGACAGAGCTGGTGCCCTCTGGGAGCTTGCCTGCCAGTGGGGAAGAAACAAGGAGCAAGACAAGATCACACAGGCCAGTCTCTTAGGAGGCAGTGACAAGTGTGGCTGGCAGAGTAAGGCGGGAGGGAGGGAGGGACTGAGGGACTGCCTCAAGTGAGGAGGGGCGGCACGTGGAACTCAGGGGGAAAAGCTCTCCGCGGAGGAGGTGAGGTGAGTCAAGACTGCCAGGCCAGGGGCCGCACCCGCGCCGTGGAGTGGAGTGGAGTGTGGAGGGTTTTGTGCAGAATCTGATTAACTCTTTGAAAAGAGCCCCTGCAGTCTGGAGCCTCGCGGGCAGTGCGGCTCCCCTCCTGGCTGCAGACAAAACCCCACAGCTGTGGGGCCCCCACCCTGTCCTAACCACCGAAACTTCTCTTTGGTCACAGGTTGCATATTCATCGAAGAGAACTTTTCTTTGAAATGTCCCAAACATAAGGTAGGGGACCACAGTGTTTTGTAGGGCGAGGGGTGTCAAGCGGGAGAGGAGCCCCACCTCGCACCTCCTTCACAGTCCCCTGGGCCCCCTTGGCTGCGCAGCCCCGCAGGGCCCAGCCCTAGGGGAGGGAGCTCTCCCCGCCCACCCCCAGGAGCCCCCGCCGCCGTCCAGCTCAGGTCCCTGTCCACTTGCGCGCCGCCGCCGCCGAAAACCCGCAGGCGTCGGGGCATGGGCAGCCAGGGGCTGGAGGGCGTCCCTGGGACGGCCTCCCTGCAGCTCCCCAAGATAGGTGACAGAGTGGGGCAGGCGGGGGCGCGGGACGGTGGCACGGAGCTGAAGGCGAAGGTGAAGGTGAAGCTGGACGGGGTGGGGCCAGAAGGGGTGGTGCCGACGGCCTCGGGCGGAGACCCCAGCCGCGCTCTGGGGTCGCCTGGGTCTGGGGCTTAGGCGGGGGGCCCACACTGGGGGCGGGGCCTATGGACTGTGAAGTCCGAGGTCGTCGGTAACTGGCGGGCGGGCGTCTTTTGCAGAGGCTGCCGTAGTAATCCACCCCAACGGCCGGAGGAGCCGCCGGAGCCCGCCTGCCCGCCCGCCGCCGAAGGAGAGGAGCCGCCTGCGCAGCCCCCGGGCCTTTGAGCTGCTCCCAGCGCTGGTCCAGAGCCGATCCTTGATCCGGGTCCCGGATCGTGGATCCGGCCGCCTAGGGCTCAGACTTGCGGCCCCGGGTTGGGAGGAAAACCCGTTCCGGAGCCGCCTGCTCCCGGAACCGGACGGCACAGGGCGTTCTTGCCCACCCCAGGGGCCAGGCTTGCGGAGGGGGAGCCCGCGGAGCGGCCAGACTCCCCGGGGCGCTCAGCCTCCGGCGAGGGTGGGAGACGGCTTTGTCCTGGGGACACTTTCCCTCTGGAATCTCAAGACGACGTGGCACACATTCCACGTGGGTGCTGCCGCCACCCCAGTCGGTCGTGGCGTGCAGCTGGGAGCCCTGGGCTTGGGGGTGGGGGTCGAAACAGTACTGGAAGAGGCGGAGGGCGGCTCCTAGCTCCGTGGACTAGGCGGGGGAGAAAGGAAGCCTTTCTGAGAGCGGGCTAGGCCGGCACTGGAGAGGCCGGAGCCTTTGGAACAAACCGTGCGGAACGCGTCCAGGGGCCTTCCCGCCCAGCCTTTGCCAGATCTCTCGTGCGGTTCGGGCAAAGCCGGGGTAGACCTGGGCTATGCTCAGTTAGGGGTTGCGGGATCCCCGAGTGTGGGCGGGACTGGGACACCCTTTGGCCTCTGTTTGTCCCCTTTCCAGTCCTCCACCCCACCCCTGGAGCCCAGCCTGGGAGCGCAAAACCCAAGAAGCGGCCAGAACGCACCTCCGGCTCCGGCGGACGCGCGACCGTTGTGCACCACCAGGGACCGCCGCGCCTACTCTGCACGGGAGCAGGGACAGCGCTAGATTTCGTGTACAAAACCTGTGTACCCCTCTATATATATGTTACATAGAATGTATATATGTTGGGAACATGCTCGCTTCTCCCGTGTGTCGCCGCCGTGCGTCGTGCGCCCGCAACAGAGCCCCAACCGGGCCTTTGCCGGGTAAGGGGCTACCGCGACGCCACTTGTCCACGCAGCCACCACCGGCCCGGGCCAGTCCCTGCCAGTCCGTCCGCCTGTCCGTCCGTGTCCTCAGCTCTGTCCACGCTTCGATAGGCCTGACGCAGCCCCCAGCCCAGGGCCGCCCTAGCAACTTCCTGTACATATGACTGTAAAATGGTAAACGTGTGTATTATATCTGGCCTCGTTATATAGTGTATATATATGTATACATATACATATATATAATATATATGAAGACTGTAAATGTTAAGACGACTAGTGTTCTTATTAGTATATTGCTTCACACTGAAGATTGTGTGTATCGAGCTGTTTCTAAAAGATGTTTATTTTCCTTAAGAGTAAAAAACAGTCATTGCATTCAGAAAAAAAAAAAAAAAAAAGTCAATAAAGATACAACGATTGTTTTGGAAAATCTGCAGCCCGTGGATTCCGACCAGATTCAGCTGGGAGCCGGGCCAGGCTTTAGGTTGGGGAATGGGAATGAAGGGAGGGGCTGGGGGGGGGGGCATGAATGGAGTCAGGGAGTCGGCCTTTCACAGAACAGGAAACCTCCCCCGCCCCTGTGCCCCCTCTCCAGTGTGGCGGCAGGTCGGGAGGGAGGAGGCTTCTTTGCTGTGAGATGACCAGGGGCCGGGATGGGGGAGGTGAGACGTGCCAGACTTCTTGCAGGGAGACCCAAGCTGTAGCTCCTGTCACACAACAGGTCCTGGAAGTCAGTCCATCCTCCCGTGCCACCCAGGGACCTGATGGGGACAGAGCTGGGAGGTGAGAAGGGACAACTGACCCCATGGAGGCCCTAAGGGTTGACACAGCCCAACCATGTGCCCTGGGAGCAGGGGGAACAGGTAGGCTGGAGGCCATACAGCCAGCCCTCCCCACTCCTCCCACTAACAAACAAACATCGGGAAGAGCTAAGTTAAAAGTTGTGTACCTTGTGGCCGGAGGGGGAGGGGAAGCCTTTCCCTAGGTGCTGGGGGAGGGCCCAAGCACTCTCACTAGTCAGCACATCCATCAGCTGAAGACACAAAACCCAGATTATAAATAATTTCATTTTTAATTCTCTGTACAAAACTTCTCAATCTATGAAAATAAAGTTTGCAAAAGGCAAAGTAGCACAGGAGCCTCAGGTCAGGAGGCTAAGCACGCTGACCTACACTATGTACACGTCTCTCTCCCACGACGGAGAGAGAGGCCTCTGGGGCAGAGCCCTGCTTGCAGTCCGGGAAAGCCAAGTTGGCTTCCGTCAGCACAGGGAAATGTACCCCTCTCTTCCCTGTACACAGGAGGAAAAAAGCCACTAAGGTGCCTGCAGAGCAAGGAGGGGGGCCCCCCAAAATGGCTCGGCCCCTGCAGTGCCCCGATCGGCCACCAGAGGTCAGCACCATCATGGCCGCCGGTCTTAGGGTCAAGATCGCGCCCCTCGGGCCTTCCACCGCGAAGGCACACAGCAGCCGCAGGTCGAACTGTGGAGGCCAGAGTCTCTTGCACTGCCTTCGGCCTTCAAAGCTTCGACGCAGGACAGAAGCTGCACGGGACCAAAGTGGCTAGAGACAGGGGTGCTGAGGCCGGGGACACGGGGTCTAGCTGGAAGTGACAGTGGTCCCACCGCCCAGGCGCATGAGCATCTGCTGACAGTCGTGCAGCAGCCGGCGATCGCCAAGCTTCTCGAGTGTGCGCGCCGCCTCAGCCAGCATGCCCACGCGCTGCCCGGGCGCCGACAGGAAGCCGGGGGGCAGGTAGCAGGAGGCCAGCAGCAAGGCCTCCGCGTGCTCCCGCCGCGTGGGCCGCGGCTCCAGCTCCGCCACCGCGCCTGCGCACACGAGGATGTGTCAGGGATGGGTCTCAAGCTGGCCACGCCCCCGCGGGAGCCCTGCCCACACACAAGCCACGGCACCAGCCGCCTGTACCTGGCACACAGGTACCTGGCGGGGGCCTGGCGGGTTCCCCTCTCCCCACCCTAGTCTCAGCCCACACACAAAGTCCACAGACTGAGTCACGCACGTGCAGTCATGTATCCCACAAATGACAGTCACCCCACTGATTCCTTGTGAAAGGAATTGTCATCAGGTAACCATCAAGAAGATGCTTGGTCTTTTTTTTTTTTTGAGACAGGGACTCTCCCTGTCACTCAGGCTCACTGCGGCCTCCAACTCCTGGGCTCAAGCTGTCCTCCCAACTGAGCCTCCCAAAGTGCTAGGTGTGAGCCACTGCGCCAGGCCTGTCTGTCCCGTCTGACACACACACAGCCTCCCTTGGTATCACATCCCATGTGCGCCCTTCCCTGCTGAGCAGACAGCACATCCCTGGTCAGCAGCTGCCCCCTCACCTCCTTTGCCACCGGGGCCTGCCCGCCGCCTCAGACTGCGGTCGAGGAGCTGGTGTGTCCGTGTGGGGCTGGCCCCCGCCATCAGCCGGGCCGTGGCCTCATGTAGGAACACCTGGGGGCCAGGAGAGTGGAGGCTCAGGGCTCTCCATCTCCACCACTGCCTGACTCCCCGTCTTGAGGACAGGGCCATCGGGCACTCACCCTCCGCATGGCGGGCCGGAAGCTCTGTGCCAGCCGCCTCAGGCTGCTCAGGTCCCGTTGGAAGCCACGCAGCTCAAGGGCGGAAGCCTGGGGCCTGCTGCTGGTGCCCTGGGCTGCTGGGGCCGGGGCCGGGGGCTGCTGCTGCCGCCACAGGCTGGTGCGCACCACAAGAAGCAGGTCACACAGGAACAGCTGCACGGCCTGGGGGTGGCAGGCAGGGCAGGGGTCACCAGGGCTCCAGCTCTGGGAGGGGCAGGATGGGGGCCCGTGGTGCCAGGGGCCGGCTCCGGGCTGCACTGCCGAGGCACTGCACCCGCCTCACACACGTGCAATGCAACAGCAATGCACCGCGGGGCCGCCCGCCTCTCTCGGCCCCCACACCCGCCACCGGCCCGGGAGCAGCTGTCCAGCCCTCCTGATGCAGGGCCTCCAAAGGGATCCTACCACACCATCCACCCCCCTCCTCCCAGGGATGGGGAAACTGAGGCCAGATAGGGGCAACCCCTCTCCTCTGGACAGAAGCCTTAGCCAAAAAGCAGGGTCTGCTGGACCCCCTATCCTGTGCTGCTTGGGCTAACCCCATGGTCTTCTGCAGCCCCTGGGGGCTGGGGAGAGGAACCAGGGAATGGAAAGCTGAATCCCCCAGCCCTGCCAGGCCCCTGACCCCACCCCTCACCTTGTCAATGGAGCTGCTGGCTGGTGTGGTAGCCAGGCTGTCCTGCAGGTACCCACTGGCCTTCTCACAGATGGTCAGGCTGGCTGGACCAGACTCTGCCTTGGCACAGCCCAGCAGGGCCCGGGCAGCCTTGAAGGAGTGCAGAGCTGCCCTGGGCAGGGGTCTCCTGTTGGGACCAGGGCAGAAGAGTGCCAGTCAGACCAGTCCACAAGCCCTGGCTGAGTGCCCCCCACTTCCCTGGCTCGAGTTCCCTGAGGAAAAAAGGTGGTGACTCCTCCTGCACAGAACAAAGGCTGAGTGAGGCACAGTGCCCAGGGGATGAGGAAGGCTGAGCCCGGGACCAGGCAGGAGGAACCTGCCGTGCACTCACTCAGACTCCTGCAGCACCCGGGGCAGGTGCTCCACCAGCGGGCACAGCCGCTCAGCCGCCTCCTCATCCCGCCGCAGCCAGTGGATCACCACAGCTGTCAGAGAGGCCCACCACTTGGCCACCGGGTCTACGCCTGCAGAAGAGGGAGGGTCCCCTGAACCCTCAGTCACGCTGCACGGGGGAGCTGAGAAGGGAGCCAGGACAGGGGCCGGGGACTCACCGGTGGTGGTGGCCATGCTGGAACTGATGGAGAAGCTGTAGGCAGGAGCCCCCGCAGCATCAGAACAGCTGTTCAGCAGCTGCAGGTACCCGAGGGCATCCGAGAATTCCCTGTGGAAGGAGAGAGCTGGCTGTCGGAACAGATGGCAGGGGTCCTAGGAGGGTGCTCCCCACCTGCCCTCCAGAGTACAGCCTGGCCCCTGGCTCTGCAAAGTGCCACTGTCTCCTCCCACAGGCTGGTGGGGAGAGGAAACTCAGAGAGGAATGAAGCGTGCATGGCACGCACGGTAGCCCAGCTCTGGGCTCTCTCCACAGGGTTGAGGCCAGAGCTATTCTCAGAATCCCGCCGGAGGGGCCTTGCCTGGAGGAGGGCACAACGACACTTACTTGTCCCCATCAGCTGACCCAGGGCTGGGGTTGGGCTGGGTCACACAGTTCAGTGCTCGCTCTAAGAGATGTTCCCGGAATAGCTGAGTCACCTGGGCCAGGGGGTCCACTGTGGAGAGGAGGAGGTGAGTGGGGTGGGGAGCAGGGCCCCACCCTCCTCTCCAAGCTAAGGGCTTTTTCCTGGGTGGGCTGGGGCCACACCTAGGGCCACTGGGAAGTGCCGGCATGCCCCTGGGTGCAGCCCCTGCCAAGGACAGGGGAAAGCGGGTGGACATAACTATCACCAGCACCAGCCTTGGCCAGGAGACAACACTGAGGCCTGCCCTACACTGCTTCCAAAGGAAAACCGACTTGAGAAGATGCCATTGTTGGCTCCGCTTCCTTACTCCACAGCGGCACTGCCTGGGGTCACTTCTCCAATTAGCCATCTGCCCATCAATCCCTGCATGTGCTTCTGAAAGCCCCAATGGGAACGAGAGGCACCCAGGCCTTTCCCTTCCTGCAACCCCCACAGCAACAACCCATGGCAGGGAGAAGGACTGGGGTGGCCAGAGACAGCCAGAGATTCAGGCGACAAGGGACAGGACAGGAATGAGGATGAGGGACAGGAGAGGGGACAGGGAAGGGGTAAGAGAGCACCTGGGTTCCCGGCCAAGCTGTACAGGCTCTCCCATGGGGTACTGAGCACGGACCAGTCCCCATCCACGAAGAAACGGTGGCCCACGGGGTGGCAGAGCCACTGCATGGCAGGAGGCACTGAGCCACTCTGTGCCAGGCAGGCCTGGCGGGCACTGCTCAGGAAGAAGCGCTGTAGGGGAGGGTACTGGGCTGTCACAGTGGACACAGCCTGGGGCCAGACCCCGGGCCGAGTCCCAGCTTGGCCTGGAGTCCCCCTGGTAACCACTGCCACATCCCGTGTAGCTCTTACCCAGGGAGCCTCTGGAGAGAGCTGCAGGGATAAGCCCCCAGCCCCCCAACCCACTCACTGTCAGAAAATGCAAGGCCCGTGGGAGACTGGTCTTCACTCTCAATGCAGCCGCCACATAGATCTCGGCCAGCGTCGCCACAGACACGGCATCCCCTGCACACTCTGCCAGGTTCAGGGCACTCAGCGCCAGGTTGGTGGCAGTGAGGTGCCCGCCTGTGTGCTTCCCTGGAAGGCAAGCAGGCATGAGGCTGTGGGTGGAGCACAGGCAGCAGGGAGCACCTCGGAGCCCGCCCCACGCTCAGTCCTACCCATGGTGTGCAGCTGGTGCAGCTTATGGTAGACCAGGGCTGCGTCTCGGGCGCTGGCGCTAGCATCCACTCGCAGAGCACAGTCCTGCTGCAGGCCCCCTGCCCGGCCTGCCAGCCAGCGGCCCACCCAGAGACGCTGCAGCAGGTGACGGATGAGGTTCCAGAGGAGGCTACAAGCCAGGTCCAGGTGGGAGGTGGGCAGGGGCCGGCCCAGTGCCCGCAGGGCCAGCCACAGCTGCTGGGCAGCCTGGGCAAAGTCTCCCTGTGGATGAGGGTTTTCCAGGTGAGAAAAGTGAGGTCAGAGCAGCTGCCCCAAAGCTCAGAAGAGCCGTCCACAGCAGGCTCTGGAGGGGTGGTGGGGGTCTGCGGATGCGTGGCTAGGCACAGGGAGGACGGGACAGATTCATGGTGTGCACAGGGAGCAGGAACAAGGGTTGACACCCAGCACCTTCACAGCCTGGGGTCCCTGCCCTGCCCACTCTGCCGGGGCCAGCCCCTTACCCGGGCCAGGTCCAGGTCAGCCTGCTTGCGATGCCTCCAGAAGTACACGGCGGGGCCTGAGTGGGGCCGTGTGACTGGCTCACCGTAGACAAAGAGAAGCACCAAGGAGACGAGCACCAACAGCCCATTGAGCAGCCAGACCACTGGGGGCAGCAGCCACTGGGCCCAGCCAGGGCCATCTATGGACAGAGGGAAAGCTGGGGACACAGCTCCCAGGAAATCCAGAGCCCCAAGTTCACAAGCCTGGGGGCTCACCCCGAGTGTCCCTCCCAAAGATGCCCAGGCTGGCCGGTCCCACCTCTGCTCTCGGTGCCCAGCACGTTGCGCCCAGGGCTATGGTAGACGCTGGTGGTATCTGAGGGGCTGGGAAGCCCCCGGGCCCCCAGCAAGGAGGCCAAGGGGTTGCAGGACAGGCAGAGGAAGACGAGCGTGCACAGGGCCAGGCGGGAGCGGTCCAGCATGCCCCGGCTGTGCAGAGACGGCCGCTGCTCTGGCTTTGCCTGGTGGGGTTGGGCAGGGTGGTGAGGGCAGAATCGGAGGGACCCCAGAGAGCATGGGGCTGGGAAGGGGGGGGTCAGGATTCTGCCCACCTTACTGTGGGACCCCACGTGGCTCCAGGCCTCAGTTATTCTGTCTATGAAATGGGAGGTAGGATCTGTTAGGGTCTTCCCGGCCCTGTCATGAGGCTCAGAGGATATGGCTGGGAGTGGGGAAGGGGGCACCGTGGCAGGGCCCAACCTTGCTGTCCTCAAAGACTGGGCTGTCAGGCTCCGAGTCACTGCCACTGCCACCGCTGCCACTGCCCCTGCTGCCAAGGGACAAGGGGCTGCTCTGGAAAGGTGAGCCAGCATCCGAGGGGGGTGGGGTCAGTGTGTCCTCCACCTCAGTCTTCACGCCCTCCATGAGCACGTCTGTGTTCCCTCCACTGCCACAGGCCGACACCAGATCCTTCAGAGATTCTGTGGGCCGAAAGGAACAGAGCCAGGAGTAAAGGCTGGATATGTGACCCCAAATCAGAGCCTAGGCCCTTGGAGGCCTAGGGACTACTGTAGCTCCTAAAGCTAGCCCAGGACGCTTTGATGGGGCTGGGTTAGGGCCAAAGGGAGGCACCAGGTCTCTTTCAGGACCAGAGGTAACCAAGGGACTAGAGCTGAATGCAGGGCTACAGCCAAGGGTGAGGTGGGCAGGGCAGAGGGTGGGCCAGAACCAAGGGTGGGGTGGGGCTAGGGATGGGGTGGGGCCGGGAGGTGGAGCAAGGCTAGAGAAGAGGCCAGACTGGAGCTCAATAAAGCCAGGACTCACTGCTTTTGTGGACAGCAGTGCGCAGACTTAGGTTCTCCTGCTTGAGTTTCTGGTTGCTGTGTTGCAGAAAGCGAATGTAGTCGATGGCCTTGCGCAAGACAGCAGATTTATTCAGCTGCACGGTGTGGGAGGGAGGGGGAGCGCACAGGTGGCCTGTCAGGTCGGGGGTTGTGGGGTTGGAGAGCCCTAGCAAGGGGGTGCGGAGCTGCTTTGCAACATTACTGCCTCAGGACCTTTGCACTTGTTCCTTCTACCTGAACCGTTCCTCGCCTAGTAGCACCCACCTCCCAGGCCGGGCATAGGGTTAGAATGTAAGATGCAGACAGCAGGGTCTGGCTAGCTGCTGCTGTGCCTGCCGCCATCTCAGGGAGGCCTTCCCTGGCTACCACCAGGGGACCCTCACCATCCTCTTCCTGCTTTCTCTGCAACGAGCCAAACGTGGTGGTCTCGAGCACTTATTCATCCTGCCTACTGTCCATCTCCCCCACCAGAAGGTCGGCTCTTCTTTGAGGGACAATTTTTGTCTGTCTTGTTCATTGCTGCATCCCCAATGCCTAGCACAGCCCCACCTTTATTGAAGAGGCCTGCAAACCAGTTTAACTAAATAAACGAGGCTGGCCAGGCCTGGGGAGGCTGAATTCCAATTCCCTGCTTGTCCAGGCTCAGTCTCACTCCCTCTCTTCCTTCCAGTTGCCCCTGATCTGTTCCTTCCTAGGGACACCCCGGTCTGTGCCCCTGCAGGCCTCTCCACACCTTTGCCTCAGTGCCCACCACCAGATCCTTGAGCTCAATGATTTTGTCATTGATGGAGGAGCGGTAGCGCTTCTCAATGGCGTTGTGGGCTGTGCGCTTCTCTCCACGGCTCTGGGCAGAGGCCGGGGCCTTGCTGCCAGCTGCGAGCCGGTTGATAGGCAGCTTCTCCGCATCTACGACCAGTGGGACTGTTGCCAAGATGGTTCCGCCACTCACCAGGGTCTGCAGGGCCAGGCACATGTTACCAGGTGGGCATGTGTGTGTGTGTGTAGACCCCACTCCCTTATGCCCTGCCCACGTCACCCACCGGCAAAGGCCCTGTCTGCACAGTGGTGCCAGAGACCAGGGGACTGAGACCTGCCGCCTTCACAGTGGCTCCGTCTGTCTTCATGGCTGTCAGAAGCAGCGAGTCTGCCTTGATGAAGTGGGGCTGCAGCAGGACCTGAGGGTGGGAGAGGCTTGGCTGTAAGCTGTGTGTCTGGGCTGGGGCTGCCCCCTCCCCAACCCCTGGCCAGACCCCCTCACCGGGACCTGCTGGATCTGCGAGGTCACAGTGGTCGTTACAGGGGCTGCCGTGGGGGCAGCTGTGACTGTCAGTAGCTGCTGGGGGACCACACTCTGGACCTGGGTGTGCAAGGAGACGGGCGGGACCCCTGGCGGGGAAGCCAGTGGCAGGCCAGGCAGCGGCTGCTGGGTGTTCCCGGGAGGGCTTCCTGCAGAAATAAAGCATGGGGCTGCAGACACAGACCTCCCTCTCCCACTTTCAACCTGCTCTTCAGGTCTCTATCACCGACTGGCCTTGGATGAGTCATTGCCCCATGTGGCTTCCTATGGACAGTCCCTGCCTGGGCTCTGATGCAAATGCACTGGCTTCAAGCCAGGCCTCCAGTGCGAGGTTGCGCCTACCCCGGCAACAAGCACACCAGGACTGCTAGTAACAGGGCATCTCAAGCAGCCGAGTGGAGCCCCAGTTTCTAAAGCCTGCACAGACCTCTACTCACATCACAGCAGAAGCTTCTTCCTGTGCTCCTGGAAGCCCCACCCCGGGTGTCCCCTCCCGCCACACATCCCCCTTACCTGTAGAGAAGCCTCCCGGAGGGCTGGGGTAGCCTAACACAGGGGTGGAGCTGAACTGCGGTGGGGCTGGGGCTGGGAAGCTCTGTGGCAGGAGGGCCCCTGGCAGGGGCTGTGGGGTGGGGGTCTGCAGGATGCTCAGTGGCACTGACTCTTCCTTGATACCAGGCCCAGGGGAGAAAGCGGGCATGGACGGGTACATCTTCAATGGAGTGGGTGCAGGCTGGGGAGGGGACAGGGGTGAGGGCGCTGCCTGCGGCCCGCTCAGGAAGGCTTCAAGAGAGGAGCTCAATGTGGCAGGAGGTGGAGACAAGCTGCCTGGGGAGCTGGTATCGGGGCTGGCAGGGTCTGTGCCCCCTGCCCCACTCCCAGCATAGGGTGGGTCAAATAGGCCAGGGAAGTCACTGTCTTGGTTGTTGATAAGCTGAAGCATGTCTGTGAAAAGGAGAAGAGGGTGCGTGAGT
This sequence comes from Homo sapiens, assembly GCF_000001405.40. Taxonomy (NCBI): domain Eukaryota; kingdom Metazoa; phylum Chordata; class Mammalia; order Primates; family Hominidae; genus Homo; species Homo sapiens. Next base: position 17,820,551 of record NC_000017.11, read on the forward strand.
GAGGCAGAGACTGACCCCCAAACAGGGCATCACACACATCCAAACACAACCTTATTTGCACAACCCTTGTTGGCACACAGCTGTATGTGTGGGCAATGCCACCAGGACAGAAAGCCACCCACAGGAGCTGGTGTTCCCGGACATACAGCCATTTTGCGAGCACCTGTGCTGTCTAAAGCAATGCCTGCTGCTGCGAGTGCATCACAATACCTGGACAAGGTGGGCACCACAAGGCTCACAATCTTGCCCCACAGCTAGGCTGGGGCTGAGCCCAGGGTCGGGCCCAAGACTGCAGACTTCAGAGCCTGAGCTCTTCCCACCATCCGGTATTTGCCCAAACATCTAGAAACATCCTTAGTCCACAGCAAACAGCAGGCTCACATTCATTCACTCATCCAGTGAGCATGTGCTGAGTGCTGAGTGCCCACACTATGCCAGGCACTGCTCCCGGCTGTGAATAAGGGAAATCCCTGCCTAGAACTAAGCAACTTTCTGGGGAGCTGGGAGTGTCCTGTAGCTTGATGTGGATGGTGGTAAACTTTTACTCCTGTCTTCATGGGGCATGCATTCTACAAGACATCCACCTCTGAGTCCACACACATACACACACACACACACACACACATACACACTGCACCGTGGACTCAGACCAGCTTCCAAGCATTTGCCCATGAGGTGACCAACCCTTCCAGACAGCTCTCCTGCCCTCTCCACAGTCCATCACCCCCAACCCCACACAGAACAAAAGGAATCCAGAGGCCCAGGTGCAGCCTTCCCTGGCTCCACTTGGGGCCTGTTTCTCAATGTGTGAAACGGGGGGCACGCCTCCATCCACAGATCCAGCAGCTCCAGTCTTTGGGATGGAGATGGGGATGGGGAGGGAGGAGCAGTCTAGGGCAGAGGGGGTCTTCATATAGGAGCGATGGGCCCCACACCCCACCATTGGCCACTCCTGGTCTCATCCTAAAACGCACCCCCAGCAGGATCCTCTGGGCACTGAATTTGACAAAGCAACTTAGAAACTGCTGAGGAGTGGGTGATTTTCCCCTCCCCTCAGTTTACAGGGGGAAGAGGGGTGCAGAGAGAGGCAGGATTGCCTTGAGGCCCTGAAGAAGTGGTGGGATCCTCTGTGACCAAGGACCAACTGTGCAGCCTGGGCCCACTCTTCCTAGGGCAGCGCAGGATCCCCAAAGAGAATGGCAGACAGGGAAGTCCCCCAAGAGGACCCCAGATCAGAGCAGGGTCCTCATCCACACTAGAAGGACTCTAAGGGTGGGGGCCCATGTCAGAAGGGTGGGTCTGGTCCAAAAGCCAGGCCCGCTGTGGGGCTACCCACATTGATGGGGCCAGGCTAGACCCCTAATCCTCACCCACAGCTGAGAGGGTGATGTGATCATTGGCCCCATTCTACACGTGAAGAAACTGAGCTGTAGAGAGGTGACTTACTGGCCTAAGTTCTTATAGAGTCAGAGACTCAACTGAGTCCAGACCCTATTTTGACTCCAATGCCCCAACCACTGGCCACTACCCTAGACTACCTCAAAAGATTAGCTCACCTCATCTTGGAGACAAGAAAAGACACTGAGGCTCAGGGAGGACCACAAGCAGCCCAAGAGCATGCAGTGGGGTTCAAACCCAGGTCTACAAAATCCCAAATCTATTGTCTCTCTGCCTTTTCTTGCCCCACTAAGAAGCCAAGAGCCAGGCTGCCATCACCAACCCATTACTCAGTGGAACAGACCAAGGCTTAGGGCCAAGCCAGCTGCTGGCCACATGGCCAACCAGTGTGTCTCTGTGTAGAGTTCTGGGCTCAAGTCCAGGCTTTGCCTGCAGCCAAGTAGCCTCAAGACCCAGGCCTGGCCACTCAGGGCTTTGATTTCATCTCTGTAAAAGCAAGTGCTGTCTGTCCTGACTCCTTCCTCCTCATACAGACTGGGACACACTCCCACCTCAGCCCCACCTGGCCAAGGGCCCTCTCCCCCAGCTGGTGACTAGCAGCCTATCTGGCTCAGCCCAGGGCCCTCTAACCCACTCGTGGTGGCACCCACTGGGTCAGAATGCTCTACAGGACCCATGGGGGCCTCCAGTGCTCTCAGGATCCCCAGCCTGAGCTCCCAGCCCTGCCCACCACCAGCTTGAAGTGGAGCCTGGACCAACAGCCTCCTCTCACTGGCCCCAGTTTCCTCATCTGTACAACAGAAAAGACTAAACCCCTTTTGGTACGGCTGCCCGAGGCTTTGCTTGGCAGGCAGCTGGCACCGAGTGGAGACCCAACATTGCCTACTGACAGGTACCCAGGCAGGGAAGCTACTGCAGGAGGGGAATTTCCTAGAGCAGTTGGCAGAACAGGATGGGGTGGCAGCCCCAGTCTTCCTGGCTTCTCAAGTAGAAACTCTCCTGGTTTGTGGACCCCCCAGGTCACAAGTCATCAAGTCATAATGGACTTTCAACTGCAGGGTTTCCCATCCCTTTACCCCAGTCCGTGTGAGCCTCTTCGATAGATGGGGGAAACTGAGGCCTGAAAGAAAAACTGACAATTTTGACAATCTAGGGCTCCCACTGTCTTCCTGAAAAGTCTAAGATGCCCACAATAGGCAGGGGTGCTGAATAGGGCAGACGCTGTGGCAGAGGGACAACGGGCCCTCCTCCCTGCTTCCTCCTGGTCCTGTCCCAAAGCGGGTGCAGAGAATGTAGAGAAGACCACCCTCTCCCTCCAAACCCTCTTAGGTCGGGATGCTGCTTTTGGGTCTCTAAGCAAACCCTTCCCCCTTGAGTTGCAGGGGACACTAATTTGGTTGGAGGTAGCCCTCCACTTCCCCAGCGAGCTGGTAACTGTCACACCTTCTCCCTCGGGAAGGGGCTCTTTCCTGCTCAAGTTGCGTAGCCCGCATGCCCGCCCACCCCAGGAGAACCTGCAGGAGACGGAGGCATTGTATAAAGGGCTGGTGGGGAGGCCTCCAAAAATACCTTCGAAAGTGCAATCCATGGCTCCGCGATCTGCGCCCGCCCTTGGGGCGTCCAGGCCGTTGGCCCTACCCCTCCCCGCGCCGACTTCACCTGTCAAGGCGCGGCGGATTTTTGAAGCCGTTGAGCGCTGCGGCGCGCCCGCCCCGCCCCGCCCCGCCCCCAGCCCCGCCCCAGCCCCGCCCCGCCTGCAGGTCCCGCCCCGCCCCGCCCTTCGGGGCTGCGGGCCGGGCATGGGGTGAGCGCGCGCGGCCAATCAGCGGCCGCGCTGCCGCCTCGCTAGGGCCCGGCCCCGGCCCCCGCCCCACCTCCCCACGGCGGCGGGGGCTCGAGTTTCACCCCGCGGCGCTGAATGGGGTTGGGGTTACTAGCGGACGTCCGCCTTTAACCCGCTCGGTGCCAGCGTCTGCCGGGGTTACTGGCGGTCACTGGCCCTCAGCTCCCGCCCCCTTCGTTAAAGGGTCAAAGCAGAGAAGTCCTGGCCCAACACACCAGAACTCTGTGTTCGAAATCACTGGTTCGCTGGCACCCTGAGCGAGCCTTAACCGCTCCAACCCTCCGTTTACTCCTCCAGAAAACAGGACAGTCATTATCTCCCTGGCGTCGAATGGTAGAAGGGAGATAATATGGGTGCAGCACTTAGTACGCAAGAAGCGTTTAATTAAGGCCAAGGGCTGCCGAGTGGCAGCTGCGGTGGGTGCAGGGACCTCCCCCTTCTAGGGCAGCCCCAGGAAGGGGCCACCCCTCACCACAGCGGGGCTGATGGTCTGGGATGAGGCCACTCCTGAAAACAGGTCACTTCCGGGAAACTGAGGCCTGGAAATAAGGGTTTCCTGACTGCCAGCACCGATGTCCCTCTGCCAGATGGGTGAAGTCTGCCCCTCCCCCTCAAGGCCTCACAACCCAGCAGTCACCAAGTGAGTCCCGACCCACTATTCATTGTAGGGCCCTGGGAAGCCAGGAAGGGCTGCAGTCCCTAGGACAGAAGATGGGTAAGGAAGGGGTGACAGGCTCTAGGGTTCTTTTGAGGAGGTGCCTGGGCCTGTCTTCCCTCTTTTGTCAAAGGTAAAAGTTACACACACACACACACACAAAGTGATCAGAGCCTGGCCAGTTGATTTTGCAGCCAAGTAGACCACCAGCAAAGCCTGCCTCTGCCCCAAACTGCAGGCCAGCGCCTCTGCCTGGTCCACACCCCAGTTGGCTGCAACCTGAGAGGGTGCCTGAACCCTGGGCAGACCCAGCGACTCAGCAGTCCATTGGGGGCTGGGGTCCCTGCGGCCTCAACCTTGCTCTCTATTCAGGACCCTAAGCAAGAAAACCCAGCCATGTCTCTCTCGCAACCTGTCCTCGCCACCGCCGTCCAGCCCAGGCCCTTATTTCCCAGCTTTGGGAGGTTCAAGGACAACAGACGGCCTCTCTAGCATGGCCCAACCCTCCCCTCAGCCCGCGGGTGTTCCCTCACCCCCAAAACAAAACACAGCATTGCTCTTGGCAAAGGCTCTGACATGAGTGACTTAAGACAGGGAAGCGTCCTTGACCCAAAAGCACACTGAGAGCTGAACTCCAGGCATGAGTTCCCCATGGCCTCCCAGCCTGGTTCTTTCATTACTTTGCTCCCCAGTTTCTGAGCCTAGAATGTGGTGAGACCAACAAGCAGATACTAGCCTGAGACAGCAGGGCCAGGGCCACTGTGAACAGTCAAGCCTGTCCCCTCCCCTTACCCATCTTGGCTTTACCACATATTCCTGCCTCTTATTGTGTCTTTATTTGTCTCATCTTCCTGCTCTAACCCCCTCCCATCCCACTGAGGAAGCGCGATGGGAGAGGGCGGTTGCTCTCTGAGCCCCAGGGGCAGCAGAGTCATTAAAGACTCTGATGGGGGTGGGGCGGGGGGGGCCTTCCAAGAGGAGGGGGTGTGACCTGGGAACAGAGGGCTGGCCCTTGGGCAGAGGGCACAGACTAAGCTAAGATGCCCCGAGGAAGGGGGAAGGGCCTGGGTGCCACTGGCCATGGCCAGCCTCTGAAACTCAAGGCCTGGCCAAACCCTGGCTCACTCTCCCCTGGGGCTGATCTACTGGCCAATTTCTTTTTTTTTTTTTTTTTTTTTTGAGACAGAGTCTGGCTCTGTCACCCAGGCTGGAGTGCAGTGACACGATCTCAGCTCACTGCAACCTCTACCTCCCGGGTTCAAGTGACTCTCCTGCCTCAGCCTCCTGAGTAGCTGGGATTACAGGTGTGCGCCACCACACCTGTAATGAAATGTAATTTTTGTATTTTTAGTAGAGACAGGGTTTCACCACGTTGGCCAGGCTGGTCTCGAACTCCTGACCTCAGGTGATCCTCCCACCTCGGCCTCCCAATGTGTTGCGATTACAGGCATGAGTCACCGTGCCAATTTCTGTGGAAGCTGGTCACCAGGTTAAGACTGAAAAAGGAAACTCTAGAGCCAGCCCTGCAGCCTCCCTCAGAGACACACCCAAGTGGGCTATCTGGGGCTGCATGCCAGGCCCTGCTCTTCCTTTAGCCCCTCCCTTGCTGTGTGATGGGGACAGTCCACTCCCCACCCTCTGAGCTCCCACACCTACGATCTCCAGAGGTGGGAATTCTGGGAAAGCAAGTGTGTAAAACATCCATCACTCAACAGTCTCAACAAAGGTTAGTTCTCTCTACAGCAATTAGAATGGTTTAGAACTGGAAAGTCAGGTAGTGAGTTGCCTGATACTTGCAGTATTCACGTTGGAGCTCCATTACCATTCGACTGAGTCTTTTTTTTTTTTTTTTTAAGGGGAGTTAACGGGGCCAGTCTAGAGTAAGGCAGCTGAGGCACCTTGGGTGCACAATTTAAGGAAGAGCCTCTCTTGCCTCCCCTAGTCCCTGTCCTGGAAGCTGGGAGAGCTGGTCTCTAGGGGCTCACTGTGGCACCCAAATTGCGGCCCACCCATGGGTGAACCGGGCTTCCCTATGAACACTGAGAAGGCCCTTGTGGTTCCCACACACACTCTGAACACAGGAAGGAAGAGGAGGCATAGACTCTGGGCCATGGTGGCCCCAACTGCTCCCTAGTTCACCTTCCCCAGGCTTGTGAAGCCCTGCCACCCCTCCCCAAGCCTGGGTTCCTCCTCTTCCCTCTTCTTCTTCCTCTCCTGCCCTGATTCTATCAGGACCCAACAGGAAACCTGAACCCCCACCTGGCATCCCTCCCCAGTTCTACCTTCAAACCTCTCTCTGAAGGCAGATGCAGGCGCCCTTTAATGACTCTGGCCGATGTATTCTGTGAGGCCATGAGGGAAATCCTGGGCAGGCCTCATGGCATGCGCTTGTAGGGCCCAACGCTGACCAGCACAGAAGCCTACAACCCAAACAAGGCCTTGAACCCCAAACAACCTCCTGGAAGAGGGAGCTCTTCACCTGCCCCCACAGCCTTGTCCACAGAACCCAGATCCATCTCTGACAATATCTACTGTGTGCCAATCCTGTGCCAGGCACTGGGGCCATTATAGATGAGGTGGTCAGGGCAGCCCATCTTAGGAGGTGACATCTGAAAGGAGGACTGAATGATATGAGGGAGTGGGCCGGAAGGGAGGGCAGAAGAAACAGTGTGTGCAAAGGCCCTGCAGTGGGCGTGGGCAGGATAGGAGGAGCGGAGGCAGTGAGGGGGTGGAGGCCAGGACGGCCACCAAGGAGCTGGGATTCCAACTCAGGTTGGTCTGTCATCTGAGCCAAGGACCCCAATTCTCCAGGGAATGGGTGGGAAAGGGATTTGCCAATTGATCCCTGCACTACAGACCACAAAGCTGCACCAACTGTGAAGAAGGGTCAGCCACAGGGGAGGATGTGGCACAGGTGCTCATGGGATTCCAGAGCACACCCTCTCGGCCTGCTAATGGAGGCAGCAGGGTGAGGATGGGTGCCCACCATCCCTCCAGGGAGCTGGGCTGCACCCCACCTGCTGTTCTGCTCCCACCAGGCACTTCCTTGATCCTCCTAACTGGAGTCGGCGGTCCTCGTGTTCTCAGCTGGTCGTGTATCCAGCAGTGGCACAGGCTGCCCTTTGTGCACTCATGGCTGCCCCGGGGGCACAAGTGTGTGCCAGCTCTTCCCGGAATGGGACGCACCCATGGCTGGAGCCCCAGGTGCACCTGGGCGCAGGTCCTCTTGAGGAAACTAAGGCTCAGACGGAGGCCTCGTGCCCAAAGTCCCACAGCTGCCATATGAAGAATCTGGTACACAAACCCCATTCTGCGGCCCCAGAGCCTGCCCTTCAGCCCCAGCCTGTGGGGGACAGCAGTGAGCCCCAACTCCGGCCTGCCTCTGCCCTGACCAGCTATCCTCATTTGTCGCAGTTCAGTGAGTGTGTGCAGAGTGCAAAGACAGAGAGGACAACACGAAGCTCTTTAAGGCTCAGCTCCGGCACTGCCTCCTCCTGGAGGCTTCCTAACCACCACCCCCCCAGACCTATCCACCTGCCCTGCCAAATTAGAGGCTGGGCCTCAGCTGGGGGCCCCTCCTGTCAGGGCCTGAACCAGCTGTGACCCCAGCCTCACCCAGCACAGGGCTGACCACAGCAGGGACCCCAGTCAGAGGCCGTGCAGACTCCAGCCATGGCTTCCTCCACCCTCGTCTGCCTCCACCCCCATCCCCTAACTGGTGTCTCCCTGGGCCTCCCTTTCCCTGCCTGCTTTCTGAACACCACAAGCTATTGAAGGCCAGGCTGTTCCCTCCACCAGGAATGCCCTTTCCACCTGGTGAATTCCTATTCCTCCATCAAAACTTGCTCTGATGCCACCTCCCATTCTTCCCTTGTCTGTGCCCCTCCACATGCCAGCTCCCAACATACTGACCGTCTGACCCTATAAACCTCAGAGCCACGTTTCCTCCTCCCCACTAGGCTCTTCCCGGAGCTACAGGTGTGCGGAATTACCCTCAGCAGCACCTGCGAGATGGCAATTACATGTGATGCTGGTCGGCACCAATTCAGACACCTTGTCCGAGAGGTGGCCCAGGGCACATACTTATCACTGGCAGCTGAAAACAACCCACGGGCCTGATGCAGTGGCAATTCTGGGAGTAGCCCCTGCTGCTGGGCACCTGTTTTCAGTCAAAATGGCAGTGCTAAGGTTAGGCGCAGGGGCTCACACCTGTAATAACAGCACTTTGGGAGGCAAAGGCAGGCAGATCACTTGAGCCCAGGAGTTCAAGACCAGCCTGGGCAATGTAGCAAGGCCCCATCTCTACAAAGTTTTAAAAATAGCTGGGCATGGTGGCATGAGCCTGTAGTCTCCATTACTCTGGAGGCTGAGGTGGGAGGATCCCTTGAACCCGGGAGTTCAACATTGCAGCGAGCTGTGATTGTGCCATGGTATTCCAGCCTGGGTGACAGAGCAAGACCCCGTCTCTAAAAACAAACTGGCTCACGCCTGTAATCCCAACACTTTGGGAGGCTAAGGCAGGCAGATCACGAGGTCAGGAGATCAAAACCATCCTGGCCAACATGGTGAAATCCAGCCTCTACTAAAAATACAAAAATTAGCTGGGCGTGGTGGTATGTGCCTATAGTCCCAGCTGCTTGGGAGGCTGACGCAGGAGAATCATTTGAACCCAGGAGGCGGAGGTTGCAGTGAGCCGAGATTGTACCACTGCACTCCAGCCTGGTGACAGAACGAGACTCCATCTTAAAAAAAAAAAAAAATATATATATATATATATATATATATATATGTATACACACACACACACACACTCACACATACACACACACACACATATATATATATATTTCTCCCTCTTGAGTTGTTTCTCTGCAGCTTGTTTTAAAGCTCATATGAAGGCAGCAAGATGTTTTCGAGCTGCCAGGCTCCAGTCTGGAAAAGATAAAGCCCTTTACAACCTTCCCTACAACGTATTCCCTTTCCTTCTAGCATCACCGGCACTGGGTGATGGTCATTGTCTTTTATGTACTTTTGGTGGCTTTGCTTAGTCCCAAGGCTGTGACCAGAACTTTGAAGGTGCTTTCACTCACATTTCCAAGGCTGCCTTGATGTGTTTTGCACAGAAACCGCCATCTGTGGCCAGATGGCCACTCTGCCCGTCCTCCCCCAGCCAGAAACACTGCTTCCTCAGCAGGTTCTTTTTGTTTGTTTGTTTTGAGACAGGGCCTCACTATGTTGCCCAGGCTGGAGTGTAGTGGTATGATCATGGCTCACTGCAGCCTCAACCTCCTGGGCTCAAGCAATCCTCCAGCTTTAGCCTCAGCCTCCTGAGTAGCTGGGACGACAGGCACACTCCACCATGCCAAGCTAATTTTTTTAGTTTGGGTCTCACAATGTTGCCCAGGCTGGTCTTGAACTCCCAGACTCAAGCGATCCCCCTGCCTCAGCCTCCCAAAGTGCTGGGATTACAGGCGTGAGCCACTGTGCCCAGCATCAATTATCTTCCATGGAAGCCAAGGATAGGGTGCTTGTTCCCCATGGCGGGGGGTGCTCCCCACTGGCCTAGTCAGCCCCATCCTGTCTCTCACCAACTCCAGACCACCACATGGTAGATGCTCAGAACTTGGAACCATAGCCTGGTACATCCTAGAAACTTCCAGCACAGGCTCCTTGGGTAATTGCTGCTAACATTTGTTGAGCTAAACCTATCGCGTGCCAGGTACTGGTTAGGTGCTCTAAATGGTGATTTGTTTGTTTTCTCTAAAACAAACAGGGCCTTGCTATGTTGCCCAGGCTGGTCTTGAACTCCTGGTCTCAAGCAATCCTCCAACCTCAGCCTCTAAAGTCAATAAGATTATAGGCGTGAGCCACTGCATCTGGCTAAATGGTGATAATAATAACACTAACTGGCATTGGTTCAGGGCCTACTATGTGCCATGCACTGCTTAAGCCTTCACTCATCGGATCCCCACAATTCCAAGAAGCTGCTTTTAGTACTGCTCCCTTTACATTGTTAAGAACCTGAAGGTTCTTGGACTTGTCCAAGGTCATACAGTAGGGCTGCTTGTTAAGACCCCTGATCCCAGCCTTCTAGCTGCAGGGAGCACAGGGACCCCAGAGCCTGGCAGGGGCAGCATGCAGAGGCAAGGCCTGCTGGGAGACAGGTGCAGGGACGGGGAGTCAGTTAGGAAAGGAGCTCAAACAGGGTTCGGGGTAGGCCACAAATTCCCCCTAGGGGGATGGACCCCCAGCCCCGTCCCACCTCCCACAAGCCCCAACCCAGCAGGGGACCCACACCTGGAGCCAGTCTCAATGGCTCCCTGACCTCTCACCCCTGAGCCAGTTAAGGCTTTCCCCACCTCACCCCCGACACACACAGCCGCCCCTGTGGAGCACATGGTGCAGGCTGTCACACACTGTCAGTGCCCAGGGTCAAAAGGCATGTCCACATGGCCCGTGGCTGCTAGGAGACAAGGTCAGAGGCACTTCCTCTGGCCGGCCTGGGCTCCACCTGTCAGCAGGCAAAGTCCAGATCCCAGGCCTCTGCTGGCAGTGACTCCTGCCTGGAGCTGACCGGGTCACTCAGGATGTTTGTGTCCAGCTAGGTGAATGTTGGGCAGAAGGTAACTCCCAACCCGGCTGAGACAAGGGAACTTTATCTTGGAGCACTAGGGAGCCATGAATGGTTGGAGACCAGGGGAGTTCTGTGCTGTAAGCTAGGGCAGTAACTAGTCTAGAGCTGTGTTTTCTAAGGAGTGCCAGTGCTTGGTGGAACTAGGGAGAGAACTGGGGCATGAGATATCCTGGGGAGAGGTATGGGGTGGCAGAGCGGGCCCCCATTGTGCCCTACCAGGGCTGGCCTGGACCCAGCAAACAGCCAGACACATGACTAGAAGCAAGGCCCTGTTGTGGCTGGGCTGGGCATGCTGGGAGGGACATCAGGGCGGGAGAACTCTGAGAACGCACTGCTCGGGGCAAGGTGACACCCAGAAGGGCTTTCTGGGAAGCAGCCTCTGACGGGGCTTGGCAGACATCTGGGGTCCGACAGACAAAGAGCAGACATGACGGGGTCCAGGCATAGGAAAGAGACCCCGAGGCCCTGTTCCAGGCTCTTGGCCAGAACTCTGTTTCCGTCTGCCTCTTCTGCACTCATAAGCTTGTGCAAAATTGGATAAATTAATCCTCAGCAGGGAGGTGAAGACTGCCACGGGCTTAACAATAATCCCCAACACAGGTACAGGGCCATCTCCTGATCCATCCTCCCCCGACAGCTGCAAGGTACTCTGAGGCCCAGAAGGAGACAGGCTCACCTGAGGTCTTGGTGCAGATGCAGGACTCAAACCCAGGGACACTATAGCCAGGGCAGTGCCTTCACCCACAGATGCAAGGACTCATGGAGGCAGCTCCATCCCCAAATCCATTCACATGACAAGAGTTTGGCTGTGGCAGGCAGCAGGACCGGATGGGGCCCAAGGCCCTTGGCTGGCTCACCAGGGCTGGTTCCCAGTCTAATGACTCAAACACTGCTCTGGACTGGGATGGGGAGGTAGCCACATAGCCTCTGACCCCTCTGTGACCCACTTCCAGGCCCCCAGAGTAGCCCCTGTGGAGGAGCCTCCCTCAACCCCTCATCCCCATTCTTAGGAGCCCAGTGCTTAAGAGCTTAAGAGCTAGGCTCTGGAGCCCACAGCCTGGGTTTGAATTCTGGCTTTGCCATCATCTGGCTGTGTGATCTCAGGCAAATCACTTAACCTCTCTGGTCCTCAAGGCCGTCATCTTCATCATATGTCTACCTACTTGGGGTTGTCAGGGGATTAAGTGGGATTATCAACACACTGTCTGAAACACAGTAAGTACTCAATTAGTGTTTTCTGTTCACATTACGATCCTCCATCCAAGCAGCCAGAGGGAACTGAAGCTCGGTGTGCCCCTGCTCTGACCCCCGACTGTCCTCACATCTAGCCCAGCTCTGCACTCTGGCACTCAAGGCCAGCCTGGCCCCCTCTTATCCCTCATGTCTCTCAAGGGACCTGGCATTTCCACCCCCAAATCTTCAGACCTTATCAAACCTGCTCAGCTCCACTCCTGGTAGAAGAAGCTTCAAAAGCAGGCTCGACCTCTGACCAGCAATTCCCCTCCCAGAACCTCATCCTAGGAACACAGTGAGGATCCGGGCAAAGACTGGCCTCAGTGGCCAGGCACAGTGGCTCACGCCTGTAATCCCAGCACTTTGGGAGGCCGAGGCGGGCAGATCATGAGGTCAGGAGATCGAGACCATCCTGGCTAACACGGTGAAACCCCGTCTCTACTAAAAATACAAAAAATTAGCCAGGCATGGTGGCACGCACCTATAGTCCCAAGCTACTCGGGAGGCTGAGGCAGGAGAATGGTGTGAACCCGGGAGGCGGAGTTTGCAGTGAGCCGAGATCGCGCCACTGCACTCCAGCCTGGGTGACAGAGCAAGACTCTGTCTCAAAAACAAACAAACAAAAAAAAAAAAACAAAGAAAAAAACCGGCCTCAGTGTCCACTGCAGCAGTTTATAAAGATAAAACAACCTAGGTGTCCATCGACAGGGAATCAGGTGGGTAATAAGAGGAAACCTTACTGTCGTCTGGCTGTTGACATGGAACCAAGCAGATTCCAATCAGCTGTGAACCAATGGACCCTATTTTAATTTATAAAAATACAGATCCAGCCGGGCGCGGTGGCTCACGCCTGTAATTCCAGAACGTTGGGAGGCCGAGGTGGGCAGATCACAAGGTCAGGAGATCGAGACCATCCTGGCTAACATGGTGAAACCCCATCTCTACTAAAAATACAAAAAAATTAGCCGGGCGTGGTGGCAGGTGCCTGTAATCCCAGCTACTCGGGAGGCTGAGGCAGAACTGTTTGAACCTGGGAGGCGGAGCTTGCAGTGAGCCAAGATCGCACCACTGCACTCCAGCCTGGGCGACAGAGCAAGACTCCGTCTCAAAAAAAAAAAAAAAAAAAAAAAAAAAAAAATATATATATATATATATATATATACACACACACATACAGATCCACAGCTGCCCGGGGCTGGGAGCAGGAACAGGAACTGACTAAAGAAGTATAAGGGATCTCACTGTGTGATAAAAATGTTCGACAGCTAGTAATTGTCACACAACTCAAAAAGTTAACTAAAAATCATTGAATGATATACTAAAAATGGGTAAATTTTGTGATACATAAAGTATACCTCAATAAAGTCGTTTTTAAAAAATTGATGAAGGCCGGGCATGGTGGTTCATGCCCTGTAATCCCAGCACTTTTGAGAGGCTGAGGTGGGCAGATCACCTGAGCTCAGGAGTTCGAGACCAGCCTGGCCAACATGGCCATCTCTACTAAAAATACAAAATTTAACCAGGCGTGGCGGTGCATGACTGTAATCCCAGCTACTTGGGAGCTGGAGAATCTCTTGAACCTGAGAGGCAGAGTTTGCAGTGAGCTGAGATCATGCCACTGGACTACAGCATGGGCAAAAGAGCGAGACCCTGTCTCAAAAAAAAAAAAGTTTATGAAGAGTGTGCACCCATCCCCAAACACATATAAACACACAGAGAGAGAGAGAGAGAGAGAAGAAAAGCTCTTTCACATAATTAGCAGGGCTTATCTCTGGGTGGTAGGTTTAAAGTTTTTTTTGAAACAGAATCTCACTCTGTCATCCAGGCTGAGTGCAACGGCATGGTTATAGCTCACTGCAGCCTCTAAGTCCAGGCTCAAGCAATCCTCCCACTTCAGCCTCCAGAGTAGCTGAGACTACAGGCACATGTCACCCACACCCAGCTAATTTTTTATTTTTGTAGAGACAGGATTTTGTCATGTTGCCCAGGCTGGTCTCAAACTCCTGGACACAAGTCATCCTCTTGCTTCGACCTCCCAAGTGCTGGGATTATAGGTGTGAGCCACCACCCCAGGTCTAAAGATTTTATTTTCTTCTTTTTGCTCACTTGCATTTTCTAAGTTTTCTACAATGAAAAAAGATGTGTGTAATTGGGAAGAAAAACAGGAAGTTTGAATAAAAACTGAAAAATCCTCTACTGAAGTGGGTAAAGCTGAGCCCTGCCTAGTGAGAAGGGGCTGCCCCCAGTCTTCAAGGGGCTGGGACTGCCCCCACTCTCTCATAGACTAGACCTTGGGCCACATGGCTGCCCATGCCTGGCCTTTGGTTCTGGAGAGACAATGTTTTTATCCATGAGTCAGTAAGAAAGGTCTGTATCAGACCTCTGGCCCAGACCAGATTCTGTCAGTAAGAAAGGTCTGGGCTGGGAGCGGTGGCTCACACCTGTAATCCCAGCACTTTGGGAGGCTGAGGCGGGCGGATCACAAGGTCAGGAGATCGAGACCATCCTGGCTAGCACAGTGAAACCCCGTCTCTACTAAAAATACAAAAAATTAGCCAGGCGTGGTGGCTGGCGCCTGTAGTCCCAGCTACTTGGGAGACTAAGGCAGGAGAATGGCGTGAACCCAGGAGGAGGAGCTTGCAGTGAGCCAAAATTGCGCCACTGCAGAAAACAAACAAACAAACAAACAAAGGTCTGTATCAGACCTGTGGCCCAGAACGGGTTCTGTTGTCCAACTTGCCCATGAAGGGAGGGTTTGCATCATTTTTCTGGAGGTGGAAACTAAGGTTTAGAGGGTGAGAGGGCTTGAGCAGGATGACAAAGGAAGTGAGGAGTGTCCAGGTTCAAGTTCTGACCCCAAAGCGCATGTCCTCCTGGCTTGGTCACGTTGCCTCTTGGGACTACACTCACTGGGCCCAGTGATGTGGAACTGGTAGTTGAGTCAGGCCCAGATCTCCCTAGGGCTTGGGATTTCAGGGTTCATCACTCCAGAGGGCAGTGAAGGACAACCCCTCGTGCCAGGGATAGGGGAGGCTGTTTTGGAAAAGCCTCACAATCAGGGCCTCTCCTCTGGGGTCCTCCCCTAGCCCAGCCCCAGGGGGAAGGAGGGAGGGCTGGGAAGCTTCTGGGGCTGGCAACCAGCTGGGCTCATCTGCAAGGCTGCAGTAGGGCAGGAGTGGTGGTGGCATAGATATATCTGTTTTGCCAACCCCAGGGTGGCCACGGGTTCCATGGACATGTCCATTCAGGCTGTGAGTCTAGGCATCTTGTTCCTGCGACCTTGGCCTCAGTTTCCTCATCAACCAAGTGCAACTTAGCTAGTGCTGCTAAAACTCCTGCACAGAAACCATGCAGGCAATTTGCTAGGGGCTTCCGTTTGCTCTATCTACAAAATGGAAGCAACGGGCCTCCTAATTGGCACTTGGTGCCACCATTGGCCCCAAACCCCTTCTCATCACAGCCAGGGTGATGCTCCAAAGATGGAAGCCGGTGCCACTGTTCTGCTCCGCCCTTTCCCTGGCCGACCAAGTCGGTTTGCGTCCTCCTCCTCCCTGACCTCACTCCTTTGCAAGCCTCTAACTCCTCACACTTAGGCCCTGCCTCGAGGCCTTTGCCCTTCCCTTGCCGTGGCCTGGAAAACATCTTTCCTTGCTGGTCCTGGGGGTGACCCTCAGGTCTCAGCTTAGAAGTCCCTGACCGCTCTACCCAAAGTAGCCACATCCCTGCCCTCCCCCAGCCTCGCTCCACCCAAGGTACAACTAAATACCCGTTTGGTTTCCCGGGAGATTTTTGTGTTCCCTAAAAGAGGGGGTACCCAGGTCTGTCTGTAAACCCTCGGTGCCTAAGACGGGGCCTGGCATTCGGTGGATGTCAGTGAATGAGTGCGGAGGCTGTGCCCGTCGCAGACCGGGAGAACCCGACACGAGGCGGGGGAAGGGCGCGAGGCAGCGCCCATGCGCATGCGCAAGAGCTCCGACGCCGAGCTGAACTCTCGGGCCGGAGGGAATGACCGTGAGTAACCTCGCAATTACGTCACGGCTGGGGCTGGGGCGGAGCTTCGGCGACGCCTGGGTCCCCAGCTTCAGCCGTGGCCATCACAGGGCTGGAGAGTCACCGGTCGGGCGGCACCCGGCCTGGGACGCGTAGAGGCGCACGTGTCCCGGCCCGGAGCCGCCAAGGGACCCCGGCCCGGCCCAGGAGCCCTCACCCACAAGCGCGCGGCCCGAGACGCTAGCGCGGGAACCAGGGAGGCTCGGTGAGGCTCGGGACACCGAGCTCAGAGACACCGGGAAGTCCCGCGCGAGCACAGCACGGAGCTGGCGCCCGTGGGGGAGACAAAGGCCAGGGAGACACCTGCGCGCCCCCTACTCGCGCCACCCGGCGCAGCTTCAAGCCCTGCCCGCCCTGACGCACCTTCGATGTCGGTCAGCAGCGCCGCGTCCAGATCGCACGGCTCGCCCAGCGCCTGCTCCAAAGCCGCCTCGCTGAAGGGTGGCTCGTCCATGGCGCAGCCGCCTCCTCCGGGAGGCCCGCCGGGCCCGCCGCCTCGTACGGCCCTTCCTAGGGAGCGCCGCCGCGGCCCCGGCTCTCAGTCGCCGCCGCCGCTCCGCGCGTTCGTGTCCTGCCCTGGCCTCAGAGGCGGCCCGGCGCCGGCGAAAAGTTCCTCGGAAACTGGGTTCCCCCGGCCGCAGCTCTGCTGGGCGGTCGAGGCGGAGGCGGGGCCTTTCGGGGAGGACCCGCCCTCCCAGATAGACGGCCCCGCCCCACCTTGAGAGAGCGGGGGACCCCTGATCCCCGGTCTGCGCCACAAATCTCCCCTCAGCCGGCCCCTCCTCCAGAGCGCCCTCCAGTCATTCATTTTATCCAGCCTCGCGCACAATGGCAGCGGCCTCTGGCCGGCTGCTGCGGGAACGCGGGCAAGCCGAGCCCCCTCTCTGGGCCTCTGTTTCTCCAGCACCAAGCAAGGAAGCCGAGTGGAAGCCCCAGGCCTGGGCCCATCCCAAACTTCATTTCCTCATTTCCTAGATTTGACTCTTTAGAACAAGACAGACCAGGATCCAAGTTATAGGGGTCCCAGGCCTGCTGTGTTGTGAGCAGGCCTGATGTAACTGCTGGGCCAGTTACATCACTCTGCCTCAATTTTCCTCATTTGTAACATGGGCCTAATGATGCTTTCTCACGGGCAGGCTGGGAGGCTAGTGACAATGTGGAGGGGAGCATGACCTGTGAGATCAGCCTGCCCCCTCTCTGCAAAGAAACCAGAAGATTGGCCTCTTGAGGACAGGAGTGGCCAAAGAAAGAGGCTGGAATTTCGTCATCTGGTTTCCTCCCAGATCCAGCTGTAGGGATAGGATACCAGTGGGCCCAGTGCAGCTCCTGAAGGAGGAAGCCAGTACCCAAGGAAGACTGGCCCCAGGGCTGTCTGACCCCAGATTTGGCACTTATTCCCAGGAGCAGCCAGGATAGGGGCCGCAAGGAAGAGGTAGCTGTGCTTTAGATCAGAGCCAGGCTGCCCTGGATCATCACAAGCTGGGACTAGATCAGAGCAGGCAGCCCTGTTGAGAAGAGGGCTGGAAACCGAACCTGGTTCTGTGGCCTAGGGACAGAGCCAGGTGGGGCAGGAAGGAGGGAAGGGGTCCCAATGAGGTGGGTTGAAATAAACCAGAATTAACATTCAGGAATCTGAATGTGATAAGGCAGTGAGCTCCCTGTCCCCAGAGGTATGCAAGCAGAGAGAAGCACCCTTGGTGGAGGGCAGTCCAGGAAACTCATCAGGGGCCTGGGCCTCAGGCCTTCCCGACCCCAGACCTTCATAAGTCAAGCCATCCTGCAGACTGCCTTGCTCAAACTCCAGATATAGCCTATCTGGCCACGCCCTAAGCAGGAGTAACATTCATGATGCATTTTAGAAGGGGTGTGTGGGGGAGAGAAGCCACAGAGCCCAAGTCCCTGGGGCTCAGCCTGGACATCCAGCTCCCTTTGTTCCTCTCCCAGAAGTGGCTGCGGTGGAAAATTACCCAGAATAGCGGCGCCAGAAGTCATAGGGGTCGCCAAACCACATCTCCCCAAGTAGCCCTGCTCAAGGGTCCACCCAGGACCCACTCCCTCCAGATGAACAACTGCTGGAGAACACAGAGAACAAAGCTGGCTTCTCCTCAGTGCCCCACCCCCACCAACACTCTAGAGGCTGCAGGAAGCTGGTGACTTCCCTGAAAATTTAAACAGCCCTTCCCAGGGAGGGGGTGGGATAGGAAGTGCTGGGTGAAGCCTAAATACCATTTTCTTCAGAGCTAGGCAGGTGATCTGGGTTTTCACCTGCTTGCTGTGTGACCTGGATCCAATACCTCACTTCTGAGTCTCAGCTACTGTATCTATAAAATGGGAATAACCCTTTCTGCAGTCCCTCTGCAGAGGCAGGGAGGGTGTTTTGGAGTCATCATCACAACAGATCTGCCTCACTGTTTTTTGTTTTGTTTTGTTTTGTTTTTTGTTTTGAGACAAAGTCTCTCTCTGTCACCCAGGCTGGAGTGCAGCGGCATGATCTCGGCTCACTGCGACCTCCACCTCCCAGGTTCAAGCAATTCTGTCTCAGCCTCCTGAGTAGCTGGGATTACAGGCGCACGCCACCATGCCAGGCTAATTTTTGTATTTTTAGTAGAGATGAGGTTTCACCATTTTGGCCAGGCTGGTCTTGAACTCCTGACCTTAGGTGATCCACCTACCTCGGCCCCCCCAAAGTGCTGGGATTGCAAGTGTGAGTCACTGCACCTGGCTATCACTGTTTTTGTTGTTGTTGTTGTTGTTGTTGTTGTTGTTTTTAAGACAGAGTCTCGCTCTGTTGCCCAGGCTGGAGTGCAGTGGCACAATCTTGGCTCACTGCAACGTCGGCCTCCCGGGTTCAAGCATTTCTTTTCCCTCAGCCTCCCGAGTAGATGGGATTACAGTCATGCACTACCACGCCCGGCTAATTTTTGTATTTTTAGTAGAGATGGGGTTTTGTCATGTTGGTCAGACTGGTTTCGAACTCCTAGCCTCCAGTAATCTACCCACTTCGGCTTCCCAAAGTGCTCGGATTACAGACGTGAGCTACTGCACCCAACCCGCCTCACCGTTTTTAAATGGGTTACCACATATGTAAATAGAATAGCTCAATAAATATTCACTCCATAACTGCAGGAGTTAGGGGAAAGGGAAAGAAGGTAAGACAAGGTCAACAGAAGACCTGCACCCCAGAAAATCCAACCCCCATGGGGCACAGTCCAACGTGGGGGTGGGAAGAATTTACATCTTTGCCACCAAAGAAACAAATCTTTGCCCCACAGCCTGGGATTACCAGGGCAACCCTCAACGTGAGGGTAGGGGAAAACAGAAGAGGGGATCCATTTTTCAGGGGGAACATGCTTGTCTTGGCAGTTTCTCTCCTCAAAGATCCTGAGACCTCCAAACAAGACCCTCGGGCCCCGGTTGGCTGGGGAGCGTTGAGCACGCCCAAGGAACGTGGACACAAGCCCCTCTGTAATGGTGTGCCTATCAGGGGTCAGGGATCCAGCCTGGTCCACGGTGACCCCGGCGGGCAGGTTCGGCACAGTTTACTTGCTGAGCGCTTACAGAGTGTTCAGTGCGGTTTAAACCCATTCACTCCTCTCGACAGCCTCAGGCGGTTGAGGCTGTTACCATCCCATTTTACAGATGAGTAAATTGAGGCACGTGGAGCGGGACGGTGAAGCGACTTGCTCAGGACCTCACAGCACTGCTGCCCCTGGTTTTGTCTGGACTGGAGGTAGCCGGAGAGCCGGGGCGGCTCCGCACGCGCGCGGGCCAGGGCAGCGGCTGGAGACCCAGGGGAGCCGGGGCGCAGAGCCAGACCAGCCCCGCCCCCGCGGGCCCGGCGCAGCCAATGGGCGCCCGGCCCGGAGTGGGGTGACGCGGCGTCAGCGCGTAACTCCCGGGAGCCCAGCCCTGGGTCACATGCGCCGCGCCCGCTCTACCCGGGAGGTAGGGAGGGGCGGCGGGGACAGGCTGGGCTCAGCCCCCAGTCCAGACACCTGGCCAGGAATGCCGCCAGGTGCGCGTCCCGGGCACCGGAAGGGCTAACACGGGACAGCCCCACCCGGGACTGCGTGGCGCGCCCAGAGCGGAGGATTCCTTCCAGGTCACCCAGCCCGGCCCCTGCCCGACCTCGGCGTTGCCAACTGGGAGATAGGAATTCGCATCTCCCCGCTTCCTCTCCAAGCCTCTTAGAGACTGAGAGGCAGCTTCTGTGGGTTTCGAGCCTTTTCGGGCAGGCGTCCAGCACGGGCAGGGCCTCTTCCAGGACGCTTGTCCTGTCCAGCCATGCCCTCGGTGCCCGGAGCTCAGCCGTGGATGGCAGGGCAGGCACTGGGCAGGAAAACTGGGTTGTCCACTCTAGCCATTGCCTAGGCTACTGAAACCCCTCCCCACTCCCAGAGCCCCCCTGCCCCCCTGCCCCCCTGCCTGGCCCTGCATATCCTTCACTGCTGTGGGAGCCAAGCTGGGACCTGCCCAGGTTATGGCAGAGGGGCCAGGCTGTGGGAAGAGACTGCTCAGAGCCTGAGTCTCCCCTCCCCCACTTCTCCATCTGTATATAATGGGGTCAGATGACTGTTGACATGGGTGATTCTGGTCCTAGATGACGCTCGTGGTCTCATTCCAGCTTGGGCTCTGTGGTGAGCTGGGCGAGTTCTTTCCAGCCCTCTCTGAGCCTCCATGGCCAGCTTTGCCCCTGGAGGCTCACACCCATGTGGGCACCTGCAGGCTTATCATGAGTCACTGAACACACCCTCTACCAAAGAGCTACTTGAACCCCAAAGATTGCTGCACAGTGAGGGGTGTAGCTCACAAAGGCTGAGGAAGACTGATACCTGTTCCCTGGGGGGTAACTGGCTGTTTGAGGAGAGGCCAATTGCATATTGAATGGGGTGAGTCTAGCCGGCAACAGGGAGAGTGAGGAAATCAATGTAATAAGGCCCCTGTGGGCATTGGGTTTACCACCCACTACACCAGTTTACCGATCAGGAGAGTAAAGAACAGAGTGAGACAGTGACTTACCCAACACCTACAGTTAAGCCTGCAACCCTAGGGAGGAATGGGGTGGACAGGAAATGGCACCAGACAATGGAGTCCACTCAATTTCCGGAAGCATCCTACTTACTCCCTAGTGCTGAGAGTAGAGATTTTGCGTCCTGGAATGTTGAGGGCCTGGGCTTGGAGGCCCTGGACAGACTCCTCTGAGGTCTGCCCCAAAAGCTCTGACAGGGACTCCTGTAAAATAAACTGATGGCATTTCTGGGTGGGTCATGCAGACCTGTCCAAGGCCTCAGGTTCTGCCCTCCCGCTGCCCCCAGGACCCAAAGGAGACCTTTTTCTTGGAAAAACCACAGGCTCCCACAATGCTTCCCTCAAGTGTGCAGCTTGAGTGCCCTGGGGCTCAGCTATGTGCTCAGAGCCTCCTCTCCTGCAGGCCCTGGAAGAGAGCTACAACACTTAACTGGCTGCAGAGTGTCCTTGACTCTGGGAATAGAACCAGGCTGCACATTCCCCAAGGGCAGGACTGGAGCAGCCCTGTCCCTCCCCTCTGGCACCAGCCTGGCACACAGCAGGCTCTCAGGAACACTGCTGAAAGCACAAGTGGCCTAGGTGTCCTGGTGAGTCCACAGTAGTGTCTCAGCACCAATCTACTCTCCACAGGGTAGGGACAGAGCTCAGGCCTCTTTCAGTGCCCACATTGCCTGGTACAGTGCTGGGGGCACATAATGAGCCAGGATCTATGCTATCTGTTTAAAGGGACCTGGGTTTGCAGCCCCCCACCCCCACTTCAGGAGCCCACTCCCCTTCTCCCCTGGGTGTGGGAACCTTTATCTCACTCCAACTGGTCAGAAACAGGGCTCTGCAGAGCTCCCTGGAGCCCAGGGAGGCAACTGGCCAGAGGTAGCTGGGTGCCGCCCCTTCTGGCTACGACTGGTGATGGCGGTGGTCCCAACACGGCCCCTGCCGTGACCTGACTCCTATCAGTGGGCAGGAGAGCCCCTCCTGAGCCACGCTCCCAGAAGGGCTGCTGTTCAGGGTAGGTGGGGCAGCTTTATCTGCTGGCCATGGAAGTGGTGTCTTTCCTGCCCACTTCATGGACCTGTCTGGGAGGTCTGGCTCTGGGTTGGGTACTGGTTCTGCCACTACTCCCTGTGCAGCCTGGGGCAAGCCTACAGCTCTTTCTAGTCCTCCATGTCTTCACTGGCACAGCAAGAGTTTGGGAAGATCTCCAGGTTCATCGGGGGTTTGGTGAGTCCACCCTGACTTGAGGTCTGTCCTTAAGCCCCAGCGAAGGGATTAAAGGGCCCTCGGCCTCCCAAGCCACTTGGAGAAGGCACAGTTCCCACAGGCTCCCACAATGCACCCCTCATGACCCCCTATGCCTCTGGGCCTGAGGGGCCTGCTTCCAGGAGGACAGCTACCTTACAACAAAGGGCTGCAGGTGCCCACCTCCAGGACAAGGGGAGAGGGGGAAGGAAGCCTTTTTAGAAAGGGAGAGCAGGCTGTGGGGATGGGAGGAGACAGGTTTCTTTTGGGGGGAATAAAAATGTTCTAAATTTGGTTGCGGTGATGATTGCCCAACTCTATGGATATTCTGAAGACTACTTAATTGTACACTTTAAATGGGTAAATTGTATGCTATGTGAATTATATCTCAGTAAAACTGTTAACAAAGTGTGAAGTCTACCTGGCTTGGAGCAGCAGTTCTCAAATTCAGTGCCCAGCACAGGCTCTGCAGATGATGCCCAGCCAAGCTGTGGGAGTCCAGCCGAGGGTGGGGGCTGGGGCTTAGAGGGGGTCAGGGGTGGCTCAGGCCTGCTTGCTCAAGGCCTGGGTGCCCTGGGCAAGGGTGAGTGGCCTCCTCCTGCCCATCTGGGACCTGGGGTGAGACCTAGGAACAACCACAGCACTTGGTCCTAGAGCTCTCAGGCAGGTTGTAGCAGGCTTACAGCCACTCCCACCGATGTCACAACCTGGGCCACGCACAGGAATTTTCCTGGCCAGGTAAGGGGCTGCTCAGGCAGCCTGGCCACTGGGGAAGGGTGGACTGAGGGTCCCCATGGCCACCCCTGCTTAAATAAAGCAGGTGGTCAAAACTGGCAAGCCCTTTGGACAGTCGTAGCCAATTCAACAGACCACACAGGCATAATTTGTTCAATTATTTATTTATTGTGGAGTATTTTACATGCAAGAACCCAATTAGAGAGAGGGTATCTGGAAGGAGGGCCAGTGGGGTGGATGGATGCTCTGAGCCTCGGGTGCACTGACCCACCCTCCAGAACCAGCTCTGCCCACAGAAACACATGACAGTGACAAAAACACTAAACTTCTAGGACGAGTGGACAGCAAACGCGACATTCAACACATTCCTCTTTTCAGTAGCCCCCAACAATCCTGAGAATCCTCACAATTAAGTGCAAACTTTAGGAAATAAATATCCGTCCCCCTCTCCGGGAGAGCCTGGAGGTATGGACAGACAGAAGCAGTTCTGACTCGGGGGCTGATGGCTGCTCCCTATGGCTGGTGGCCGCAGGGGAAGCCTGACTTGGACCCCACAGATAGGAAGGGCTGGTGACGGGCACTGGGGGAGGCGAGCACTTCAGGGGCTGACAGACAATGTCTCTGGGGTGGAAACACTTCTCTCTGGGTGGGGAAGGCCTACTGTAACCCAAGTGGGTGAGACGTCCCCAAAGCCGACAGTGCAGAAGCTCCCAGGGACCACTCCAGCAGTGCCAGAGGCTGAAGCCAGGCTGCAAGCAAGTGCTCCTCCACACTGCTCTTCCAGAGCTGCCCCAGGGGCTGGCCTGGCCCCAGGTGGGCCCATGGCCTACCCCAAGCCATCCAGAAGGCTGGGCCCAACTGAGTTAGAGATGCGTGTCTGCGGGGGCCCAGGGTGGGGTGTGGCAGCGGGAAGGAGGGGGGCAGGAGCGTGAGCATCGGCAGCAGCTGCCCTGCGAGCATCTGTTGCCCTTGGGCCATGTGGAGCCCTTGCCCCAACTCTCCGGGCTGGGTCCTCTCCTCCCCAGGGGCTGGAGTGACAGCACAGGCCCCAAGACCACCAGGTGGCATGGTGGGGTGGTGGGGGAAGGCTAGTGAACCAAGGCACCATCACTCACATGGAGGCGCTAATAGAAAGACAGGAGGACAGACGGATGGTCACCTTTCCCTCTAGCCCAGGCCAGCAACAACCCCTTGAGGCTCCAAAGCTCCTTGTCCCATGCACGCTGGTAAGCGAGCCAGTCATTCTCTCAGCCTGGCCACAGATGGCCTGCTCAGTGCCTGGAGACTGCCCAGGCAGGGCTACTCTGCAGCAGGCAGGCCAAAGGCCCATGGTGCCAGGGGCCCAACTGCACATAGCGCCATTCTCTGCCGCCCAGTGGCCAAAAAGGTAGGCAGGAGGGAATGGTTAGTTTTCACATCTCAGCAACAATGAACGCAGAAAGGGTTAAACACATTCCCAAGAAAATATTTTGACAAAATAAATATTTTAACCTATAATCAGGTATAATTAGTGCTTATAAGGAATCCCAGCAATAATTTAGTGTAATTAAGTATATACTGTATCTGTGATTTCTAACACTCACGGAGAGGCTGGTGGGCCTTGAGAGTCCAGGTTTCCTGACAGAGCCGCACCCCCTTCCTGGACCAGGCAGCCTAAGGACTGTGCTCCCCAGATGGTGGGGTCTGGGAGCAGAGATCTCAGGACAGGCCATCTCGCCAGGGCTAAGTGGAACCCACTCTGGGGCACCGGGGCTATACTTGCTTCCTGTGCAGGCCTCAAGCAAGAGCCCCCTCTGCCTACAGGTGGGGCAGGCTACCTCCGGATAGGAGGTGCAAGCAGGCCACCTGAGGGGTGGCTCCAGGCTAGGAAGGCAGGTGACACTTGTCAGCATGGCCAATGGCCTCCTGCCAGCCCATACAGGTCCACCACTCCCTGCTGCCCCTGGGGCAGCCAGGCCTCTCCAATGATGCCTGGCAACCAGCTGGCGCTGGCGCTGGAGCTGGAGCGGGGCAGTTCTGGGAGTGGGTATGAAAAACAGTTTTGCTGGGGGCTCCCCAGGAGGGCGCCTATTTCAGCTTCACGCACTATGGAATCCCTGCTCCTTTCAGAGCCTCCAGGCTCCTGACTTTTTGGGACTCCTGGTTCCATGAGGCAGGGAGGCTGGCTCTTCCCTCTGAGGACACTGGGTCTGGGATGCAGTGCTGAGGCTGCGGAGCACTGACTGCCCGAGGTCGGACCGCCCACCACCCGCAGGCCCAGCTCTGGCAGGGCCTCAGAGACAACCCAAGTCACAACCCAAAGGCAGCCAAAGGGCTGGGGCCTCTGGGTGCACCTGGGCCATCCCAGCCACCTTTTCTGCAGCTCAAGTGAAGCCAGCTAACTTCAGCAGTCTTCACATTCAAGCTGGCCTCAGGGGGGTCTGTCTTTGAGAAACATTGAGGAGGCAGGGGCTCATCAAGCATCAGGGAGCAGAAGGCCCAGGCAGGTGTGGCATGTGCTGCCAGAGAGGACAGGGCTAGAATCAGGCTGGCCACTCCACGGAGGAGCTTCCTGGGTGAACCTGAGCAACTGGAGTGAGACATCCCAGCTAGTCCCACCCTCAGCCAGACAGAGGTTTCCTCTCTGGAGGGAGCTGGAGGGCTGCTAGCCTGGCACAGGGTCCTGGGTCGGGCAGCACTTGCTCTTCACTGGAATAGTTCCTGTTGGTGCTCAGCATGACCCCCAGCTGAAGTCGCCATCCTGAATGCTCCCCAACGACCATGTCGCTGGTCTCTTCTCCCGTCAAGCCCAGCCCCCTTTCCCTGCTTGGCTGGTGGTCTGGGCCGTCCTGCCAGGTGGGAAGGGCTAACTACACCATGGATCAGGAACCTGTGCTGACCTAGGCAGTGCATGCTGGAGGGGACAGGAGCAGACTGACCCAGCGAGCTGGGCCCAAGACACACGGGGATGCATACAGCTGCAGTATTCTCCTTCTGAGCAACAGCAGCCTGGTGGGAGGTGTGGGGCCAGGTGTCTGGCTGGACCAGGGCCTGGGATGACCCGAGTCCCTTGCCCATGGCCAGGAGACACACCAGTGAGGACACGGGATGGGAATACATGTTACCAGCCCCTAGCTGCTCTGCCTGCCTTCAGGATCAGCTTGGGGAGAGAGTATAAATTGGTGGCCAGAGGACCTCTGAGGTGGGAGGAGGCCAGACTGTCAGGAGAGTCTGTGCAAGGAGGCCAAGGCCTATGCCAGGGAGCAGAGCAGGGGCCTTAGTGCTGCCCAGGCCTCTCAGTCACTGGGAACCTCCAAGGATGCCACAAAGCTGTTTGCTGCTGGCTCTTGAGGCAGATGTGTGAGGCTACGGCAGGCCAGGCCACAGCACTGAGTGTGGCCCATGTGCACATCTGTGACACTTCCCCAGGCAAGCCAGAGCAATACCTCCAGTGCAAGTCCCTCCACAAGCCAGGACCAGGTGTGCGGGTGTGAGCCTGCAGTGTGTGCGTGGCAGTTTGGTTTATTGGTAGTGTCGTCTCAGCAGCGTGCCACATGGCCACCATCTGCGGGCTGCCTGCTGCCCTCCCAATTGTCCTTGGCCCTCTCCCTGCCCAGGGAGCCTGCAGGGACCCTCGGTGCCAGGCTCGGCTGCTGAGCCAGCTTGGGTGTGAAGCCTGGGCTGGCAGCTGAATGATGGAGAGAGGGTCAAGAAGGTGAGAGACCCCCACCATGGAGACCCAGCAGAGCCTTCTCAAATGCTGATAAGCCAAATGTCACAAGGTGACAAGTCCAAGGAGTGAGACCAGGCCCATGAGTGCAGCACACCCTGCTCTTCCAGAGATGCCACAAAGCCCCTTCAGGGAGAGAGGGGCCCAGGAGGGCAGAATGCCTGAGAAGGTCGCTGAGCCAGGCAGAGGTGAGCACAGGGCGGGGCCGGGCGTGCTCTTTCTCCATGGGCGGGTGGAGGAAAGACAGTCCGGGTGGTCTGCTCAGGAAGCACTGCCTGGGGCTGGGCCACTCTGCCCGCTCTTCCTGGGAGGAAACATGGGCAGAGGGGCCCATGGTGGGAGGGGAGAGAGTCTCTGGCTGCAGTTGTCCCACCACTCAGAGAAAAGAAGTGGCTGAAGCTGGTCCTGACTAGTGGGAGGCCTGGGAGCAGACACGGTGGCATTTCCATGGAAACACAGGTGTGCAGGCCGTGTGGAGCTGGGGATGTAGGAGTGGCCAGTGCCCGGTGTCCACGGGGTGCGAGCGGGGACCCGCCATCTGGGGAGGCAAACCACAGAGCTGCTCACAGGGCGAAGAGGGCATCCTCTGACCGCTCTGGCTTCTTCCGGCCAGAAGGGTTTGAGGCTGGGGCAGGAGCCTCCATGGGGGGCGAGGGGAGGTCGGGAACCATTTCAGCAGCTTTGGCTCTTTCTTCAAGGAATTTATCAAACTCTGCAATACAAACCAAGGCAAGGGTCAGGGTTGGTGAGGGCAGGCCACCAGAGGAAGCGCACCCTTCCACTCCCCAGCCCGTTTCCTCCTCTAGGGCAGGCATGAAGCCCACCTAGGAGCAGGTGGGTAGGGAGGGGTTCGTGAGCTGCAGTGTGGGGGGAGGCTCCTGGCTGTGCCCAGTCCTCCTGCCCTGGAGGGAAAGGCTCTGGAAAACACAGCCCAGAGTGCTCACCCTACCGCTGACCATTTTCCAGATCAGCACTGGGTTTTGTCCATTTTCCAGATCAGCACTGGGGGTGGGGCAGGGTAAGCTGGAGGGGCCAGCTTCTGATTAAACAGGCAGGAACCATCCCACCTACCCCACCCTTGCCCACCAATGGAGGACTGAGGAGATGCTGAGGAATGCAGTGGGGAGGGGGGAGTGCCCCATTTCTATGGGCACTGAGAGCTAGGGAGCAGGGTCCTCTGAAGTTTCCCTCCCTGCGGAGCGGTCTGGCCACAGGGTCTGGCAGACCTGGGGAGAGGAGGACAGGAGCACGGAGAGGCAGATGGAGTGGGGCAAGATGAGCTTGGGGAGGCAGGATGTGAAGGGCAGGGGATGTGGGGGTGGCCATGTGGGAGAACTAAGACCCCGCTGCTCCCATCCAGCCCATCAGCTGAGGCCCAGGAGAGGCTCCTCCCTTCTGGCTCAGTGGCCCAAGGGTGCTGCTGCGCACCTCCACAAACTGCGTGTCTGAGCTGGGCTGAGCACCTGTGGGTCAGGACCAGGTGGCAATCTGCACCCGCTATTCACCAGCTCTGCAACTTTGTGGAATTGACATGTTCTTTCTGACCTGTTTCCCAATAAGCGAGATAAATCACACTTCCCAAATCAGCGTAAGACCTGGGTGGGACAAAGCCACCCGTGAAGCCCATGGCTCAGGGCCTGGCACCAGTAGGTGCTCTGGCAGCGGGGGCTCCAAGATGATGGGGGCTGGCTCCTGTGCAGCCTGCACAGAGGCAACAAAAGGGGGCTGTAAGGCCACTGGCCAGGCCATACCTTCACTTGTGACACCCTCCTCCAGATCATCACCCTTCTGTGGGAGGAGCAGAGAAAATGAAATTAGGGCACTGGTCCAAGCACTGCCCGCCCAGCCACCTCTGTCTGCCCATGGCCACCCTAGGACAGCACTGCCCAGGGTAGCCTGAACAAAACTTCCTAATTTTCCCTGTTTCCAGATTTCTGTAATAGTAAAATACTGCTCTTCTTATTGGAGAAACAGAAGCTTTGTTTTTAAAAAACAAAAGCAAAAAATTCAAACATGTTTTAGGTTTTGATCCTCCAGAAAGGCTGGAAAGAAAACTCCAAAAACGGTGCAGGCTGGTTCTCCAGCCTGGGCTGCAGAGGGCGGGACCCCACCTTTGGCACTCTTGAGGCTCTAGGGAGAGGCACAGAGCAGTAGCCACAGGGGGCTGAGCCTGAGCACACACAGGGTCACGTGTGCCCAACACAACACCCACTCACTGCCAGCCACAGGGTTTCTGGGAAGACGCTGTTGACACCAATAGCTGGAAACCGCATGAGGCCTTGATGGCTCAGGGCCACAAAGCCCACAGCACAGGGCCTGTCACTCAGTAGGTACTTTGGGAGTGGAGGCTGTGCCTCCAGAAGCCATGTCCTGCAGCCTCCTGGGAGCTGCACCAGCCTCCTCCCGTGGCCCAGATTATATTATCTGCTGCTGGCTCCTCAAGGAGCCATGGAGGCTCTGTGCACTCAAAAATTAAAGTGCATCAGACTTGATTTTGTTTGGAGAACATGGTAGTGTCTTGAGCTCATGGGGTTCCCTGGGGACTGGGGAAGAGCAGCATGTGCAGGGCCTCATTGGGAAGGGGCAGGATGGGGAAGTGACAAAGCCCTGGGCTGGGCTAGGAGACCTGGGTTCCTTCCTGACTCTACCACTGACCTGCTATGTAGCCTTACTGGACACATCCCCTCCCTGTCTGGACCCTGGGGTCCCCCTTAGAAGTTAAGGACCTTGGTCCTTCCTGCCTTGCTTCTGTGAGAGAAGCAATTTCTTTTCGAGACAGCCCCTTGGGAAAGATGTCCCGGGGTGTGTTCTTCCTCCCTGACACCCAGGCAGCTGCCTTCTTTGGCAAGGCATGTGTTTGGAAAGCTGACCTTCTGGGGAGGAGGCCCAGAGCAGCCAGAGGCCCCAACCTGAGGCCTGCTGTCCTGGTGTGGGAGGTAGCCAGGTCACCAGCCCACAGACAGCCAGGCTGACCCTGTGGTTAAAGAACTCAACAGGCTCTTCTGCCTGGGGACAAGGCCCCCTACAGAGGAGGCACCTAGGAGGGAGATGAGGTGTCTCCAGCTCTGGGGGAGAATCCAACTACCCCATGACTCTGGGCAAGCCACTTCCCAGAGTGCACTTCTTCATCCGCCACCCTGGCCCCCTACTGGGCTGCTGAGAGTGAAAGTGCTTTGTAAAGAACAGAGGGAGGGGCCAGCAGTTATCACATGCAGCCACTGCAGCTCTCCTTTCTTGGGACCTGTTGCCATTTTCAGATGCATAGTATCCTCATCTTCTAGCCCTATCTCTGAGGATGGAGACAATGGGTCTTTGGGGCAGGGGTTCTTTTACATCAAAAATCAGGAAGGGAGGAGGGGGATGACAGCCAATTAAAAACAAAAGCACTGTGTGTATACTTCACAATTAAAAAAAAAAGAAATGAAAACAAAACAAAACAAAACAAAAAACATGCTCCCCCAACACTCCCTCCCCCAAAAAACCAAAGCACGGCACATACATCTGAAATGGAAAAGATACTGGGGGGAAGGCAAGTGTGTGTTTTGGAGCCAGCTACGGCTAGGACTGTGTGGGTGAAGGAGGCTGTGCCCAAGGCCTTGCCCCCAGCACAGTTGGCCTCCGCAGGCCGGGAGGCCACTGCAGCACCCACAGCTATGGGCTGATGTCGGGGAGGAGGGGCAGCTATGGAGCTTGCCCAGACCTCCCTTCTCCACTGACCCAGACAGGGGTGGAGCCCCTGCTGATGCTCCCCCAAGGCCTGTCCTCAGAAGAGCCTCTGCCGCTCCACACCCCACAGATGAAATAGAAAAGTCGAGTCTCACCAGGTCGGTCCTGAGCCACACCTCAATGTCGTCCATGACAGATGGCTGCGCAACGGGGATCTATGGAGGCGGCAAGCAGCGGGCCAGGCAGCCCCCACACAGCCAGCGAGGGGAGACAGAACACCGGAACAAAGGAAATCATCAACAGCAACCCCAAATAAAACCAAAATGTACACAGAGCAAAAAAACACAATTGGCACAGCACACAGGGGCAACACAGGGCAGCCACGTGTGAGATGGCAGGTGAGGAAAGCAATGAGGTGCAAATGATAAGAAGCAGGCTCCCGGCAGGGCCGGCGGTAAGGAAGGTGGCTGTACGCGTTCTTGAAATGGAGAACTTTTTGACTATGAGTGTCCACTCTCACATTGCGGGGCCTCTCAGCCCGGGGCTGCAAAACACCTTCTAACTTCAGGAAGGCGCTGCCACGCAGGCTGATTTTGAACTCAGCCACTATGACAGTCCGCTGTCAAGCCCAACCCAGGGAAGGCCAAGTGACAGCCTGCCCAGAGCGGGGTACAGGTGCTCAGAGGGCAGGGCAGCACCAGCCCCGGGGGGATGCAGGGGGTCTGTTTGCTCCGCTGAAGAGATTTTGAAATGCGTCCTGGTGCATTTCTGAGTGGAGAGGGGAACTGGAGGAGGTGCGTGCTCCGCTGGGCTGGGTGTGGCCTGGTAGACAGAGGCAGGCACATTTTACCATCAACAGAAACACAGCAAAAACGAGGGCTCTGATGACAAAGGGGACTATGGGGCTTTAGTCTTCTTTGTGTCTCTTTAGGGGAAATTCATGAAGCAGCCCTGAAAGCAACAGCTCCCTTTAGTCTCGTCCTTTCTTCCCTGTGTTCAATGGCTGGCTGTGCTTCAGGAGTCAAAGAAACCAAGTTCAGCTGAGCACTGGGGCGCAGCAGCCAGAGCCAGGGAGGTGACAGCTTCCAGGCATACTAAGGTGTACCACGGGGTTGCCTGAGCAGTCACCTTGCTTGGGCCCCTGTGCCAAGCACCTCAGGGACAGAGACTCTGAAAAATGCACATGGCTAAAAAGGTTTAAGTTGCCATCAAATATGACATGATAAGAAGCTCCCTAGAAGCCATGTTAATGGAATGTTGGCTCCCAGCCTAGAGAAATGAGGTGATGACCCTTAATCACCTCCTCACCTACCCTGGCTCTGGGAGGTACCCTTCCGGGGCTCACTTGCAAGACCCCTATTTCTATTACAAAAATGCCAGCTCTGTCTATAGCTGGCTTCACCCAATGCCATGATCTAGGGTAAGACTAAAGTAAAAATAAGCAGTAAAAGGAATGCATACCCCAGTGTCTATCAAATGTAAAAAATAACACGACCTTCACAAAGAAAAAGAACAAAGAACACATATCACCAGCAGTGATGTGACAACTCCAGTCCTGGGGGTTGACACCTGCTGCTGATGGTGGGGGAGGGTGGTTTGGGGTCCCAGGTAGAGTCCAGCACTCTGAGCAGGTATCTACGATGCCACCAGAGCTCTTCACTCCCTCAGTGAGCTCAGCTGGCCCCTTGCTCTGAGGAATGTGCTCTGTGTCCTAACTTCGGACCCAATGTGGGAAGCCCACAAGAGCACTTTCAGAAAGGCCCAAGCCAGTCACTGATCAGATTAGGAAGAGTCTGTGTTGCTCATTATTTCTTTGACTTACTGGGGAGTTAAGAATGTTGAATTGAGCAGGGCACGGTGGCTCATGCCTGTAATCCCAGCACTTTGGGAGGCCGAGGCGGGCAGATCACCTGAGGTCAAGAGTTTGAGACCAGCCTGACCAACAGGGAGAAACCCAGTCTCTACTAAAAATACAAAATTAGTTGGGTGTGGTGGTATGCGCCTGTAGTCCCAGCTACTGGGGAGGCTGAGGCAGGAGAATCACTTGAACCTGGGAGGCAGAGGTTGCAGTGAGCCGAGATCACGCCATTGCACTCCACCCTGGGCAACAAGACTGAAACTCTGTCTAAAAAAAAAAAAAAAAAAAAAAAAAAGAACATTGAATTGAAAAGGTATCAGGGAGTCTTATCACCCAGACATGAAACCTAGGGACAGGAGGCATGTGGGTCCTCACTGGGGGGATGGACGCACAAATGACTGACAGATGTGTTAACAATGCCTAAGGCTGGCACTTCCTTGCCCTTGCCCATCAAAAGGCAGTAGGGTACACTGCTACTCTGTGCTTGCTGGCAGGCCTTCTGCCTTGAGACATTCCTGGAACAGGACACACCAGTTATCATGCTCTCAATGACTGTAAGTCAGAATGTGTGGCCTCTGGGAGGACGCATGCCATGCTGAGTCCCCAAAACTGAAGCTTAGAAAGTCAGCAGCATCTCCAGAGAGAAAATAGTCCCACACTAGCGGTTAGAGTGTGCACCAGCCCTTTCTTTACACCTGACCAGCTTTTGTCCACTTAGCAGAAACAGACTAGATGTCCTGAGCTTTCCAATGTGTTGCAAAAGCTACAACAAAGACATTAAGGGGTCAGGGGCCTTAAACCTTCAGATTTTTCTTGTAATTGTTTTGTTGCTGCTAAAGAACAAATCCCTTGAGGCCTGGGGTCATACTTTAATTTTCTTCTTTGGGGATAAATCTTGAGAGCCAACATGCTCAGAAAATAAACAATGACACTTAAGAAATTCCTCACCTCCTCAAAAATAACTTCCCAAAAGCTGGCTCATGGGAACCCTTTTCTTCCATGTCCTAGATTTTTCCAAATAAGTAGTATGTTTATGGAATGGCATCCTCCAGACCAAGCCCTAGAGGGCACGCTGAGGAGAGTGCACTGGGTGGGGTCCATCTGGGCCCTCACACTCACTGGTGGCAGGACCTGGGGTGAGTCGCTCCTCTCTGGACCCCACTTTCTTCACCGGAGAGCTCCTGAGTTTCTTCTATCCTAAGAAGCCTTAGAGATTTGGGTGGAGAGGCAGGAGCAGGGGACAGAGGCCTGAGCAATGCTTGGCCTCAATTTCCTCATCTGTGAAATAAGGCGATTGCTAGATTGTATTTGGCTTTCAATTCTTATGACTCAGAAACCTTAACTTTCAGGTTGGTGCTTCTGTTTTCTAATTCAGAAACCCAGGGATGTCAGAAATTATGGAAACTGACTCATTACAATATAGAAGCCACTTGGCCTCAGGGCGTGAACCATGGTGGAGCAGGGTGATGGTTAACAGTTAAGCTTATATAACGTAAGCTTAAATTGACTTTCTTGTGGCCAGACACAAAACCTTAGCTATCTAAACCTCTTGTCCTGGTAAATAAATGCCTTGAGTATTATAACAGGGCAAAGTTCCTTCTAATAATGTAGGTGCTATCAGACTCAGACTAAACATGTACACTGCTTGGAAAATATGAACCAAAGAAACTGTGGGAGGCCGAGGACGCGCTCCTTGTCAGGCTGATGGGAGGGAAGTGGGGCCCTGGTTGGAGCAGGGGGCACTGCGCTGAGTCTTAGGGGACTCTGTTTCTTCCCTGCAGCTTTGGGCAAGACACCAGGCCCTTAGGAGGCCTCGGTATCCTCATCTGTCAGACTAGGGGCTGGCCCAGCAGATTCCTAAGAAGGCTGTTGGCTCTGATGTGTCATAGTTTTATTTTTATTTTTATTTATTTATTTAGTTATTTATTTAATTAATTAATTTATTTAGAGACAGAGTCTTGCTCTGTTGCCCAGGCTGGTGTGCAGTGGTGCGATCTCAGCTCACTGCGACCTCTGCTTCCCAGGTTCAGATAATCCTTGTGCCTCAGCCTCCTGAGTAGCTGGGATTACAGGCGTGAGCCACCACACCTGCCTAATTTTTTTTTTTTTTGTATTTTTAGTAGAGACAGGGTTTTGCCATGTTGGCCAGGCTGATCTCAAACTCCTGGCCTCAAATGATCTGCCCAGCTTGGCCTCCCAAAGTGCTGGGATTACAGATGTGAGCCACTGCACCCAGCCTGACATGCCATAGTTTCAGCATTTTCTTGGGCAATGATCCAAGCTGAAGGCTGGTCTGAGGGATCTGAAGAAGCGTATGAGTTGGAAGAGAGGGACAGAAAGGAAGAAGACATGTGAAGAGAGAAAAGGAAGGAAGCTAGCAGAGGAATGCCCTCCAATAGAGACTGCTGCCTGAAGCTCAGCCCCTCTGAAGATAGGTAGGCCAGGCTGGCTTGGCTGAGGCAGTGGTTAGACCAGCCCTGCCCATTTTCAAAGTCCACAGACATCTTGGATGTCAGAAGCCACAGGTTTTGATCTGAGTGGCAGGTGAGCCATCCTGCTGTCAGCTGATTCTCACTTGGAACTGCAGGCAGGGGCAGCTCTGCCTCAGGGATCAGGAGGGAGGGTTGCCTGCCCAAGGGGGAGAGGCATGTCTGTCTGGTACTCCAGGGGTTAGGATTATCCTTCCAGAGTAAGAGCCTTGGGGGCCTCCAGGTCTGAGGAGGGAGTCCCGCCCTCCAAACCCAAGCCTGGGTTTTGGCAGCAGCATTCTTTACTAACCTACCTCTGTTCTTGTTTTGACTTAGATTCTCTCACATGAGGATATTTTCCTGGCTGCACCCTGCAAAAGGGAGACACCCCTAGCTGATCACCAGCCAAGAGAGGCAAAAAGACCTCACACTAGAGAGGCCAGGGAGGGAGAGCACAAGCCTAGCAGTCTCCCTGAGAGCCGCCCGGCCCTAGCCCATTGACAAGTCTCATTTCTCTTCAACCAGTAATAAGCCTGGTGGTGTCAGTTAACTTCTGTGTTGGCTATCCACACACCTGAGTCCCAGGAGCATAAGGGTTCCAACAGATGCTCCTCTGCAGCTTCCCACAGCCCCATGCCCACAAGGAAACCCACCTGTCCAGTTTTCAATGTAACAAGAACAATTTCTGTAGCTCAGGTGTACTATTTCCAGAGAAGCTGTGAATCCCTTCCTATGTCACTTCAAGCACCACCCCACTGGGACCAAGTCTAAAAGCCTTTGATCTCACTCAATAGTACAAAAAGTTTCCAAGTAAAGAATTTGTACTCAGGAGGCTTGAAAAGACTCAAGGTTTCTACACTATGGGAAATAAGGCAAAGCAATTAATATTTGTTGTAAAGAAAAAAAAAAAAACAAACTGCAGTCAGTCAGGCAAGACACCAGGTTAGCTGTTAGTTAGGTTTGTTTCTGGGAAGTTAGAGACTGGAGCTCTACGTGGGACCTGGCAGTGGCGAGGCAGTCTGTGTGGGCAGAGACAGGCACCACCACCAGCTGCCAAGGCCACCCTCAGGGGAGTTTGTGTGGGCAGTATCCTTTTTTGCAGGATTAATAGGCACAAGGGCATGTGGGCTGGATCTTCCCAATGAATGGACATGGTTTCCAGAAGCCCTGCTGCAAAGGCCCCTGACATGTGGGCCAGAGGCCAGCCTGTCCCTGAAGAAGCAAATGAGAGGCCTGGGCCAGCACATCTCTCTAAGAATGGGCTTGGGGTCTAGTGGAGGAACTGCCTTCTCACGCAGAGCAGCAGTATGCTGCTACTATGAGAGGTGGCAGGAGACCTGCCCAGGCTGACAGCAGAGCTGTGCAGAGGGCACCAGCCCAAGCTGGGTGGCAGGCAGATGCCCCTTGCTCCCACGGCTCTGGGTGATCCTGCATGGCCCAAGTTCCTACTCACTGGTCACGCTTTGCTCAAGCAGGTGGACCCTGTGCTGCTTGCAGTCTAGGACCTGCTGGCCTTTCCTCTGGCCACAGCCTAGCATAGCACACTATGGGCAGTTATGTATTCCTCTCACCCCACCCCACCTGGAGGGAGAGGCACATGTTTGCACTGCTTTCATCATCTTTCCTTCTCTGCATTCTCTCCAGCTCAGGCTCCATCACATGTACCACAGCTTTGGGCTCTGCTAGAGGTGAAATGGTCATCCCAAGACATACAGCCTGAGATGAGCTGACCCTCTCTCCATGCACCAGGCTCAGGCCACCTGAACAGACAAGGCAGGAGAGACCCTTGCAGGTCTGTGGGCCAGGAAAGCTCTGCTACATGAGAACCAACTGTGTTTACAACATTGAACTCCCCTGGGCTTTGTTTTCTTTTTACTCTGTTTCTACTGTGTTTATTTTTTTATTTTTTTGAGAGGGAGTCTCACTCTATCACCAGGCTGGAGTGCAGTGGTGCAATCTCAGCTCACTACAATCTCTGCCTCCCAGGTTCAAGCGATTCTCCTGCTTCAGCCTCCCAAGTAGTTGGGATTACAGGCACATGCCACCACACCCAGCTAATTTTTGTATTTTTAGTAGAGACAGGGTTTCACCATGTTGGCCAGAAGGGTCTCGATCTCCTGACCTCGTGATCTGCCTGCCTCAGCCTCCCAAAGTGCTGGGATTACAGGCGTGAGCCACTGCACCCGGCCTGTGTATTCTTCAAGAGGTTTCAAATCATTTTGACGGACTTAGTGGATATAAGCAACTATATTATAAAAATCTGTCAAGCCTAGGACTGCCAAATTCACAGGCACTGGGCTACAGAGGGCTTCCCTGACTGGTCAGATGCTTTGAGTCTGTTCCCTTAGAATTGTTCCCTCCCAAGCAAAAGCCACAGTAACTTGTGCTCATCCTGGAAAAGTGAATACTGCTCGGAGCTCCGGAGACAGTAAAAGGAAGGAAAGGACCCTCTCCTCATCCCTGCTAATGTCCCAGACTCTTAAGGCCTGGGGACAGGGAGGTATTTTTGGGACTGGGAATCTGTGGCTTACAGAGATTATGCAAAAATAGGAGGGGAAATTTGGCACCCCTGCCAGAAAGAAAGCGTGTGGCCTTGTACTGTCTGATTCACAAAGGCTCGGCAGGTCACAAGAGGAAGACATGAGCTGTTACACAGGTAGGGGCTGGGGTGGACAGCAGGCTTGGCTCGGCTGGTGACTCCTCACCATTCCTTGGGTTATAAGCCAGCTGTCTATGGGCTCCAGGTCAGACTCCCCACCTCTACCTCTCTTCTGGGCCGAGGACAGAAAAGTCTCAGAAAGAAAAGTCACAGCAAGACCCATGAGAAAGAAGTCAATAGCACATATTGTGGAAACAGAAAAGTCACTCTTCAGACGTGATCCTTTGCCACGTAAGGAAATGTGATGCCCTGCTCCCAACCTCCACCCCAGCACGTCCCCCTTACCTGCCTGGAAAAAAGAAGAAAAGTTTAGTAACCAAGAATCCCAACAGGATAACACATACTCATGCCAACTACTCCCGTGCCCTTGGAAAATCTCCAGGAGATCACAGAAGGTTGACCAGAGCCGCTTCTCTCAATTACGGCTATCAGGGTTGGGAGGGGGTCAACTTTTCAAAGAACCAGCTTTTACAAAAGCAATTCTACTTTTTTCTTTTTCCTACATTTTTTTTTTCTCTTTTCTAGTGGCATGTGTATTCTTTTTCTAAACTCTTGAATACTAAATTTAGGTGTATTATTGCCTTTTAAAATATTTATTTGAGATGAGGTCTCACTGTGTTGCCCGGACTGGTCTCAAAAACTCCTGGGCGCAAGTGATCCTTCCGCCTCAGCCTCCTGAGTAGCTAGAATGACTTTTTCTTTTTCTCTTTTTGAGATGGAGTCTTGCTCTGTCACCCAGCCTGGAGTGCAGTGGTGCGATCTCGGCTCACTGCAACCTCCGCCTCCTGGATTCAAGCAATTCTCTGTCTCAGCCTCCCAAGTGGCTGGGATTACAGGTACCTGCCACCACACCTGGCTAATTTTTGTTTCTGTTTTTTTGAGATGGAGTCTAGCTCTGTCGCCAGGCTGGAATGCAGTGGCACGATCTTGGCTCACTGCAACCTCTACCTCCTGGGTTCAAGCAATTCGCCTGCCTCAGCCTCCCAAGTAGCTGGGATTACAAGCATGCGCTGCCACGCCCAGCTAATTTTTGTATTTTTAGTAGAGATGGGGTTTCACCATGTTGGCCAGGACGGTCTCAATCTCCTGACCTCGTGATCCACCCACCTCAGCCTCTCAAAGTGCTGGGATTACAGGCGTGAGCCATTGTGCCCGGCCCTAATTTTTGCATTTTTATTAGAGACAGGGTTTCACCATCTTGGCCAGGCTGTTCTTGAACTCCCACCTCGGCCTCCCAAAGTGCTGGGATTACAGGCGTGAGCCACTGCGCCCAGCCCTGGGATGACCTTTTCTTGACTGACTTGGTTGGATTTGATTTGTAGAGGTGCGGCTACACGATTTTCTCCCATTCATTTTATTTTATTTATTTTTGAGACGGAGTTTCACTCTTCTTGCCCAGGCCCGAGTGCAATGGCATGATGTCGGCTCACTGCAACGTCCGCCTTTGGGTTCAAGCGATTCTCCTACCCCAGCCTCCTGAGTAGCTGGGATTACAGGCATGTGCCACCATGCCCAGCTAATTTTGTATTTTTAGTAGAGATGGGGTTTCTCCATGTTGGTCAGGCTGGTCTCGAACTTCCGACCTCACGTGATCCGCCCGCCTCGGCCTCCCAAAGTGCTGAGATTACAGGCATGAGCCACTGTGCCCAGCCTTCCCCTTTTTTATTGTGTTCTTAATTTCTCCCTTGGCCTCGTTTTCATTTCGAGGTCAGCATGGCTTGGGATGGGACAAGGTAACCTGAAATGCTGCAGGTGGGCAAGAATATGTGTAGACACACACAGACACACACAGCCCACATGCTCTGCTGCCCTGTATCGCTAAGGCTGTGGCCATGGCATTGCCCCATGGAGCAGCAAACATGAAAAGCAATCTGATGGCCGGGCATGGTGGCTCACATCTGTAATCCCGGCACTTTGGGAGGCCAAGACGGGCAGAGTGCCTGAGGTCAGGAGTTCGAGACCGACCTGGCCAATATAGTGAAACCCTGTCTCTAGTAAAAACACAAAAATTAGCCGGCTGTGGTGGTGGGCACCTGTAATACCAGCTACTCAGGAGGCTGAGGCAGGACAATCGCTTGAACCTGGGAGAGGAAAGCTGCAGTGAGCCAAGATCGCGCCACTGCACCCCAACCTGGGCGCCAGAGCGAGACTCCATCTCAAAAAAAGCAATCTGCCTACTGCTGGGTGGAAAACCTGCTGGAGTCATCAGGACCTTTGAAAACAGGGAGCTAGTCCAAGCCACACACACAAAGGGTGAAGGGCGGGAAGTCACTCACATCTCCTGGGCTCAGACCCAGGCCTGGGCGCTGATAATGGCAGGGGTGCAGCAGGACACACCCTGGCATGGACAAGGCAGGTCCTGGACCCAGAGTGAGGGACAAATGAGGTCAGCCTCATAGGGGCACAACAGGGCTGCTCCCAGTGCAGGCCAGGGTTGGCCACGAGGAGGGGATGTCCTCACCAGGCAGTATCCTGGTAGGCCCCTGGCTGGGCTCTCTAATGCCCACGCTGGGGCAGGTGGGAGGACATTCTAAGTAATGGGAGAATCAGAGCCATGAGCACTGCATTGATTTTGAGTGTCCCAGTCTCAGGGGTTCAGGTGGCACTGCCCACTCCTGTGGAAAGGCACGGCACTGAGGACCCAAGGCAGCCAGCTGGCTCTTCTGCGCCCTCTGGTGACCAGTGCAGAGGGATGCATGCCCTCAGATCCACCAGGTGAAGACCAGCATGGATGAGGGAGTGAGTCCCTTCCCCCAAGAAGGAGCATCCCGTGGAAACCAGCACTGCTGCCTGCCTGGGCCCATTGGACAGGGGCTTCAGAAGGCTAAAAATTGGGACCCAGTAAGCAAACAGCCCTTTGCAAACCTTCCTGTCCAGTGGACAGATGATCACTGCCCTCTCTAGCCCAGCTGGGGGACCCAGACAGGAGTTCCAGCTGTTGTCGGCAGCTATTCCAAGGACCCTCCTCCTCCCTGCCCCTGCAAACAGACGTGCATTCATACACATTTCTTTGTTAGGCAAAAACAAAAATCTCATGAGAAGCATTAAGACACACATTCTTTCCCCTTCAGTAATCCGAAATTGTACAGAAAGCATGGTTATGTTTGGGGAGGCCCAAACACATACCATTCCCTCCACTTCACTGTGCCGCACCCCCTCACCGCCACAGGACACCCTCCCAGCCACCACCCAACTGCACCAGCTCTGTAAACAAACCCTGGCTCTCGAGTGCCTTCTAATGGGGTTGGTACTGCTCTGCTAGGCCAGTGACAAATGGCCATCAGAGATGTGGCTCGGGTCAGCATTGTCCTTCCTGGTGCAGGCCATGGTTTTATCAGAGCACTGACCACCCTGTGGCACTGTAACAGGTGACCATAGGAGACTTGTGCCTGGAGAACTTGGGGCCACTGTGGTAGGAACAGCAGGGGTTCTGGAAATGGACACTAATCCTAGGATTGGAACCCCAGCTTGCTGTCTGCTCTCTGGGTGTCTCAGCCTGTCTCCCACCTGCCTGGGACTGTTTTCTCTTGGGTGGATTGGGAAGCTCATGTGTGGCCTCATCTCACGGGGTGAGGTGAAGACTCAATGAGGCACTACCTGGGTTCCACGGGGTGTCCCCCGTGGGTCTCTCCCCCAGGGTGTCCCTGCCCCCTGTGCAAGCCAGTTTCTGCTGAATTACCCAGCCAGCTTTGCCAAACCACCTGACTTTCCCTCCAGAAGACTCCAGGCAGAAAAACAGGGTTAAAGACCTACCCCTTCTGAACTCTGTTTTCGATTGTCTAGTGCAGAAGCAAGTCCTCCGACAGCCTGAGGATCCTCATAGGTTACCCTGGAGATGAAGAAGCAGCACAAGCAGAGTTCATTTTCCTCCAGTGGTCATGGAGGGATGGGGTAGTGGCCTGTAATCACTTCTATCCTATGGTCCTTCCTCAGATGTCCTTGGAAAAACATTTCCTGAAACCTTGACATTGAGCAGAGGCTAAGGGCTCATGTTGTCTGTCTCCCTGCAGTGGATGCTAGGAGGCCTGGGTCCTAGCTCAGGCTGAGCCACTAATCTCTGCGATCTCAGATTTTGTGCACCTCAACATCCCTCTCTTGAGTAACAATACTGAGCATCTCTGAAGCTGAATGTCCAAAGTGCCCTAATACTCCTCAGAGGGAAGACTAGATAAACACAAAGTAACATTAATTCTTATTTTATTAGCAGCAGCCTCAGTGGCATTTGACAGGGAAGGTGGTCTCTGGGACCCGGGCCTGTCACTGATTATGGGAGGTCTTCCTCCACTCTCCGACTCCTTTAGCTATATCTGTTTTACAATCAACCTTTGGTGGTGAAGGGTACATGGGACCTTGGGTTTCTGCTTACCCTACTGAGCCCCAAGCAGGACTCAGGGTGCTGAGTGCACCAAGATGCTGGGTCCCTGGGAAAGGTGGGAAAAAGTGTGTTTCACCCGCCTTTAGGCTGAACAGAAAGCTCAAAACATGTACAGTGCCTCCCTGAGATGTAGGAGATTCTCTCTTTTGGAATCAACTCCCTGAATTCCAGATGGCTCATCCTAGCCAGAGCTGCTATCAGAGGAGCCTCTGCTCTGACCACTTATTTTAGTCAGGAAAATCTCGCTGTAAGGAATGGGTTCACCCTGCATGGCTGCACCCTCCTGCTTCCAAGCTTCTCCTGTGGATGAGGGGCCAGGCAGGGTGGTGTCTGCAGCAGCAGCAGCATGGGGAGAAAAGAGAAAAGCTGTCTCTTACAACTGACAGGAGAAATCACACTCCAATCAACCCCAAGGGCAGGAGAGTGTGTGTGTGTTTGGGGGGGTGGGGGAGGAGGTGGGCAGTTGGTATTTATTCAGTATCTGCATCTAATGCCAAGTCCTTACAGCCATGCTTTAAAGTTCCTGGCAGTCCTGGACATGGTAAATAAATGCCTTTTTGTGCTGGCCTGTGACCAGGCATGGGTCAATCCCCCCAATATCTTTAGAGAGCCACTAAAAGGGGCCCCACATACGTCTTGCGCTGCTCAGCCAAGGAGTTTCCTCTCGTCTGGGCAAACATGTCAAAGCCGTCACGGGGATTACATTGCTGGAGTGAACTGAGGGTGCCACTGACGCTCTCTGTCCCCAAGTCTGTGGCAACAAAACAAATGGGTGGCAGATGAGAACAAAATGTAGACTGTAGATCTGATGAAGGGCCCCCAAGCTAGGACGCCAGCCAGGTGGGTTTAGGTTCCATGGGGAGGGTGGGGCGGGACTTTCCTTGGTACTCCCAGTGCACCACATGCCGGAGGAGCCAGGGCGGGCCAGATGGGGGACAGAACAGCCACTGCCCCTCAAACTGCTCAAGGAGGCGAAAGAGTCATAACAAAAAAGAGATTGCTGGGGTGACAAGGCAGGGACTGGCGCCAGTGCACCTGCAGATTTTCCATAATGCCCTTCTCGCTTGGGCTCCTCATTAACTCAATCACAATGTCCAAGGACCTGGAACATCTATTTATTCAGCAAATATTTCTTAGGTACCCACCATGTTCAGAGCTAGATCTTGAGTAGACCAAATTGAATCTGATATGGTCCTCAGCTTCAAGAAGGTCAGAGTGGGCAAGAGACAAGCCACAGCAGTGCTTGGCTTGAGACATCAGGAAAGACTCAAAACCAACACAACAGTGGGTCTGTAAGGATAATGAGGAGGATGCTGTGGGGAGAAGGGGAAAGGCAGATAAAAAGGCACGGGGTTTGGAGGCCAGGGTGTGTGAAGTGAACAACGCTCACAGGAAAAAATTTGTGGAGGAAGTGGCTGGTAATACCTCAAATGCCAGGTAAAGGAGTGGGTGGGAAGACACTAGACTTTTTTTTTTTTTTTTTTTTAAAGAGACAGAGTCTTACTCTCTTGGCATGATCATGGCTCACTTTAGCCTTGACCTCCCGGGCTAAGTGATCCTCCCACCTTGGCCTCCCAAGTAGCTAGGACTACAGGTATGTGCCACCATGCCCAGCTGTTTTAAAATTATTTTGTAGAGACAAGGTCTCGTTATGTTGCCCAGGCTGGTCTCAAACACCTGGCCTCAAGTGATCTTCCCACCTCGGCCTCCCAAAGTGATGAGATTGCAAGTGTGAGCCACCACCCCTGGTGGACACTACACTTTTGTTGTTGTTGTTGTTTTGTTTGAGACAGGGTCTCACTCTGGATGCCCAAGCTGGAGTGCAGTGGCATGATCTCAGCTCACTGCAGCCTCAACCTCCTGGGCTCAGGAGATTCTCCTACTGCAGCCTCCTGAGTACCTGGGACTACAGGTGTGTGCCACCACTCGCAGCTAATTTTTTTGTATTTTTAGTAGAGATGAGGTTTTGCTATGTTGCCCAGGCTGGTCTTGAACTCCTGGACTCAAGCAATCCGCCTGCCTTGGCTTCCCAGAGTGCTGGGATTACAGGCGTGAGCCACTATGCCTGGCCTACTATACCTTTTTTAAGAAGAGAGGTAGCAGAATCCAATTTGATTTTTTTTTTTTTTTTGAGACAGAGTCTCGCTCTGTCACCCAGGCTGGAGTGTAGTAGAGCGATGTCGGCTCACTGCAAGCTCCGCCTCCCGGGTTCACGCCATTCTCCTGCCTCAGTCTCCCAAGTAGCTGGGACTA
The DNA here is from genome assembly GCF_000001405.40 of Homo sapiens. Taxonomy (NCBI): domain Eukaryota; kingdom Metazoa; phylum Chordata; class Mammalia; order Primates; family Hominidae; genus Homo; species Homo sapiens. Next base: position 17,864,351 of record NC_000017.11, read on the forward strand.
CAGCCGCCCACCACCACGCCTGGCTAATTTTTTGTATTTTTAGTAGAGACAGGGTTTCACCGTGCTAGCCAGGATGGTCTCGATCTCCTGACCTTGTGATCCACCCGCCTCGGCCTCCCAAAGTGCTGGGATTACAGGCGTTAGCCACCGCACCCGGCTTTTTTTTTTTTTTCTTTTTTGAGATGGCATCTTGCTCTGTTGCTCAGGCTGCAGTGCAGTGGCACAATCTCGGCTCACTGCAACCTCCGCCTCCCGGGTTCAAGCGATCCTCCTGCCTCAACCCCCCTAGTAGTTGGGATTACAGGCACACACCACCATGCCCAGCTGATTTTTGTATTTTTAGTAGAGATGGGGTTTTGCCATGTTGGTTAGGCTGGTCTTGAACTCCTGACTTCAGGTGATCCACCTGCCGCAGCCTCCCAAAGTCTTGGGATTACCGGTGTTACACTTTGAATTTTAAGTATTAAATCTGGCAGTCATATATGCTGGACTGACTGAAGGCAGAGACATCTGTTCTGATACAGAAATAGTGGCTACAAATATACGAAATATTGAGAAGCTACAATTACAGCAACTGATAGCCACTAGAAGTTTAACTCAAGTCAAATGAAAGGAAAGTAGACGAGAAATATTTTTTAAAAAGGAAAACAGAAAAGCAAGACAGAGGAAAGAATTTTGAGGGCCATGCTTATTATTTCAATGTTATAATTTCATTTGTTATAAATTGGTATCATCCAGTATAACCAATGTGCTAGAGTCATATACACACTTTGAATGTACAAACTAAATGAACTGTGGAAAGTGGTGAGTTTCTTTTAAGTTCCAGACAATGGACTGCTTTAGGCTGATGGTAAAGTTCAAGGAGAGCAAATATTTCAGTGCTGCTACCTCCTGTTTCCAAGCCCTCTGTAGATATTGACAATCAATCAATCACAGACTTTTCTAAGCCCTGATGTGGCTTCAGCATCCTCCTCAAACCTGTGTTCCAAGAAGCCAAAGAGCTGAAACCTATCTGCCCTCCTTGACCTAGTTAATATTTATTTATTTTTTTGAGATGGAGTCGTCCCCCAGGCTGGAGTGCAATGGCGCGATCTCGGCTCACTGCAACCTCTGCTTCCCGGGTTCAAGCAATTCTCCTGCTTCAGCCTCCTGAGTAGCTGGGACTACAGGTGCCCGCCACCAAGTCTGGCTAATTTTTTTGTATTTTTAGTACAGACGGGGTTTCACCATTTTGGCCAGGCTGGTCTCAAACTCCTGACCTCAAGTGATCCACCCACCTCAGCCTCCCAAAATGCTGGGATTACGCGCCCGGCCTTGACCTAGTTAATATTGAAAAGGAAATTACTTCAATCATAGGGAATGTTCCATATAAAACATGGCAGGTGACCTTTCTTTTTTTTTTTTTTTTTTTTGAGACAGTGTCTTGCTCTGTCGCCCAGGCTGGAGTGCAATGATGCGATATCGGCTCACTGCAACCTCCACCTCCCAGGCTCAAGTGATTCTCCTGCCGCAGCCTCCCGAGTAGTTGGGATTGCAGGTGCCCACCATGCGCAGCTAATTTTTGTATTTTTAGTAGAGACTGGGTTTCGCCATGTTGGTCAGGCTGGTCTCAAACTCCTGACCTCAGGTGATCCACCCACCTCGGCCTCCCATAGTGCTGGGATTACGGGCGTGAGCCACTGCGCACGGCCGTGACCTTTCTTTAATTCATTGGAATTTCCCCCATCCCTGCTTTCCAACATAGATTTTAAACTTCAAATTTAGGGGGAAAAAAGGTATGAATTGAAAGTAAGGTGGTACAACTGGCTAGGACTCAGGAATACACTTTCACATGTATTTCCCAAAAGACTCTCTTTGGGTCTTCCAAGAAAGAAAGAGAGGTGGCCTGCAAGGGAGGCCAGTGGTAGGAAGTAGGTAGGCCCTTTTGTCCCTGTGAGACACTCACCTAAGCCTGCAAGCTGGGAGGAGAGGGAAGATGGGGGCGCTGTGTTCCCCACCATTGGGCTCACCACGGCTGGAGACCCTGGCCCCAGGTCTATTAAGTTGTCTTCGGTTACTTCATTCAGTACCTGTCAGAACATGAGATTGGCCATAAGCCCCAGAACCCTGGAGTCAGGCTCTGAGGTAGAAGCTGGCAAGGCAACTATGCAGGGTTCCAAGAAGAAAAGTATCAGCGCTGCTCTAGTACAGAAGCAAGGCCACTTCCCCCACCTGCCTTCCAGGTCCATGGTGGGCCTGGATGTCAGTGAGCCCTGCTCACTGCCTCCTCCCCGTCCCCACTAGAAGGAGGGGTTGCTGAGTCAACAGTGACTGTCCTGGGAGATGCAAACTTAGGGCTTGCTTGCCACCTTCCCATCAGGGGTGCCTGCTAGCTCTGCCCTAGTATCCCATCAACCAGAGCTTGCCTCTTCAATTTCCCAAATATTTCAAAACCAGTTAGAAAAACTGGAGGTCTCTCCAGCCTCCAAAACGTGGAGGGGTAGGTCTGGCCTCAGGAGATGACAGGATTCTGAAGGAATACTTACTCCATTACTGGCATTTTGAACGGATCGGCCAGACCTGTATCGTTCGAACCTAACAGGGGAAGGGAAAGCAGAAGTAAGGAGAGAGGATGCCTGTGATATGGCCCTGTGGGGTGCTCACTAGTCCTATGAAGAATCCCTGGGACCAAGACCAGCCAGTCCCACCTGGGGGCTAGGGAGTGAAACCATATATCAACTCTGCCACGGCTTCCTCTGTGTGGGGCTCCCCCTGAGAGGATCAGCTTCTCACCCAGCACCCAGAGTGGGCATCAGAAAGGGGTGGTGGCTGGCCCATCATGGAGGTCATTGTGAGTGTCCCCAGCCTCTCCTCACACACCTGGGCCCTGGAGGGAGGGTGGCTTAACCACCTTACCTTGGAGCTGCAGACTCCCTATTTCATAGGGCTGTGTTCAGGAGCAACTAGCTAGTGTTCCTAACATGCTCCCAACTCAGCCTCTGGGGAAAGGGGGTGGGGCACACATAGGGTGGGCACCAGCAGGAGGAAGGCGGACGCATGGCCCTGGCTACGGCCTGGGGAAATGCTCGCCAGTAGCTGCTACAGAGAGGCCTGGGCCAGTCATCGAAGGACTGCTAGGAGGGTGGAGTGAGTGTCCTCTGCACCCAGTCAGGCAGTGCAGGGGGAGTTGGCTTTGAGCAACTGTCGAAGGCCAGGTCATCCTCCTGTCAGGTGGGGAACGGAAGAGTAGTTATGAGGTGTGTGTTGGGGTGGGGCAGAATAGATTATGTTCTGTATCGTATTTAAAAACTCCAAATGCCATGGGCAGCGGTAGCTAAGAGACTTTTTCCAGCTGGAGCCTTAGACACCCAGCTTTAGTGAGTTATGCTGCTCCAGATTTGTCTCCCAACTTGCTGGGGTCAGCAGCTGGTGACAAGAAAGAGATCCCCAGGAGGAATGATCTGGGTAAGGCAGTGAGTGTCCACTGTGGTTTTAAAAACGACTTGTGTGTTTTTTCAACAGTGGTCTACAAGGAGAACAGGAATATTAATACATCTGAAACAATTTTAATCCTGGGGTACCTTTCCCACACTCATCTTCAATGAACAATGAGTATCATCAAAGACACTCTAACCAGGATAGCACTTCCAGCCACCAGCCCCAGGCTTTGCCTCTGAATTATGTGTAATGCTTGGACTGGGAGACTCTTGGGTGAAAATACTCATATTAGTTAGCTCCTGTTATGCTTTCTAGCAGGGCTTAAATAGGTTTAATAGGTTAAACCCAAGCCCATTTACCATGGAGAAACTGGAATCACATGGCAAGACAAAGGGGCCTCGGGCTGGGAGTCAGGTCCCCTTATATCTGCTCCTGTTCTCCAACTGATGCACTGGGGGGTCCTGGGGATGCCCCCACACTTACTGCAGAGGTTTATTCACCTGTCAGGTGGGCACAGAGCCACTGGTGTGTACTTCCGTAGTCAAAAGATGAGACAAGGCCCAAGGCTGTGACAGCCATAACAAAATCACCCTTTAGGTCCCCAAAGGGTAACGCAAATGCAAGCATCTGTCCCACTCACCCTAACTGATGCCAGGTCCTTGTCCTCCTGATGAATCCAGCAGTAGGTTGTGAGTCAGCTGGTGCGGCAGAGGGGACCAGGACCTTAAATCTGCAGGGGACTCAAGCCACTGTCCTGTCCTCTCAAGCCTCATCTTTAAGGGGAAAAGGTTGGCCTGATCATGGTCCTTTCTGGTCCTTATGCTGAGTCCTTCATGAAAGCCCAGTGTGCTCCCATCAGGTGATGAGATGGGAACTGTGCTTGCCATTATTCCTCCTATTTAAAACTAGGTCTAAATAAGACATTTTGGACTTTGTCCTGAGGGAAGGCTTTGGAAATGAAAAAGAATTTGCAGGTTTGTTACCTCAAACTCAAAAATGATTTGGCTGCAGAAAGAACTGGAATGAATGTGTGCACGCTTCCCTAAGCAGCAGCATTCCGGCACTTACACCCGCCTGCTTCCCCTGAATGCTCTAGATAACATTGACATTTGCAAAGGGAAAAGCTTTTTTTCTTTTTTCTTTTTTTTTAAGATGGGAAAGAGGAAATCCTTTTTCTTACTAGAGATTTTTTTTCCCTTTAATCCTTTTCAAATTCAAAGGATCATCAAAGGAGCAGGTGCAGAAGCTCTGGGGCCCAGAGGCCCCCAAGTGCTACCCCTCCCTGGGGCTGGGGGTGGCGGGGCAGTGGGGAAAGGCAGAGCAGCCTGAGGCTTACAAAGGGCAGAGCCTAATTCTGCACGTCAACTTCCTGCTGCTTCTGCTGCTCAGTTCCCAGGAGGACAAGAAGCATTTTTCCTGTCAGCCGGGAACAAATTAGCATCTCTGATGAGTATTTTCCAACTCTAATCTCTCTCCCTCTCCCTCTCTTTCCTTTGTTTATGAAAGAAATCCCTCTGTTATGGCAACAATCTTTTCAAGGGAAAAAAAAAAAAAAAGAAATCCGGCTCCCACCTCTCGTATCGAAGGAAGACGTTGTTGAGGTCATCGTTCACATGCAGCAGCTCCTCGGTGACCTCCTCATTGGACACGCGGGAGATGAGCTCCACGATGCGCTGCTGCATGGCCCGACAGGTCCTGTTGAGCTCCTAGGGAACACATGCACCTCTGGGTAGCCTGCTGGGTGTGCTTTTCGTCACATTCTATCTCCTTTGAAAAAATTTGTACTGATTCTTAAAAGTCACAAAAGGAGTACATGCTTGTTCATAAAACCAGACATGTGCCGAATTCAAAGTAGAAGTTCCCTCTTCACTGCCTGCCCCTCCTTCCGCAGAGGAAACAAGTACTTTTTCAGCAGACAAATGTCCAGACATACTGTTGTATGTATACAAGTACATGCTTGTACAAATCATTAAAAAATATTAAAATGTGATTCTTTCCAGATTGCTTTTTCTCAACAAAATATTCCAGACACCGTTCTCCATCACTTGGTACAGACTGCCTCATTCCTTTCTGTGTGTTTCATAATGTATCTCGCCATTCTTCTATTGCTGGACATTTAGATTGTGGTCTCTCTTTTTGTGGCCAACCTAAATAATGCAGCAATGAACACCTGTACACACACATGCATATGCACTTGGGCAAGCACTTCCATAGGACAGGTTCCTTAGCAGGGAAATTTCTAGGTGAAAGGGTATGGTCATTTATAACATTAATTAGTAATAGTAAAAGGCCCTCCAAAAATATGACATCAGTTTACTTACACTTCCAGCAACAGCAGGAGTGTATTTTATGACTGCATTAGGTATATTTTGGTGGCACGTCTGCCACTTTGCCGAGACCTCAGAAGCCCAGGCAGCTCCCTGGCTGGCCGAAAGAGGAAATTCGCACACCCCCGGTTGCCCCTGGAGCCCTCTCTACCCTTAGAAGCAACATCCCCGTGACGACAGAGCCTTAGCACTTTATGGCCTGGCTTCCATGAGCCTTCCCTGTTCCAGAACAGCAGACTTACTGATGCCCTTGTTCAAACTTGCTTACAGAGCTCCGTCAATTCCTGCCAGGCCCCTTGCCATCTCGATGCCAGACTGAGGATGCTACAGAGGAGGGAGCTGGCAACACTGCCAGGCTGGCCCCCAAGCATGTGACCAAAGCTACAAGTCCCAGTGTGCCATACAGGGTTAAAGCAGAGGGAAATGCTGTTCCCACCTACCTGGGCACTGGAGGGTGCCAGTGAGTTAAGGGGATAAGACATGAAGGATAAGTCTCTCCTTCTCACAGCTCAGCCTCAAAACGACTTCATTTTGAAACCGTTTCTGGTAGAAGTAACTGATTTATTCACAGGAGACACGGCAATCTCTCTTTAGTTCCTCATATTGTCTCATAATCTTGCTAGCTTGGCTACAGGGTCTTCCTTCCTACCACATCATAAACTCTTGAGGGGGTGTTACCATTTATCCACTCAAGGATGCCCTCAAGCCCCGCACTGAGCCACACACAGTGAAAAAGCCCAGTAATCATCTGCTGAACACATCACCAAGGTGGTCAATCAGCCAGTGGGGAATCAAAGGCATCCCCCCTGCATGTCCCTGGTATCCTGCAACACAGCACTCACACAGGGGCTGGGCTTCTTATCTGCCCTCCCGTCTAGACTGAAGCTCCTTGAGGGCAGAGAAGGTATTTCCCTGGTACCCATGACACATGGGAGGCTCTCCCCAAGTACTTCTGAGAGAATTAATTAATGACTCTAAAGTATTCAGAGGCCGGGGCCAGGTGTGGTGGCTCACGCCTGTAATCCCAAAACTATTGGAGGCCGAGGCGGATGGATCACGAGGTCAGGAGATCGAGACCATCCTGGCTAATACGGTGAAACCCCGTCTCTACTAAAAACACAAAAAATTAGCCGGGCGTTGGTGGCGGGCACCTGTAGTCCCAGCTACTTGGGAGACTGAGGCAGGAGAATGGCGTGAACCCAGGAGGCGGAGCTTGCAGTGAGCCGAGATCACGCCACTGCACTCCAGACTGGGAGAGAGAGCGAGACTCCATCTCAAAAAAAAGTATTCAGAGGCCAAGTGCGGTGCCTCATGCCTGTAATCCCAGCACTTTGGGAGGCCGAGGCAGGCGGATCACTTGAGGTCAGGAGTTTGAGACCAGCTTGGCCAACATGGTAAAACCCCATCTCTACGAAAAAATACAAAAATAAATTGGGCACAGTGGCATGCACCTGTAATCCCAGCTATTCAGGAGGCTGAGGTGGGAGAATTGCTTGAATCCGGGAGGCAGAGGCTACAGTGAGCAGAGATTGCACTACTGCACTCCAGCCTGGGGAACAGAGTGAGACCCTGTCTCCAAAAAATAAAAATAAAATATAAAGTATTCTGAACTCTTGGTCCCCGCAAATTACCAGCTCAGTTATCCACATACTCTCAGTCTTCTCAGCACTCTTCACTCAGAGAATGGGGAATTCTTGTTCATCCAGGATCTAATTTTCCCTCTCTAGGACTCATCCCAGGCCCCACTGAACCAGCAGTAAGCACTTATAAACATACAGACAAGTGCTAGAATTAATAAGAGGTGAATACGGGATCTTAATTGCAGGGGACACTACTATCCAGTAAAGAGAAAACTCCACAAAATACCCACTCTCCTCTGTTGTGAATGGCTCATGTCCCCAGGCCAGGCAGGAGAGGGGCTCTCAAAAAGCTGCCTGGGCCTTGGGGCCTGCCAGACGTGGTCTGGATTGCCAGGCAATAATGGCCACAGGCGCCAATGGACACTCACAGGTCAAAACCCAGTCACAATTACTGTACACAGGAAAACCAACAACACAGGGGAAACACTCATTACAGAATGAAGCATACTCAGGAGTGATGCAGAAAACCAAGGCAGGCCCTTAACATTAAAACAAACAAAAACAAAATAAAAATGTCCAAACTTATGAAAGAAACAATCACATAGATCACGTGAAGGATTCCAACAGCCAGGACTGAAGTGAACAATTAAAATAATTATAGTATTTCTAATAGATTGTTAAAACACAGTGAGCATCTGTTCAGGGCTGACAGAGGAGCACAGATTTAGGTTAACTTTGACAGACCATCCTCCCCTGCTTCCTAAAAGAAAAAAAGGATACTTGGCCAACACTTGGGCAGTAGATTTACCCCATACTTTGGAAGAAGCACCAGAGGGAGACCTGGCCAAAGTGTGCAGGATGGAAAAGGGAGGCTGGGCAGTAGGACAGAGAAAAGAGGTCAAACAAACTTCTGCCTCTCTGCTCTGCCATGGACTGTTCCGGGCCACCGTGCGGGTCTCCTCCCCAGGGATGTGGACGTGCCAACACACATGAGGACCGAGCCAGGCACTGCTGAGCTCCTCTTTGCTCCAGCGCTCCAGGTGTCTGCGGAAAATCTCTGATGAGCAAAAGGATCTCAAGTCCCAGCTCAGGACCCACCCCCTCCAGCAAACAGGCCCATTACAAGAAAGTGTGGCCTCTGGGGCTTGTGGCCTAGCAGCAAGCCCTGGCTGTCCTTGGCTGGGGAGGGAGAAGGAAAAAAGTCAATCACTTCTCATGCAAACTGCAGGCCAATCACAAGGCACAGGACGTGCAAGTCAGGGGAGTGTGGCAGTAGGTTGTGGGAAACAGATCCAAGTTACCCTCCAGAAGACTGGGGTATCAGCACCTAAGGCCCACAGGCCATCTTCAAATACACCTCAGACTTTCCAGAATATAGGTGGCCTCAGGCACTTGCCACACTGCTTAAGGGCTCCTGAGAAGTTGGCCATCTGCCTGCAATGTCCCTTATTTCCTTTTCCATCAAACAAACTCTTACTCATCCTTCAAGGCCTCAGGATGTTTCCCCACTCCAGTATTTTGTCATAAAAATTTTCAAACATACAGCAAAACAGGAAGAATTTTACAGTGAACAGACACCATATGCCTATCACCTAGATTGTACCATTAACATTTTACAGTGACAGCTTTAACACGTACTTCCCATTTATTCATCTTCCTGTCCACATACAATGTTTTCTGGGGATCTCCCACCACCCCACCCTCCTCAAGACTCCCAAAGCATTCAACACACTCCAGTCTGTCATCAGAGCCCCTCTACAAAAACCTCCAGCAAGGGGTGACCAGCCCCCATCTGCACTCCACACAGCAGAAGCCCCGAAACAAAGAGTAGGCCTCAAGGGTGGTTCACTGGATTTAGAGGAGAACCAAACCAGATTCCTCAGTAGACTGCAGGAAGTGTCTCAGAAACATGGCTACAAATACTCCCAGCACCGGCGGCCTGATGGAAGGGAGCAGGGGTTGATGTCAGTCTCCTCAACAGAGCCCTAGCCCCAGCTGGGTGCTGGGGACGAAGCTGCAGGCAGCAAGTAGCCTGTGACTGGATACACTCTCCAAGTCTCCAGTCCTCTCCAGGCCTGCTTCTCCCTGGGTAAAATAAGGGGGCTGCATTCATGAGGAAGTTTTTCTGCAGAAGGCCACTGTCATGCTGCAGCGGCCTCCATGGCACGGGGCCAGGGCAGCTGAGGCTGCTCTGCTTTTCTCGATTTTAAACACTGCCATTCACTGTAAAATTTTATTTGTGGAGGAAAAGGTTCCATACTTTATTTACTTATTTACTTACTTATTTTTTTTTTTTTTTAGATGGGAGTCTCGCTCTGTCGCCCAGCCTGGAGTGCAGTGGCACAATCTCGGCTCACTGCAAGCTCCGCCTCCCGGGTTCATGACATTCTCCTGCCTCAGCCTTCCGAGTAGCTGGGATTACAGGTGCCTGCCACCAAGCCCGGCTAATTTTTTGTATTTTAATAGAGACGGGGTTTTACCATGTTAGTCAGGATGGTTTCAATATCCTGACCTCATGATCTGCCCGCCTTAGCCTCCCAAAGTGCTGGGATTACAGGCGTGAGCCACCACGCCCAGCCATTACTTATTTATTTATTTATTTATTTAATATGTTGAGATGGAGTCTTGCTCTGTCACCCAGGCTGGAGTACGGTGGTACGATCTCAGCTCACTGCAACCTCCGCCTCCCAGGTTCAAGCAATTCTCCTGCCTTAGCCTCCCAAGTAGCTAGGATTACAGGCACCCGCCACCACACCCGGCTAATTTTTGTATTTTTAGTAGAGATGGGGTTTCACCATGTTGGCCAGGCTGGTCTCAAACTCCTGACCTCAAGTGATCCACTTGCCTCAGCTTCCCAAAGTGCTGGGATTACAGGTGTGAGTCACTATGCCTGGCCTCCATTACTTTAAAAAAACGTTTGGAAAGTGTTAGATGATTTCTGAGGCTCTAACATTGTGACCTCAGCTTGGAGGAAGAATGAGCCCCAAGGGCACAGAATGCAGTGATCTCATCAACAGTCAGCACCAGGAACATCTGCTCTGGCCTTGTGTTTGCTGCCTCTTCCCCACAGCCTTCCCACTGGGGTGGTGGGTTAGACAGCTCCCAACCCCACAGGCAGGGCCTCTATGCTCCAATCCTGGAGAAGCATCCTGATGGCTTTCCAAAGAGCTATGCTAAAGACAGGCCCAGAGACTATGACCTGGGGCTTCCACATCAGGGATTTCCAGGGGTCTCTGCACAGAGAAAGCTTTACCATCTCTTGGCTTCAGTCTTTTACACCTGTCTCAAAAAGGAAGAAAAGGCCATGCGTGGTGGCTCACACCTGTAATCTCAGCACTTTGAGAGGCCGAGGTTGGTGGATCACTTGAGGTCACGAGTTCAAGACCAGACTGGCCAACATGGTGAAACCCCATCTCTACTAAAAATACAAAAATTAGCCAGGCATGATGGCAGGTGCCTGTAATCCCAGCTACTCGGGAGGCTGAAGCAGGAGAATCACTTGAACCCAGGAGGCAGAGGTTCAGTAAGCCAAGATCATGGCATTGCACTCCAGCCTGGGTGACAAAGCGAGACTCCTTCTCAAAAAGAAAAAAAGAAAAAAAAAAAAAAAGGACAGAAGGTGAGAAGGTGAAAGGAGGGCCAGATGTTAAAGACTTTTGCTACCACAGTGCCAGCCGGCCACCTGCATGTCCTCTGTGGTGTCATCACAGCCAGACCCTCAGCAGGCTCACTTGGGAGACTTTCCTCTGCTTCCTCCACCTCCAAATCACTCAAAGTGTGATTCTCTTTGGGCCTAAGACACCCAAGAGCCTACTGCTTGCTCAGGTCACCCTTTCCACTGTGCAACAGCCAGGACAGGAATTTCCTAAACGCTGACGACTTCAGCTTTGGCCTTCTCCCATTTCTGGTCCTCAACAGAGGGAAGAACAGCTGGTCACTTGTACAAAAGCCCTCCAACTATTAGAACACCTTGGTAAATATCCTCTTTTTTCTATCTAATTAATCCCAATGCCTTTATCTTTTCTTCAAGGGACATTCTCATCTCTACCTCACGCAACAGTCTTTTAATCATCTTTATGGATTTCCTCTGAGCCCTCCACAAGTTTGAAGGAACACGGAATAAGGTCCTGAAGATCTGTTTTCTGTTGCTGCAAAGATGGGAGGGAGAAAAAAGTCTTTGTTGATGAGAAAGGGGAATAATGAAGCTAAACATGTAGAATAAACTAGATTTCTCTAGAGAAAATGGCCTTGGCCGTTCTGTCTTTGTTGAAATGAGACGCAAGAAGCAAGAGGAGATACACCATCTGCTACTTGGAGAAACGAGGAGGCCTCTGTTATTATCTTATGCTGATGAACGGCCACAGAAGAACATATATTTTTGGCATCATTGTATTAATTAAAAGTTATTCATTGAAGACAAAGCTCAAAAGGCTAAATTGGGAGAGACAGAGGACACTGGATGACATAATCGCAATCTTTAAAGATCCCAGAAAGCCAAACTCAGGCTTTCTGCAGGTAAGGGCATGCACTTTAGCAGGGACAGATGCAGTGTCTTGAATTTCGGGCCCAGACCTAAGGTTCCTTGAACAGGATGACAAAGATAGGCTTAACCACCAGATGAGAAGTGACGCAGCAGGGTTTTCAGCTGATGGAAGCTCTCCATTTTATGTCTGCTTCTTGTGAAGAACTGCCTATCCCTCCCTGTGGTGGGCTGCCAAATGCTGCCAAATGCCACATTTGTTCCATGTGGAGACTGTGCAGTGGGTGGGGCTTATGGCAATCTTCAAATATTTAAGGATCTACCCATGTGAAAGAGGAATTAGTCTTGTTCTAGTGTCTAAGAAGACAGACCAGGATCAAAGTTATAGGGAGCCACACCTTAGATCAATGTGTGAAAGGGCTTTCTAACAATAGTCACGAAAGCTAGGATTTGTGAGGCCTTGCCTAAGCCCAGCCCTGCGCCAGGCACTGCCAAGGTGCAAGTGATCACTCCAGTCTAGAGAGGAGAAGGGGGCCTGGAGACGGCTGGTGACTTACCTGGCATCGCCCAGCTCATCAGTGGGAGGGCAAGGATGGGGAGGCATTAATTCATAGGCCTGTGTAATTTGTATGCCTGCTGTGCTGCTGCCCGAAGTCTAACCAAGATGTCCATTTGAAAGCAAGAGGGCTGCTGTGAACAGCCTGTCACTGGGGACACGCAGAAAGACCCAACAGATAAGATGCTGTGGAAGAAATCTGAACACAGGTGTAGAACTGAACCAACTTCCTGGAAGGTCTCTCCCAACTCAGAGAGTGGAGGATTTGACGCATAGCTCAAGAGGAGGAGTTGCTGTGTTCACTCTGGGCACCCTTCCTTCCTTCTCCTCAGGCGCTCCAGCTACGCTGACAGCACAGGGTGCTAGAGTGGCCTCAGCCTCTCCTCAAATACAGCCACATACCCATGAGTCTGCAGGCAAACAGCTCACACTGCCAAGCTTCCCTGCTGCTCTTGCTTCACTATGGGAAGCTACACCCAAAAGTGCTTTGCGATGTGCAGGAGGCAACCGGGACATAACCTGCCCACAGTTATGATCATCCTAGGGCTGACACCACCAATTATCTCTCTTCCTATTCCCCCCACCTCCTACCCCAGGAATTTATACTTGAACTGGGAGCAGCTTCTGTTGGTGGGAACATCTGGGTTGTTTCCATGGCCTAGCCAGCACTCTCAGCTCTGTATTCTCTGCCCCGAGCACTCTGGCTGCCCTCCAGCTTGATGGAGGGTCCTGGGGACACATTCTGATTCCAGCACTTTCTAAGCAGACAGTGGTATTTCTCCACATGGAAGGTTGGCTGTTCAGTGTGGCTCTGACCCTTGGGAGACCCTGCCTGCTGGCTTTTGACTGCCAGGGGAAGAAGGGGTGGGAAGATGTCGGCAATGGCGGAGGCGTGCAGCCAACCAGCCAGGACGGCTGTGTCTGTTCACGGCTGTCCACAGTGCTGCCCAGCTCCTGAATCTGCTGTTGCTGGAAGGACAGCCTCCCACTGGCACCGAGAGTCATTCCTTTTCTATTTGATTTATAAGATAGCAGTGAGGGCTGGGAGGCTTGGAGTTGGAACAAAACAGAGGGAAGGAAAACGTCATGGGAAGCAACCTATTTTTGAAAGCTGTGAGCTGACGCCAGGAGATTAGGTTCTGTTTGTCTTGGCTGATGGGCTTGTTTAAAAAAAAAAAAAAATCCCAAACCCCCTCTCCCCCCAAAACACGAAGTATTCCTGCTGTCTGGGTCTGCTCTGGCTGTCTGGAAGCATCTTGGCTTTGTTCAACACACCCCCTGCTGCCAGGAGCACGGCTCTATCCAGAGCAAATCCCCCCTGTCAGCAGGAATTCCGACGCTGACACAGCACAAAGCTGCCTCAAGAGGCCTTCTCAGTTTCTGGACTGACCTCAGAATCCTGTGCATCTGGGTAACGCCTGGCCGAACCTTCCTGCAGGCTAGGAATGGAGGCCAATGACAATGCATTCAAGGGAAGCCAGGTCCCCTGGAGTGTGGCACATATTCAGCTGGATCTGCTGAGCTGAGGCAAGCCTGGGCTGATGCAGGTGTGTCAGGAGTGAGGTCTGGGAACTAGGGAGAGGCCACTCAGGACTCCTCACTGGGGCTGGGCCAAGGGTACTTTTCTCAGCTTCAAGAGCAGGCTGGTGTAGTTACATGGAGACAAGTTGTTTCCCGGTCTATTTCCTGCAAAAAGCTGCAAGCTCCAGGGACCACAGCTCATGCACCTCTGTGCCCCTAGGACTGTGTTTTGTGTCAGGCCTGGAACAGGTCTCCACCCACCCTCACCCCCATAAGAGCCGATGGCTTTGGAGTAGGAAGGGGGCACAATAAGCAGCAACTTGGGACCAGGACAGGGCCTTCACAGGCGGCAAGCATGTGCCAGCAGCAGGGTAGAAGGTGTAGCACTTGGGGACCAAGACTGACAACGGAGGGCCAGACACAAATGGCAGTATCAGCAGCAGCAGCAGGTGTATCATGAGAAACTCATGCCAGGTTGCTAAATCAGTCTGGCTCCTGACCTGTTCCCTCAAGCATCTTGCCTCCCATTGAAAAGTGTGTGGGGCCTTGCAGTTCACAGCATCCTTCTTCCACCCTCCAGAAGGTCACTGCTTCTAAGGGCAGTACCACTGACATTTTCTGCAAATGCCAGGGTCATCTGAGGCTGGGTGTGGTGGAGATCTGGGCACTGGCTCTGGACCTGGCTGCCCTGGGAAACAGGCCTGAGGTGGGGGCCTTGACCCTGGTTTCAGGGGTAGACTGCAGGCCGCCCACTCCTGGACCCCATTCTGCCATGCCCCCAGATCCATGGGCTGTCCAGAGGCGGGGAGGCCAGTTTGCAATGGCAAACCACAATATGCCTGGGAATCCTCAGTGTTAGGGAAAAGCATGGGAGCATCACACTTCATCTCAGTCTCAGGACACCTTGGGGGTGAGGTGCCACTACAAGGGCTCCTGTGCACAGTCAAGGTTGAACAGGCCCTCCTGCAAAATGTGATGTTGAGGGACCAAAATACAGAAATAGTACAAGCTCAACTACATTTAAAATAAACCTACAAAAAAGTCAGAAAGAAAATACATCAAAGCACCTACAGTGGTTATTTACAGATGCTTGGGTCAAAGAAAGTTATTTTCTTTTCTGTGCTTTCTTTTTCTTTCTGTGAGCATGTATTCTACAACTGGCATTTTATAATCAGGAAAAAAATGTTATTAAGGAAAATAAAAAAGACAGACAGTGGTACTGGCCTCTGCCTGTCCGTAGGCAACGTGAGGCTGCATGTGTGCTCACATGGACTATCAACAACAGGGCCACTGGACCTGTCCCGCCTTGCCGCTGTGTCCCCGGGTGGGATCCTCCAACAGTGTACGGTGGAAGAGCTGCCACCACAGGCCAAGTGCTTCTGAAAGATGACTCACCTGCAGCAACTCCAGATCAGATGAATCCTCCTGTCCAGGGACCATTTCTGTTAACATCTCAGACATGACTTTTGTGTTTCCTCGAACGACGTCCAGTTCACTCCGCAGCCTGGCAATCTGGTGGGGGCCACGAGGAAGGAAAGCAGGAAGGAAAGGTCAGTCAGCCTGCACTTGCAATATCAGAATCAGCTTGCTCCTAGTCTAGTGACAATCCTTCTCACTGGGAGATCTGGGTTGCCTTTCTGAGTGCACACTGCAGAGGCCACCTTCTCATCTCCCTCTGGCCTGCCTGTCAGCTCTGAGAGAGCTGAATGGGCCCTGCCACCAACAGTCTGTTGTGCCTCTCTGACTGTGACACGAAAGCAGTACCACGTAGTGAAGGGCTCCGTGTCAGGAGTGCACCAAGCTGGCTCTCCGTCTCGGCTCTCCCACCACGGGAACTTGAGTAGAAGCTGAACCTCTCAGGGCTTCCGTTCCTGCTCTTTAAAATCCAAGTGCAGGAGGGCAGGAGCTCTGAGATCCCTTCAGAGCTGAGATCCTATTCTACAAAGCTCTGAGTTATAGACTCTGCTCCTAGGAGTTTTACATCTAAACACTAGGATCCCTCTGAGAGGCTGGGCAGTGTCAATAGCACTTTTCTGCTGCGGCAAGAATGAGAGAACAGGGGAAGACGACAGGGGAGACACCTTCCCCACCCAGCTCCCTACATGGTAACACAGCCCCTTGAAAAATACCCAAGTTGCCCATCAGCGATCCCAAAGCCTGGACCTGGGCCAAGGCCCAAGGCTCCTCTCCAGCAACAGAGACATCATACACTTTCTCCCCTTGCCCTCAGTCCTGTGCCTCAGATCTGCCCCTTCACTCCCTCAACCCCCTCGAAGGATCTGCAGAAACCACAGGGACCTTCCTTGCCCACAGTGAAATATCATAGAAGAATCTGCATAGAGGTGGCTACTGGTCCCATCACTCAGTGACAAGAGACCAAATAACGCTGGACAGAGGTCAAGAACTGCACAGGACACTGGAGGGAGCCCTGGAAGACTCAGCAGCAACATCCAGAGCCGGACCTGAGCCTCTCTGAGCCTTCGTTTCCTCACCTACAGAAAGGTGGCACTAACCTCACCAGGCTGCTGTGAGTTTCCCATGCGGCGCCTGGCATGCAGGTATGCTCTCTACTACACACATACGGCCCTTGTTCCTGCTCAAAGGTCCAGAGAGAGGAACTGTAATGTCATTCTTCCTGCACTGTGACCCAGCTTAAGTGACAACTTCTCTCCCCAGTGAAGCCTTTTCTGACTCTCCCCACCCCATCCTGAGGTAGAAGCAACCACTCCCGCCTCCTCAGGTTCCCACTCGCTGTGCCATCTTCCACTATTGCAGCTGTAGCAGCCTCTCCTGTGTGGGTGGGCTCTCTCAGCAGACCTTTAGCTTCTTAGGGCAGGAACTCAGCTGGGTTGAGCTTTATACCCTCAGCACAGAGACAGGGACAGGAGACCTCAATCAATGGTCTACCAGGGAGATGGTCTGGGTCCTGAGAGGCTCTTGTTAGCCTCTGGCTCTGCCTGGTGGATGATCCAGGGGTTTTCTTCAAAGTCTTGGTAGAGAGAAGAGGTTTCTGGCTAGGAAGGCCCAGGAAGGCTATGGGCAGCCACCCAGTAGACTCTGAAGCCCTGGGTCCTCTTGGCCAGGCTGGGTGCTGACCTGCCTACCTCTGCTTGCATTCTGCTCTCCAAGGGGCAACATGCCTCAGGGCTCCTGTGCTACCTATGCCCAGACCCTGCAGACCCAGCATCTTCTGGCTACTAGGAGGGCCTTCCCAAGCACCTCCCACACTTTGAGTCGGTGAAGGGGCTCAGTAACTGTCCAACTTCAAACATTTTCTGCCTTCCCTCAGAGCAGGAAGGGCACAGTTCTGCCCATAGAAGCAGGGCCAAAAGCCAGAGACCTTCTTTCCCACAGCACTTGGGTAGCCACAATGAGGACCTCTTCCATCTGCCTGTCAAGCCCACAGCTGCCTGGTGGGGTAACAAATCACTTGTTCTACTGATGGGAGACCGGGGTTAAATGTCCTGACTGAAGCCTAGAGTGAGCAGCAGAGCTGGGGGCTCACACCCAGGCCCTGGGGGCTTCAAGTTCACTCCTCCTGCTCTCACCGTACTCCCTGCTCAGAGCTAGCAGGGAAGTGTGAGGAACACGACACAACACTGCCATCCCTACACACACATTGCTATCCCTACACACACATTGCTTGACCCCTCTGCTTCAGTGAGGTTCCACAGTCATGACATTGTCGCAAATAGTAAATAAGGATTTGGTAAATATAAACATTGGAGAGTTTTTTTTTCCCCCAAGTCTGACCAATTCTCAAATTGTAACTAATTGAAGTTCTATGGATTCTTCTAAAGAGCACTCCCCAATTCATCTAAAAAATCCAGTGTGGGGTTAAAACTGCATTAGTTTATCAGGAAGTAACCCGGGAGGGTGGGGAGTGTTTGGGATAAAAGCAGGCTTCTTGTGCTTCAGGAGGGCCTCCCTGATCAGGTCACAGGCCTCTGATGGCTGACTTTTTTTATGGGATAGATCTAAGCCTCTGCATGATAGACAAGCCCGTCACAACTCAGCTGCACGTCTATGCTTTTGGCCTCACATTCTGCCATGGTTTCCTCCCAGATCTGGGCCCTACATATGCGCCTGCTCTCCAATCAAGCCACCTGCTGCTCCGAGAGAGCAGCGTCTGCATCTCTGCATTTAAATGTCATTGCTGAGCATGCGGTCTCACCTGACAAAGCCCAACTCCTGTGTCAGGACCCTCTGCATGTCAGGTCCCCGGTGCCTCCCAGGCACCACTCAACCCTGGGCTCACAACTCTGAGCCCTTGGTTCTGCTCCCCACCACAGCCTGACCACAATCCATCATGACTTCCTCAGCATCTCTCTCCCCTGGGGATTGAGCCCTTCCATCTCTGTGTCCCTAACACCCAGCACAATACCTGGCTTGGGAGGCCTTTGTAAGTGTCTCCCAGAAAGATGAAAAAGGATAGTCAGCTGGCTTGCCTATGGCCCCGAAGTATGCAAGTACCTGTTCTGAATTGGCTGTGATGGGGCCAGTCACACTCAGAGCTGGGGCCTGCGGTGCGGAGTAGGGAGCAGGAGGCGGCGAGGAATAGGAACCAGCACTTGTCCTCTGCTGTGATTGGGACCTGGGCATGGTCGCAGCTGGATCCACTTCAGGGACACTCTGGCATGGCAACAACAAAGTCCTCTGTTTACCTGGGCTGCCTGCATAGCTGGACCTGGTACCTACCCCACCCCATGCAGCACTTCCCCAAGGCTGCCCACGAAAGGCTCAAGGCCCTGCTCCACTGCTGCCCGGGTGAGGTTCACAGAACCCCACTGAGCCCAGGCTCTCCATCTGGGAAGTGGGGCTGCCAATGGCTCCTCCCTCTACTTACCTCTCAAGGAATGTGTGGCAGACCAATGAAAGCAACTCCAAAAGGCAGCACCGAGAGTGCTCTGTGAGCCCTCTGGTCATGGTTCCTATTATTAAGACCACCTCGGGATCCAAGTGGAGGGAGGGCGGTTATTAAGTTTTGCTAATCACAGATCTTTACTTGGTACCATAAGAATTACTTTTTTGGTCTTTACAAGTAGACTAATATAAATAGTAATTATGCAATTTACCAAATGTTTTTTGTAATTATAGGAACAACAACACTGCTCTCTGTCATTATTAGAAGAATGAAACAGGTTATGTTGATTTCACAAAGCATAGCGCGTGGTCTGGAGGGATCATGATGAAAACAGCCTCCAGAAAGGGCAATCCCCTGGGCCAGGTGCGGTGGCTTACGCCTGTAATCTCAGCACTTTGGGAGGACGAGGCGGGTGGATCACAAGGTCAGGAGATAGAGACCATCCTGGCTAACACAATGAAACCCTGTCTCTACTAAAAATACAAAAAATTAGCCAGGCATGGTGGCGGTCACCTGTAGTCCCAGCTACTCAGGAGGCTGAGGCAGGAGAATGGCGTGAACCCAGAAGGCGGAGCGTGCAGTGAGCCAAGATTGTGCCAGTGCACTCCAGCCTGGGCGACACAGCAAGACTCCGACTCAAAAAAAAGAGAAAGGGCAATCCCTCATGCTTGCCCTTTGGGTATCTCAGATGACCTCTTGCACATTAAAATTAAGTCGTGTTCCTACGAGAGATGTGCACAGGTGTGCTATCCTTCTCAGAGATGGGCAGTGGGGGCAGGCAAGGTGAAGTGTACTGGGATGAGGTGCCTCTCCCAGACCCTGGTGCTTTCCTGGCTCTCCCCCAGGCTAGGAGTGGAGTTGATTCCCAGCCAGTAGAGGGACTAGCTTCCTTGAGAAACCATGAGGCATGACCTACATGCTTTTAACCCTGAAGTGCCAAGCTGCCCCCTCCACGGTGCTCAAGTTACTGTTGGCACTGCAAAAGCTTTGGTGGGATGCCCCTAAAGGGACCTTCCCAGGGCTTTGATCCCAAGGCTGATGGAATCAAGGATTGAATCCAGAATCAATTCTGGATTGATGCTGAATACTCACAGCTCAAAATAAATTTTAGATCCATTTGACTTGGTACAATTGAAAAAACAGAAAGCTACTTTTTGACCCAAGAGTGACATCAAGCCCTGAGGTGCTATGGTGCTCTGAGGGACAACAGGATTCCCACACCAGATTCTAGGGGCCTCTGAAAAGCAGGTGCTAATGACCCTCACAGGATGGCTCCGCCCAAGTAGCCATTTCCATGAAAACCCTGAACTGATCCCTTTATTATATTCTTCCACAGACACTGCTGCCACTTAATCACCAGTCAACCAGCTGTCTCACTCCTGCATGCCCCTTGTTATTAAAAAGGAATGCCCCCGAGCTTTAAGAAAGCATGATGACAAGCTGAATAATTCAAAGGCAGCAGCAGAAGGGTGGCTGCAGCAGCTTGGCTCACCCGTTCTGCAGTAGGTCTTTCTAGAAAGTGCCAGCTGGAAGCTTACCCGCTGTGGTGTGTGTATGGGAGACAGAGCGTCCAAGTCTGCCATGGGAAATTCAACCCCTTTCCTCTTCAGCTCCTCATATATGTGCACAACGCCGGTGAGATCAGGACTGCTTCGAAAGGCATCAGCCCATGCCTGGGATAATAGAAGGCCTGTTAGGAAGCATTTCTCAGAGCTGCCATGGTATCTGAAAATCCAAAGTGGCCCACGTCCTCTCCCCGAGACCAGTGCTCTCCTACTTGCACATGCAAATTGCACTGGCTAAACCTATTCTGTTCCTCTCCTTCCGCAACTGCTGCCACGACACAGCTGGTGAAACCCTGGCTTTCAATGGTGCTGCTGAGCGTGAACAAAAACACAAAACTTAATTTAGCATGTATTTCCTTGGAGAAGAGACAGAGAAATAACACCTATGCACGGTGGTGCATCCTAAAAAGCAGGAATTTCCCTAATGGCAAGGAAATCAATTGCTGGGGCTGTTCAGCTGCAGGGAGTGGAAGCTGGAGCCTTGTCAGCTCAGCAGGGTGCCTGCCCTCTGTGCGGGAGCACCTCTGCCCTGAAAGCTTCTACTGGTGGAGTTGGGAACCGGCAACAAATTGAGCAGAAAGGAAAGGAGAAATTGATGTGTGACATGAAGTAAAGGCTAACTACAGGTTTCCTCAGATCAGAGACAACTAATGCTGAGCTTGTCTAGCCTAGCTCTGTCTAGCGCTGCTGCCAGTAGGTGAGATGACTGTGGTTCAAGGGAAGAAGAGCCCATTGGGAGCTAGACCCAGGCCAGACTGGGGAGTTCACCCCCAGGGGTCCTTTTCCCAGACCCAAGCTTCTTTCATGATGTCCGCTGCCAAAAATGTCAGCACATGTGTGCCCAAATCGAAAAATCCCAAGAAAAGCACAATCACCAGATTCCCTTCAGTGAAAACATATCACAGAGAGGAAAGAGCAAAAATTCAAGTAGATTATCATTTCTGTTGACTCATGAAACTTAAAAATTAAAAAAAAAATTCTGGGCTGGGTGCGGTGGCTCATGCCTGTAATCCCAGCACTTTGAGAGGCCGAGGCGGACGGATCACGAGGTCAGGAGATCAAGACCATCCTGGCTAACACAGTGAAACCCCATCTCTACTAAAAATACAAAAAAATTAGCTGGGCGTGGTGGCGGGTGCCTGTAGTCCCAGCTACTCAGGAGGCTGAGGCAGGAGAATGGTGTGAATCCGGGAGGCAGAGCTTGCAGTGAGCTGAGATGGCGCCACTGCACTCCAGCATGGGCGACAGAGCAAGACTCCGTCTCAAAAAAAAAAAAAAAAAAAAAAAAATTCTGTTCTTTGGAAGTCTTGGACTGTATCAAAAACAGAATACTCAAAGGCCTTCCCAGAAATGGCCCTTCTCATGCTGTCCCATTCACCATACATACCCAAAGGAGGAGGCAGAGCCTCCTGTGCCCATGACTCCATTGCCAAGTCTGTCATTGTCACAGAATTTAACTGTCTCCCTCACTCCAGCAATGTGGTACAACCAATCCTGAGGCAGCCACAGAAACTCTGTCTCTAACCAACAGACCCATTTGAAGTTAAAAGGTCAGTTTCCAAAAAGCCTCCTTAATTATGACTGATGCATCTCACCAGGAACAGTACTGTCAGCCCGGCTTTCCCTGATGCACTTATTTAATTTGCATGCTCAGGGATTTAAAACTACTGGATCAGGACAGCCCCTCTTGGCCAACACTCCTTCTGGATTCTGAGGAGGGCCAAAGAAAGTGCCTCACAGAGCACTGTCTGGAAGGCCCAGCTGGAGGAGAGTAGGTTGCCCGTAGGGAGTGCCTCTGGCCCCGCCCCCACCAGCTGCGCTGGCTGCCTCCACCTGGTTCAAAATCCAGCTAAGTCCTGTGACGCCAACCTCAAAATGCCCTAGCATTTTAGTTTAGGGTGTTGACTTTAGGGTCTAAAAACCAGTTTCACAGCCCACTGTCGGAGGCTGGGGAAAAAACACATGGCAGTTCTTCCTGGCACCACTTCATGCCTTTGTACATGGAGTACCAACAGCTCCAGGGATTCCTTTCAATTCATCTAGCTCTCTACCCAAGCCAAATTTGAGATAATAGGAATAAAGATGAAAGAACTATGGCTCTTCTCTCCAGTTGGAGGATACTTCTTCGGGTCCACTTTCTAAGGCACTCTGCTTCCATGTTCACAGAGACAGACTGGAGTGGGAGGGAAATGCACACCCAAGTTGGGCCAATCAGATGCTCCTCCTTCCAGGAACTCAGCAGCACTAGAAGCTGGGATGTTCTCACTGGGTAGGCAGAACTGTCCTCTGTAACTCCAGGGCCATGTGCCAGCACAGGACTGGAAGCAGAGACAGCCTATGTTCTCCAGAAGGAGCAGCTAGAGTGCTCGGAGGTGCAGGCGTACAGGAGAGGATTTGGAAGGCCTTCCTGATATTTTCTGTCCCTTCCCAGGGCGGGGTGACCTGGACTTCTGGGAGACTCTGCCCTGTCATGACAAACTCTTCTCTTTGCCTAGGCAAGCTGGAGTTGGCATCTGTTATTTGCGATCAAGTAGTCTTGGCTAATCTACCCGCTTCCTACCTGCCACAATTCCAACCCTTATCTGGGACCTCTGTGCAGACTGGATGAGATGGCTGCTAACAGAGCAGATATTCATGATGGCAATCTCTATTGAATAGGATTCTCATGCCAACAGAGGAAAAAATGGGGTGCAGGGGCGCCTCTGAATAAATGCAGCTCTGGGTGTCTCTCATCTCTGGGTGTCTCCCATTCATATGTGAAAACGTACAGATGGGAGACATCCAGAGATGCCATGTGTCCCTAGCATCTTCTTGGGACATGCCTCAATAATTGGGCATGGGTCAGAGCTGTCCCCCAGGCTGGAGTACAATGGTGGTGCCATCTCAGCTCACTGCAACCTCTGCCTCCGGGCTCAAGCAATCCTCCCACTTTAGCCTCCAGAGTAGCTGGGACTATAAGCATGTGCCACCATACCTGGCTAATTTTTGTATTTTTTGTAGAAATGGGGTTTCATCATGTGGCCTAGGCTGGTCTTGAACTCCTGGACTCAAGGGATTCACCCACCTTGGCTTCCCAAAGTGCTGGGATTACAGACATGAGCCAACTGCGCCCAGCCCAGACACCTTTTGAAGGCAGACACCGAGTCTCTCACCCGTGTACAGAGAAGGCAGTCAGTCAACATTTATCAGGTTAAACTGAATTCAGTTCTCACAGTTACTAAGCATCCTTATTTTCCTACTTCAGAGAACAGAGGAAAGATGGCCACTTAGGCTGTCAACAGACTGAAGTGACAGTGACAAAGGAGGGGTGCTGGAAGGCTGACCCAGCTGAGAATACTCCCTAGAGAAGATGTGGCAAGCCTCAGGAGGTCTGGCCACTCTTGGAGTGCTTAACCTGAAGCCTGAGAGCAGCACTGAGGGTGGGGGAGGCTGCCCCCTCTTAAAGCTGCCTTTTCAGAAAGCAAAGTGATGCAGCGGTGTGAGCACACTCTGAGGGCCTGTCACAGGAGCTAGCTGGTTAATGGCCAAGTGGTCAGTTCACTGGAAGCCTTCTTTTCCTGCCTGTGGCTACAAGATTAGGGGCTTGGAAGACCCAGAGGAAGGTCTAATGAGGAGAAAAAAGGAAAGAGATCAATTCAGATCTCCTTCATTCCTTTGGACCGTATACAAAACCCCAGAATAAAACCAGAAACAAACATAAACCATAACCTATTCATTTCTGTATCCCTGAAAGTTTTGACAAAGCTTTGAATCATCAAATTTCAGACCAATAAACCATTGCTGATTTAAACTATGGGCTCTGGGATGCCTTTGGATAGAAGGGAGCTTCTGTCAGCTCCTGCTTATGCCCCAGACCAGACTTCCTATTCCCAGTGACAGGGTCCCCAGGGAGCTGCTGTCCACACAGAATCTGGCCAGAGCCCAGCTACCAGGCTCTGACGTCTTCAAAGAACACACACCTCCAGTTTCTCCTGTCCCCACTCCCATCCCCACCCCAATCAGTTCACTTTCTTCAGTGGAAAGTGCATATGGTTAGACTATTGCTGGGGCATGGGGAGGGGGGCTGGAGAGGCATGACCACACTGAGGTGACTCTGCCAGGATGACTCCATTTCCGCTCCTGAAAACAATTTCAAGGGAAAGGCTCAGGGATGGCATAGAGTGGGAGCATCCTTTTTGTCTTCTCAACAAATGGGACTTAATGTAAGCAAACAAAAAGGGACACAAGCCAAAACACCAGCCAAGGCATGAGGTGAAAACATAGGGGTGAAGCTGAAAGCTGCCGGAAGGGAAGTCTTTGGTGCCCCTGGGGGTAGAAGTGAGTGTCAGCAAGCTACCAACCAGGCTGCACCACTCTCAATGTGTCTTTCCTCCCATCCTCCCAGGGAGACCGGCTCCATCCAGAAAGGCAGATCCTGTGGTGCGGGTAAGCCGACTGAGCCCTCGCACATGTTGGTAAAAAGTACCAGAACCACACTGCTGGGTCTGTCTTTTGGCGGGTTGAGGGGGATGGGGTGGCTACGGATGGCTGGAGGGCAGCCAGAAGACAGAAAGCCCCCATACGGGAAAGGAAGGAGTACAGTGGGGAAAGGAGGGGTAGGCATCAGCTGGATTCTCTTTGCAGTTGGCCAGGGTGCTACTGATGGCAAAGGTGCCACTGGGTAGGCTGACCATGCCTGCGAATGGCACTCTGAAAGGGAATCAGAAGGTGGGCTGGGGGCAGGCAGATATGCACGGATGAGCTCTATCACCCACTTCCCTATAGGCACAGGGGGACTTTGGAAAAGCTAGTGTGGAGCCCAACCTCCCCCTTCCCCTCAATCTGGCTGCAGCTCTGCTTCCACCATCCTCAGGGCAACCAAAGGGGCAGTGGGCTTTGGCCAGCAGCTGGTAATCAGAGCCATGGGTTCTACCTCTGCCAGGACCCCCAACCATGCCTCACAGGCAGGAGGTGTTAGGGAGGCACGTCTGTGTGGCCCCTTTACCTTGAAAGCTTTTCAAGTGCTAACACATTCGATCTACTTTTCCATAATGGAAAGGTTAAGGCTGTACCCCACTCCACCCCCAAGCCACAAACAGTCAAAAGCCAGTTTAAGTCCTTCCTGGCTGGGCCCTCACCCTCTGTCATCTGCAAACCTTTGCTTCTCCAGTTAAACTGCAGGCTCCCTGAGGGTAGGGCCAGGACTGACCCTGTCCCACTTCTCTGAAGAGCACCAAGAAGCATCCTGATACCACGATGGTGCAGAGAAGTCTGTTACCGCTCTGGCACCCCACACTTAGCTGAACCTCCTCTCAGCCTAGCCGCATTGATATGAGAGCTGCTACCAACTCACAGGCTGGCAAGGCAGCCAGTGACCTGTCACCTCCAACCCCATTCTTGTCTCATGGTGGGAGCAGCACTTTCTCTCCTGGGGGAATTGTCAGAGTCTCTGGGGGAGTCTTAAGTTTTCTAAAGTATATTCAACATGCAAATAAAAGTACTTTCTTTCTCAAAGGGGCTAAAAAAAGGTTGACCCAATGCAATGCTACTCCATGCTCTAATGAAGAAGATTGAAAACAGGGTGTGTGGGTGAGGATGCGAAGCAACTAACATTCTTGGGTGCTGGTGGCTGAGAACACCCAAGAGCCCAGTGGAGCCCATTCCCCACCACACAGCAACCTCACACCCCGGTATGAGGTGGATACATATGAAATTGCTAATATTTGGCCATTTTTGACCAACAAAGATGGCACTTTCACATATTCAACTTAATATATTCCCATTAAAAAGGAATATATATATGCTCAAGAAAAGTCAAGTGCTAGATGCTCATAGCAGCATTTTTCACAGTACCCCCAAACTGCAAACACCAAGTCCCCATCAACAGTGGGAGGGGTAAATAAACTGTAGTGTGTTCACACAACAGGACTTGGCACAGCAATGGCAACGAAAGACCTAGAATCACAGG
This sequence comes from Homo sapiens, assembly GCF_000001405.40. Taxonomy (NCBI): domain Eukaryota; kingdom Metazoa; phylum Chordata; class Mammalia; order Primates; family Hominidae; genus Homo; species Homo sapiens. Next base: position 17,890,608 of record NC_000017.11, read on the forward strand.
CAACAATGCGTGTGACACCCACAAACACAGCAGAGGCAACAGAGCACTCTGGATGAAGTTCAGGAACAGAGAAGACTCGTCTATGCTGTGAGAGCTCAGGCAAGTGGTCATCCGGAAGGTGGGAGGTTTTGGGTGTGGTCATATTCTGTTTCTAGATGCAGGGGCTGGTTACATGTTCAGTTTGTGAAAATTTATCAAGTTGTATACACTTTTATGTGTGATTTCCTGTATATATATTATAATTCAATTAAAAGTTTAAAAAAAAGAAAGGGCTAGGGATCCTGTTTATTCCATTGGTTCACCCTGTTACAGAAGCCAAGCCACCCACAGCTGAATGCTGCCTGCTGTCCTCTGCTGGGCAGCCGTTACCAAAGGTAAGAGCTCTTCAGGAACACTGCAAATCTGGAGAGGAAGAACACTCTCCAGCTGGGTTATCAACCCCCATCTAGGAGTAGCACCCTTATCTGAAGCCCATGCTTTTCACAGCTGGACCAGGAAACTGTCCAGCCAGGCAGAAGCTTGTGAGGCATCTCAAGGCCCTGTTCTGCTCAGGTCCCCATGGCCAGCACACACTGCTACTGCCAGACCAGCAGGGGGAGGCCTCAGAACATGGTGCTGGCCACTTCACACCTTGGGCTGATCTCATGGGCTCAGGATTGAGAGCAGACAGGCAAGAACCCCAAGTTCCATTTTACAGATAAGGTGGTACATGCCCACAATAAATTAGTACACCTGTCTGAGGTTAGCAGCAGGACTGGGTAAAAGCTAGGAGGAGCTGGAAAGTGTGGAGGGGTGATCCTGATAGGAAAGCTTGGAGGTGAGGGCAGGGTGTGCGGGGACAGGCATCCTCAGGGTAGAGGTGTGGGCCACAGCCAGTGAAGAAGGCTGTGTCTGCCCTCAGCCATGGTCCCCACACAGTCAGCAGGGACAGTGCAGTTCACACCCCTTGTGATAACTGTGCTTGCCATGCGGTAGGCTAGCCACCCTGCTGGGCCCGCCACCCTGCAGACAGGCCTCGGGGTCAGAAAGCTCTACCACAGGACATGCTTTGTGAGAAGAAGCCACCATTTGTTTTCCTAACATGAATTCCTGGGGGTATTGAGGTAGGGGAGTGCAGCCCCAGAAGGAAGGGCTGTGGTAGAGTGGGGTGTATGAGGAAGGTAAAGTGCATGCACACGTGTGTGTGTGTGTGTGTGTGTGTGTGTGTGTGTGTCAGAGGGAGACAGAGAGACAGAAGGATATTGGGTGGGCAGAACAGGGACGAGGGACAACCCTAGGGTAAACAGGGGAAGGCCTCCCAGAGTTCCTCAGAATTAACTACATTCACTCATTCATTATAAAGAAATACTGAACACCCGCTCTACACATTACACTGCTCTAGACCCTGGGGACAGCATGTCCCTGGGTTCTTAGGGAACGAAGAATGAGGCAGACAAAAGAAATGTTAGCAAAGCCAGTCTTGAAGACCACAAAAAAGGATGATGTGAGACAGAGAGTGTGTGTGCTTAAAACCAGCTGGAGGCCTCCGAGGCACCTGTGAATGAGGAGGAGGAGTCACTGCTCTGAAAGCTGGGGAAAGACCTTTCAGGCAGAGGGAAGTGAGCACAGGGAATGGACAGAGGCTCCTCTCCAGCTGCACACCTGACCCATCTGAGAGCCCGGCCTGCCCCGGCACTCCACTTCCTGCATTCTCCGCTGCCTCTGCCTGGTTGCCTCCCTTTGCCCTTGCTGGAGCCCCACGCCCAGCCCTAGGTTTGTCTCTCCTCTTGGCTCCTGCAGGCCCTTGTCTTGCCTCTGCCACAGCACTAATCACCCAGGCTGGATGTGCCTGTTGACTTATGTGCCTTCTGTGTCACCACGTGCTCTGTCTAAAACCCAGGTCTGCACACATCCCAGCTCAGAGCCCTTCGATGTCTTCCCACTGCCTACAGGACCAAGCATGCCTCCTCAGCATGCATGGCCACTGGCCTCTGGGCATCCTTCTGGTCCCATCTCCTGCCTGCTCCCCCACCCCAAGCCCTGCCCCCAACATTCTTCATTACACCCCCTTCCCCACATAGTGGTCTCTACAACATGTCCACAAATTATTTGATCCTCCTTTCTTCAAGAGATGGAGTTTATTTCCCCTACTCTTGAGGCTAGGCCTGGTGACTCCCTTCTAACAAATAGAATATAACAGAAAAAAATGGTATGTGACTTCCAAGGCTAGGTCATCAAGACCTAATCTTGATGTCCACATGGTGATAAACTCAGGTCTCTTGCCAATAGTCATCAAGGAACTGAGGCTTCCTGCCAACAGCCATGTGGGTGCACCATGGTGGAAGTGGAGCCTCCAGCTATAGTCGAGCCTTCAGACAATGCAACCTCAAGAGAGACTCCAAGCCAGAATTGCCCAGCCACCTGCTCCTGAATTCCTGGCCCACAGAAACTAAGAGATAATGAACATTTTCCGTTTGAAGGTATGTTTTGAGGTAATTTGTAACACAGTGAGTGATAACAAATACAACCCAAATATGCCAACTGCTCTCTTTGATGCGTCTGGGCCTTTGCACATGCTATTCTCCCTGCCTGTGAAGTCTCTCCCACTGACTTTTCCACCAAACTCCCCATCATTCTTCAGGGTCCAATGGAAATGTCATCTCCTCAGTGAAACATCCCTTAACACCATCCCCAGCCCCTTACCTTGCTCCGCCTGACCCAGAGTTGGCCCCTGCCCTGTGACCTCACCAAACCCGCACGTAGCTCTAACATGGTTCTTCCTACTCCAAGTTTTCTCAGAGGCCTGTTGAGGCCACCCTACCTGCCTTTGTGAGCAGCAGAGGGATGGCACCCAGAAAGCTTCAGGAAGGCTCTGTTAACTGGCTGGAGAGCCATCAATTAGAATTTCATTCCAGTGGGATGAGAATTTTTTTTGAAGTATTTTGCACCAAATATTTTAAATGTAGAAGTCTCCATTTTTTTTTTCCTCCAAATGGTGGGAGAGCATGAGGACTCATCAATAAGAGACTTCATCTTACTCTGTTCCAACAAATTGGGCAAGGGGTCCAACCTACCTGGATCAGAGCAAGCACTTTGTCCTGTACAATGGTGGGAGGGTTGTTCTTGGGAGATATAATTTTGACCAGAACACTGTCGATGAAATCTCGGTTGGCCACAAGGATGTGGAAGCGGTGGCCACAGTTCTTCACACATGTCTCCAGCACCTGATGTGGGGAGGGAAGGAAAAGGGTCACCCCAGTGGGAGCTGGAGAAGACACTGGGAACTGAGGAGCGCAGCTGAGTTTCCACCATCCCCTCTGTCTTGCTCCTAGATCAGCTTTCTGACACGTCTCCTCCAGAGCCAAACCTGCATGGCACACGCATTCCCACACTCCATTCTCCAGGGATGACAGCAGCCCCTTACTGACTGAAGTCTCCTGTCCCTGCACAATAATCAGGCAATTAGTTGGTAATTGAGGCACCAGTTTTGCATGAGAAGGATGCTAGTGTTTTAATGGGATCAAAATGACTGAGCGGTCCCTGAAAATTAGCATTTTAACTCCTCTCTCTGGGCCTCTGGGTATAAGGCATTAGCCAATCGGACATGGGCTCTGTCACAAGAGGAGGCTGCTATGACAGCTTGAATTGCTTAGTGAGTTACTGGCCCTTATATGTGAGAAAGCAAATGCACACACACATCCCCCACTCAACCCTGCTTCTGCAACCAAAATTGGCAATGACAAAGGATTTTCCACTCTTGACAAATGGTTTGTGGACCTCAGCTGCCAGGTGACTTTAATGTCCATGTTCAATTCAGACCCTGCCTGCTCCTCCCTTGTCTGGGAAAACAAGTGACACAGGCTTTAGCTGCTCAGAAAAGCCCAGCATACTGGTTCTGGCCAGACGGTCAGTGAGAGCTTGAACCTCAGCTCCACCACTTTCTCCCTGAATGGCCCAGGACAGATCTTTCTGAGCCTCAGCATCCTCATCTGTAAAGCAGAGATGATGAGCTCTCCCTTGCAAGATTGTTGGAAAGATTAGCAAGAATACGTTTAAAGCATAGGCCGGGCATAGTGGTTCATGCCTGTAATCCCAGCACTTTGGGAGGCCGAGGCAGGTGGATCACCTGAGGTCAGGAATTCAAGACCAGCCTAGCCAACACGGCGAAGCCCTGCGTCTACTACAAATACAAAAACTAGCCAGGCTTGGTGGCACATGCCTGTAATCCCAGCTACTTGGGAGGCTGAGGCAGGAGAATCGCTTGAACCTGGGAGGTGGAGGTTGCAATGAGCTAAGATCGCGCCATTGCACTCCAGCTCAGGCAACAGAACAAAACTCTGTCTCAAAAACATACATACATACATACATACATACATACATACATACATACATGCATGCATGCATGCATAAAATAATGCACATAGCAAAGTATCCTGCATAGGGGAGGTGCCCAATAACTGATGACCATGATTACGTGATTACTGTTCAGAAGGCTGCTGTACACACGACGAAGGGGATGGCCTCTTATCCTCCCATAGGACAGGTATGTAGCCTCTTGGAATTCGGAGGTGCCAACTGGGAGTGCTCTGAACTTCCCAGCACTGTGTAAACCAACCCATAGGATTACCTGGCCCTTCCCATGCCAACAGCCCCCAGTGCCACAGTCTACTAACTGGGGAATGCCTCCTCAAAACGATGTCACCAGCAACAGGGAACATTTCTGACTACCTCAATTATTCTCATTTGCCCAAACTAATCCAACCACTGGTTAACTTCTGCAGCCATCCCACAGGGCTAGGTCCAAGCAAGTGGGCTTTACCTGGACAAAACATAGCCGTAAAGAAAGGTCCATAACTGGAACACTGACTGAATGCGACTATATGCCAGGCACTATGAGAGATCCTTCCATAACATATGGAGTTTTATCCAATTCTCACAACTAATTACTTCTCCTTAAGTGGACCTTAATATCCCATGTTTTAGAGTTAAGAGGTTTAGAAAGGTGAAGACATTGATCTAGGTACAAATTGTCAGTCAGTGCCAGAAGGAGCACAAGAGCTGTGATTAGCCTTCTCTGGAGCCCCAGTCTCCTCGCCCACCTTGAGGCCACAGGGCCATCCCTCCCTCACAGCTCTCCTCCAAGCAGCCACATCAGCTAAGAGTGCCTCAGATGACAGGCAACATGTGTTAGATTTATTGTTCCCCCCTTTGGTCCTTGAAATAACCCTGTAAGATGGGAATCATCCCATTTTAGAGATGAGGAAGCTGAGGATCAGAGGTACCATGTAACTTAACCTAGGAGGCCAAAGCTGGGACTCCCCATGCCAGGCAGCTCCGCAGCCAGCCAGAATCGTTCCTTGCCTTGCTGCTGGCTGCACCTTAGGAGGCCCCGGGTTCCTCTGGGCTTGCCAAGGAAGATTCTGGAGGTTAGCACCCTCAGGGCCTCTGAGTGACCACAGGTTTTACTAAGCCAAGGAGGCATTTTCCTTTCTGAGTCTCTGCTTGTGCCTGATTCTGGTAACCGTGAGGTAATTGGCATTCACTCTCTTGTAGTGATCCATGGGGGCACTGAAATGAACCAGAGGGGTTCTTTCTGTTCTCAAGGGCCTTACAGGCACCCTTCTCTCTAGGATTCTCTAAAACCTTCCTCCCAACTCAGGCAGTGGGGTGTTGGGGTCAAGGCAGATGGCAAGAAGTATGCTTTATTTTGTGAGAAGCAGGTGGGAAAGGTGAGGCTGCAATTATGAGTGGGGAAGAGAATTGGAAAAACAGGCATAGGTCTGAGGAGTAGAGCAGCCTGGGGCTCCACTCCACTCTCAGAGCAACAGTGGCAGGAACCACTGCCCGCCATTAGGGAATACATGCTTAGTTTCTCCTGCACAGCAGTCCTCAAGGTCAGTGTGTCCCAGCCTGGTCTTGGAAGTGCCCTGGACAGAGATGCATGTGCCACAGAGCAGCCCCAAAGCCTATCTGAGCAGGAGATCTAGGAGGTCCTCCCTGGGCTGGCAAGAGCCGCTTTAGGCCACCCTGCCAAACAGGACCCTGGCAGTTTTGTCCCTATAGGTTGAAAGGCATGAAACATACAGTGGTAATTTTCCAGAATGAAGCCAAAAGCCATGGAGAAAGTAAACGGGGCCTCTAAGCAATCAGAAGTGATGTTTAAGTCCACAAATGAAGACACAAGCAGAGAGCCCCTCAGGGCTTCTTACTAACTTATTTTGGGTAAATATTAACAATTTTGGTGGGTACAGATATGAAGTCCGGAGAGGGCCACAGGAAACAGGAGGACTGAAAGTGACTAAGAGAGTAAGTGAAGCCCTATCAGCAGACGTGAGACCATGCAAAGCGCGCTAGGATGGGGCCTCAGTGTAGGGACGGCAGCCCTGCGCATTTCACAGGCCTCCCAAAGGCATGGCTGGGTTTGTAGTGAAGACCTAACCCAAGGAAAGGTCAAACAGTGTCCATCATGCCCTGCTAGAGGAAGGCAAGTAAACGCAGAGTTCACTTTAGAAAGATTTCCATCCAACACGATTACCATGAAGTTGGGTGTGTAAATGGAGATGTTTTAGATAGCAGTAAAATTCCCTGATATATTAGAGCTCATTCCCTCGTGATATGAGTTATTGAAAGCCACTCGTTTTGGGCATCACTCCTGGTTTAGTGAATGCTGTGGCTCAAATTCTGAGAAAAAATAAAATAAAAGCTTCAACTCCCTATTTCTCAACCAGTCTTTTCTCCTTTATTATTCAAATCCCAATTCCCTGGCAGAACTCTCTTAATAAGTTTTGGGGTTTCGCTTGGGCAAAAAATCCAAACAGGTTCTCTGCTTTAAAAGGAAACATGGTTGTTTTGGATAAATAACCTACTATTTCAAAGCCCCAGAGAAGTTGACCTGGTGACCTGTTACAGTTTCTATTTTAAGAACTCACTGTGGCCCAGATTTTGCCACATCTGAAAAACTGTTAGTTCTCAAGACAGAAATAACACCTGAAGTCGTCTTTTTAAATTCTCTGACAGCTTTGGTAAGGGCAAAAATCTGGTCTGTTCCTTCCTGAAAAAAATCACTTGGCTGACTTTTTCAAGAGTCTTTGTAGCTATTTTCAGTTTTTACCCCATGCAAAAGACCACTTTATGATGGCAATCCACAGCTCAGTACACCTCACTAGCTGTGAAGGCTGGGTAAACCTCCAGACCTCTCTGAGCCTCAGTTTCATCATCTGTACGGGGGAGGATAGTAAAATCTCTTTTGGAGGGTGGTTGTAAACATATTCATTAATGTCCAAAAAGTTCAGCACAGTCCCAGGCAGGGGCAGGTACTCAATAGGTGGAAGTTAACTTTTTTTTTTTTTTTTTTTTTGAGACGAAGTCTCACTCTGTTGCCCAAGCTGGAGTGCAGTGGTGCGATCTCAGCTCACGGCAACCTCCACCTCCCGGGTTCAAGCAATTCTCCTGCCTCAGCCTCCTGAGTAGCTGGGACTACAGGCACCTGCCACCATGCCTGGCTAATTTTTGTATTTTTAGTAGAGACTGGGTTTCACTATGTTGGCCAGGCTGGTCTTGAACTCCTGACCTTGAGATCCTCCCGCTTCAGCCTCCCAAAGTGCTGGGATTACAGGTGTGAGTCACCGCGCCTGGCCAACATTTTTACAAAGAGGAAACTGATATCTAGAGAAGGAGTTGGTCTCAGTCTCAGAGCAGGCTGGTGACAGAAAAGGGACCCACCCAAAACCTTTAGCTCCTCTGCTCTGGGCTTCTGTACCTGACAGCACTGCACACACCTTATCTTCTGCTCGTATACATTTACCAAATTGAAGCTCACCACTCCCTGTTTCAGAGGACAGGAAAACCCAAAGGCAATACCAGAAGGCTTTGCTGGACTCCAGTGGCCCAGGCACCAAGCCATTCAGAGGTTGTGCTAAGTGGGCAGAGGGAAGGCCCTGTGAGGGGGGCAAGGCCAGGAGCAAGGAGTTCCCCAGATGACTTCTCTCCTCAAGGAGAATAGCACTCACTGTTAATGCCAGCATCACCTCTCTGTAGTTCCGGTTCCCGTTGAGCCGCTTCTTCAGGGCTCGAATGGCATCCTTTGGCCTGGAAAAAAGAACAGACATATAAAGATACTTACAATCCCACTTGAGGACACGATCCTACAGATATGTGAACTAGTATATATGCAAGACTATTTGCTGGCTGCAGCATGTTTGTAAATGTAAAAGACTGGGAACAAACTGAATGTCCATCAATACACAACAGGTTAAATTAAATCATTGACACAATGGAATACTATGCAGCTGCAAAAAAGAATAAAGAAACTCATGCACCAATATACACCAAACTCAAAGACATGTGCATAAAGTTCTTTGCATAACAGTGTACAAAGCTTGCTATTAGTTGAGTTATAGAAGGAAAGCAAACATACATAGCACAGGTGCCAGCGTAGGGAAGAGACTCTCTAGAAAGAGCTATAACAACCTGGTAACTGTGGCTGCCCCTAAGGAAGGGAACCAAAGGCGGAGGGAGGTTTTTCACTGGACTGCCTTTTTGCAGACCTCTTGAATTCTGTATCACATGCAAGTATTATTTATTCAAAACCCTAACTAACCCACTGGTGTGTGGGTACATAGAAGAGAGTTTTTCCAGAGAAACCATATGAGAGACACAGAAGAGAGCGTGCCAGGTCCTTGTGAGCCCTGGATGCCCGGCTCTTCCTGAATTCCATGGAACTCCTTTTCCCAGAGAAAGCTTAAGTGAGTCTCCTTAAAACCCAACAAGTTTTGTGTTTTTAGGTGACAGATCTGAGGTGGATTCCCAGATAAAATCTTGCAGAATTATAGACAGTACTCAGTTCACAAATGGGCTCTGTCCAAAAGTTGGAGTGGAGCTGTTTGGAAGTTGGAGTGAGTTCTTCCTTAATTACTCTTATACCTTAGAGTCAGGATTCCCAGGCAGCCCTCTAAGTATACATATTACATGTAGGTCTTGTGTCTAACATGTAATTTAATTTATTCTAACTCAGGATTCAACAAAGCTGTGGGCCTAGCAGCTGCCCCTGGCACAAAGCCCCTGTGCTGACCTGACCCATCACCCTATGCTCTGGGGAGCCCTCAGTCCGGCTGTGGGCCAGCGCTTTGCAATCACACATGGGTTCCAGCCTTCCACTAATCTATGTGTCAATATACTGGTCTTTCCCAGCTTGCACGTTTGTTAAGTCAGGGATCTCCTATTCCTACAGTTTTAAAACATTTATACTCTACCAAATGAAAAGGCCCCTTCAAATGTGTATGAGGAAGTTGAGGAGGGGAAAGGGTTGATGCTCTGCTAATCAGCTTAATTTAAGAGAAACTGGGCCGGGCATGGTGGCTCACAGTCTGTAATCCCAGCACTTTGGGAGACCAAGGCAGGTGGATAACCTGAGGACAGGAGTTTGAGACCAGCCTGGCCAACATGGTGAAACCCCGTCTTTACTGAAATATACAAAAATTAGCTGGGTGTGGTGGCAGCTGCCTGTAATCCTAGCTGCTCGGGAGGCTGAGGCAGGAGAATCGCTTGAACCTGGGAGACGGAGGTTGCAGTGAGCTGAGATCACGCCATTGTACTCCAGCCTGGGCGACAAGAGTGAAACTTCATCTCCATAAAAATAAAAAAGAGAAAGTGTGTCCAGCATTATGGCTCATTCCTGTAATCCCAGGACTTTGGGAGGCCGAGATGGGTGGATCACTTGAGGTCAGGAGTTCAAGACCAGCCTGGCCAACATGGTGAAACCCTGTCTCTACTAAAAATACAAAAAAATTAGCTGGGCATGGTGATGTGTGCCTGTAGTCCCAGGTACTCTGGAGGCTGAGGCAAGAGAATTGCTTGAACCTGAGATGTGAAGGTTGCAGTGAGCTGAGATTATGCCACTGCACTCCAGCCTGGGTGACAGAGTAAGACTCCATCTCAAAAAAAAAAAAAAAAAAGAGAGAAAGAAAGAAAAAAAGTTTAAGGAGCAAGGCTACTAGAAGAAAATTTTAAAACACCCTGAATCACCTGTTTCCCATTCCCAGCTTGACATATGGCTGCCCTGTAGGAATTCTTGGCCCCTGGGTCAAAGGGCTGATGAGACAGACACAAGGCTCCATGGGGACTGGGCCCAAGGCCAAGTATGTCTGCAGTACGGCTGCCATTTCCAAAAGGGGATGCTGATTTCTGCAAATATGGGACTTAACCGGCTCTCTGCTTTGAAGGCTGTTTGTGGCATGAGAGCTGATGAAATTCAGTGGCTACTGGCCAACAGCATGGACTGATTTCCTCTCTCCAAGGCTCTGCCAAACCACTGCTGTCCCTGACCCACAGCTGCCACACCCCTCAGTCCTCTCTTCTGTCCTCTTGAACTTCCATGGAACAGGAAAATAGGAAGAGCGCCTGAGGGCTGCAATCATTTCTGGCTGGCAGAGGACCAGCACACTCAGGGCTCTCCTGGTGTGGGGGCCACGGGGTGGGAAATCAGACAGTCAGCAGCTTCCTGGATGAGGTTTAAAATGAAAATTCATCCATAGGCTCTGGGAAGTACTGGCCGAGAGTGATGGGTGAGCACAAAAGCAAGTATTTATCTCTCTCCCCGGGGGAAAAGCTTCAGAGAGGAGGATCAAAGTCATGTCAAAGGAAACACAAAGTTTCAAGAAGCTGCAGCAGATTAGATAGTGTGGAGTTGGAAACCAGGAGAAGAGACAGAAGCATGTGTCAAGAGCCAAGATGGAGCAGAAAGAAAGGATCAGGAAGAATCAGTGGCCTGTGTTGAGATGGCATCAAGCCCTAGCAGCTTTCAGGGGAAAGGTCAGGCTCCTCAGGCAGTGCTCACAGCCTCGTGATTTGGCCTCTGGGCCATGATCAGGCTCCTCAAAGTCTCCCTGGACCCTAGACTTATAAGAACTCTTCCCTGATCCCCAAACAAGCCTCCTGTCATCCCTCCAGCCACAGCCTTTGTATCTTTGTCCTTCAGCTTCAGGACTACTCTCTGGAAAAGCTTTCTCCTCATCACCCCCAAGGAGGACATGGCTGCCCCTCTTCTGTCACCCTGAACATGCCCTCCCCATTATTATCTTGCTCTATTGCATGTCTTCAGTTCCTCCTCTGTGCCCTCTCCAGCTTAGAAGATAGAACACAAAGATTCTATGAGCTGAGGAGGGTCCAGAGATGGCCATGTAAATGACCCAGGTCAGGGGTTCCTCATGAGAGCTGCACATCAGAGTCACCTGTAGTGCCATTCCCAAATCCACAAGCTGTGCCTTGATTGTGTAGGTCTGAGGTGAGGCCTGGAAAACAGAGTCTAAAACAGTCCCAGCTGGGTGCTCTGGCTCACGCCTGTAATCCCAGCACTTTAGAAGCCCAAGGCAGGTGGGAGGTCAGGAGTTCAAGACCAGCCTGGCCAACATGGTGAAACCCTGTCTCTACTAAAAATACAAAATTAGCCGGGCGTGGTGGTACACACCTATAATCCCAGCTACTCAGGAGGCTGAGGCAGGAGAATTGCTTGAGCCTGGGAGGCGGTGGTTGTGGTGAGCTGAGATCACACCATTGCACTCCAGCCTGGGCGACAAGAGCAAAACTCCACCTCAAAAATAAATAAATAAATAAAAACAGTCCCAGGTAGGTTATTCAGTCAGCCACTCCTGGTTAATGCCTGAAGGACTGTCATCAAGGCCTTAGGCATCAGCATTCCTCAGGCTGATGGTGACCTCAGCTCTGGACATTAGGGAAAGCCCAAGGAGAGGCCTTTCGGGCAGTTTACCAATCTGCACCCACCAGGACCACAGCCTCCCATTGGTAAAGTATTGCACAAATACAAGAAGTGCAGGCAGCACTTCAGTGGCTGCGGCCAGGTGAGCCTGTGCTTGCATCCTGCATGTGCCCTTCCAAGCTGTGCTGCAAGGCCTTTGGCAAGTGACCAAACTACTCAGCCTCAGTTTCCTTAACACTGAAACAGGCTGTCACTACCATATAGAACTGTTGGGGGTAGGGGGCGCTGCTTGTGATGATGCACTGCAGGGCTGGACACAGGGCCTGCAGGGCGTGGCACATGCCAAGTGCTCACAGACAGCAGACAGGGTAAGGGCAGTGAATCCACCAAGATAGTCACCAAGACTGGGCAGATAACTGACACCCAAATGAAAGTGATGACAAAAGTCATGGGCAATGGAAATCTTTAAAGTGAAATAGTACATCCACATAGATATAGTATGGATATGAAGATACAGTTATGTAGCCAGATACATCATATATATTTACTCCTTTAATCCTTGTAACAACCCTATGAGATAGGTATTATTGGCAACCCCATTTTATAAGTGAGGAAATGGGACACAGACACAGGGAGATGAAGTAACTCACACAGGCTCGCACAATAAGCGAGTGGTGACCTAGAATTGCTCCAGCCTGTGGTGTCCACCTTCCTCCCCTTCATCCACCTGCCTCATCTGGCTGATACCCTGGCACTCTGTAAGACTCCAGTCTGGTGTCACTTCCTCCAAGAAGGCTTTGCTGCCAAAAGTCCCAAGGCTGACCACTGCCACTGCACTAGTCTCCGTAGCTATATATAGCTTCTCTCTCTCTCCCTGCCCCCCACCCAGCACTCGTTATGCATATGTTTATATGCCTGCATTCCTCATCAGACTGTGAGTACCTTAGAGACTTCATTCATTTATTCACTTATTTAACAAATATTTATTAACAGCTAATCAAATGCATTGTGCTAGGTGCTAGGGACAAAATGTTGAGTAATTGGCTGGGCGCGGTGGCTCACGCCTGTAATCCCAGCACTTTGGGAGGCTGAGGCGGGCGGATCACGAGGTAAGGGGATCGAGACCATGGTGAAACTCCGTCTCTACTAAAAATACAAAAAAAATTAGCTGGGCGTGGTGGCGGGCGCCTGTAGTCCCAGCTACTCAGGAGGCTGAGGCAGGAGAATGGCATGAACCCGGGAGGCGGAGCTTGCAGTGAGCCGAGATCGCGCCACTGCACTCCAGCCTGGGCGACAGAGCGAGACTCCATCTCAAAAAAAAAAAAAAAAAATGTTGGGTAAAACAGATGGAAATCCTGTCCTCATGGAGATCACAGCCTTGCGGGGGTTGCAGGGCAAGACAGACACTAACAACCGTCCCACAGATCTGTAAGTTTAAACTGTGATGAGCATCAGTACAACACGGGTTATGAAATCATATAACAGAGGACTTGTCCAAATCAGGAGGGGAAGGGGTTAGGGAAATGAGATTCAAACTGAGAGATCCAGTGAATGACGGGATCTACTTAGTGAAAGAGGTGACGAGAACAGAAGGGACAGCAGGTCAGAGGCCTTCAGGGAGGGCACAAAGGGGTGGGTGGGGTGCCCTACTGTCAGTCCAACTTGTGGGAGTTTCTTTCACTCAGGAAGAGATTATTATTATTATTATTATTTTTAAGATATGGGGTCTCACTACATTTCCTAGGCTGGTCTCAAACACCTAGGCTCAAGCAATCCTCCTGCCTCAGCCTTCTGAATAGGTGGGACTACAGGCATGAGCCACTGCACCTTGCTAGGAAGAGATTTTGAGACACCTCACAGCAGAGGCAACAAGAAAACATTCTCAGGAATCACTGAGGTGCTCTCACTCAAAAAGGTAGCAACAGGAGCTTTAGCCACTTGAAGAGAAAGATGTGTGTGACCAGCCTTCTGGGAATTGAGGATTTGAAAAAGAAGGCATTGGCCCCTTCAGAATAAGGAAGCTCCTGGGGTTCCTGGGCTTCCTGCCCTCAAGCCATAGAGATATTTGAGCAATTCACTGGAAAATAAGAGTTGCCAACATATTTGTATATTGCTCAAATCTGTAGAGAATTTCAAGCTGGGCCCAGGAATATGGAAAATTCAAGGAGCTGAAAGATCAGCAGGGTTGAAGAGCTCAAAGTGGAGCTGCCGAGGGGTCTGGGGCTCCTCATGAGGGGCCTGGTTGGGGTTTTTAACCTAAGTGCCTGCGAAACCCCTGAAGGCTTGTTAGCAAGGGAGCAACTTGGTCGTTGTGCAGCAGGAAGGGGTAGGAGGGAAGGGGTCGAAGCAGAGGTCCACCTCTAGGGTAAAGTGCAGACACCAGAGAATGCAGCACCTGACCTTGACTACCTTTCCAGCCGGATTCCAGACCCTCCCGCTCCCCCAATGTCACCCTGTCTATCCTAGACAGCTTGTATCCCTTGACACACTGGCCCTTTTGATGCCACCCTTGGCTACGGGACACATTTCTCCTGCCATCCTGGAAGACAGCCCCTCCAGGAAGCATTGATACCCACCTTTCCCTCTGGGACCATGGCATCAGGGACAGGCCTTGGCCACAGCCCTTGCCAGTCCTGCCAGGTGAGCGTTCAAGGGCAGGCTGGAACATTCACCTTGGCATCCCGTAGCTGCTATACCTCCACCCCTGGGGGTCAGTAAACATGGCCAGATGACTGGACAAACAAGTGAATGAGTGGCATGTTAGGAGGACGTGAGGAAGGTAGCCACTCGGAGCCCAGTGACGATGGGATTAGAGATGTGTAGTCCCTAACAACTATTTGTGAGTCACGTCTGTGTACCAGGCACCAAGCTGATCACCTATATTTAGCTGGTGAAAATATGCCACCTTTCACCAAAGACTCCCACGTTTTCATCCAGTGCAGGCCACTGCCCCCAACTCAAGTTCCCTGTGCAGTTCCCTGTCACATCTTCCAGGAGCCTGGCTGGCAGCAAAGATCTACTGCTGATCTCTGCTCCCCAGCCTGCTCCACCTCAGGAAACAGCAGCTCCATCCCATGGTTGTTCAGGCCCCAAACCTTGCAATTTCCCTTAACTCTTCATTCCTGTCTTATGTCAGCCAATTCCATTGGCTCTACCATCTAACACATTCAGAATCCCATCACTTCTAATCATCATCTCACACCAGTATTACTGTGATAACCTCCTCACTGGGTTTTCTTTCTTCTTTTTTCTTTTTAGAGACAGGGTCTTACTCTGTCGCCCAGGCTAGAATGCAGTGACACCGTCCTGGTTCATCACAGCCTCGAACTCCTAGGCGTAAGCAATCTTCCTGCCTCAGCCTCGTACAGTGCTGGGATTGCAGGTGCACGCCACTATGCCAGGCCATCGCTGGGTTTTCTGCATTGTCCTTGGCCTGCCCCCAGTCAGGCCACTCTGAACACAGTAGACTGAGTGATCTCTTTCCAATAAGAGTGGGACCACACCACTCCTCTGCTTGAATCTCCAAAAAGGTTGAAGCCAGAGTTGCTCTGGTTCTACATGGCCCTGTGTTATCTGGGTCCCCAGTATGTCGGTAACTTCCTCTCCAGGTACTCTCTTCTTTGACCACTCTGCTCCGGGCCCATTAGCCACCTTGCTATTCCTCAAACACATCAGACACCCTCTGTCCCAGGACTTCTGGGTTTGCTGTTCCATGAGCCTTGACAGTTCTTCCCTTGTATAATCCTCACCCCCTACTCCCTCATCTCCTTCAAGTCTTTGTTCAATGTCACCTTCTAAATGAGACTTTTCTGTTGTTTTGTCTTCTCTTTTCATTTTTTTTTTTTTTGAGACAGGGTTTTTCTCTGTCACCAAAACTGGAGTACAGTGGCATGCTCATGGCTCACTGCAGCCTCGACCTCCTGGGCTCAAGTGATCCTCCCACCTCAGCCTCCCAAGTAGTTGGGACTACAGGTGTGCACCACCACGCCTGGCTAACTTTTGTATTTTTTGTAAAGACAAGATTCAACCGTGTTGCCCAGGCTGGTCTCGAATTCCTGGGCTCAAGCAACTGGCCCACCTTGGCCTCCCAAGGTGCTAGGATTACAGATGTGACCCACCGAGCCCAGCCAAGACTTTTCTTGATCACTCTATTTAACATTGCTAATTCCCAGCCTCCTCTCTCCCCATCTCCCTTCCACAGTCTTGTCCTCATCTGACCAGGTTATATGTTTAATTATCTTGTTTATGGCCTGCCTCCCTACTACTCTAGACTGGCCGCTCCCCAAGGGGAAGGAATCTATCTTGTTCACTGCTGTGTCCTCAGTATTTACAATAGGGCCTGGCACAAGGTAGTCATTCGAGAAATATTTGTTGCATGAAAGCAGGACCAAGCTTGAGAGGCTGGTCCCCAGTTCACACATGGCAAGGCTAGAGTGACAGTGCTGAGATGCCAGCCCAGGGATGCCTGAGTCCCAGCTGCTCTCCTTGCCACTCCTGAAAATGGTTTAAGAGGGCATGGCTACAGTAAAGTAAGTGTTAGTGGTATGGACAGAGGGCTAAATACAGACCAGTTTGGAAGAAGTACAAATAGAGTGCAGCTGTAAAACAAAAGAGGATTCAGGAAATAACAACAGGAACGGATCCAGCAGTGCAGGAATGCAGGAGGGGCAACGTGTTCTAAGTCCACTCATGCCGCTTTCCCACTCCCGGCCGTGTCTGCCCCATGCCCTGGACCTCCCTCCATGGACACGGTGGTGCTCTCTGACTCCTGGCAAACCAGGGCAGAGACAGGCTGTGAAGGAGAGGCAGAGGCCAGGGAGGAGGGGAGGGACGAGGTGACACTTGGGCTGCAGAGACTAATGGCCACTGGGAACCAAGTAATCAAGCAGCTTCATTTCCACTTGTGATTAAAAGCAGGTGATTAAAGGAGGTCATCCCTGTTCTACCTCCAAGCACTGCCATTGGGCAAGTGGGGGAGGGATGAAGACAAAAAGGACAGATAATTCAGAGTGTCAGCTTATTCGATGCCAAACCAAACATACTAGGAACAAAACAAAAAATAAAACCTGCCACCCTTAGGCCCTGACAAGCTTTGAGTGGCCCCTAAAAGCTCAGAGAGGCTTCCCAGGAGAGGGGGGCACACGTACCCTTCCTCCGTCTCATTGATGATGTCACAGATCTCCATATTCAACGTCCAATCCTCACTTTGCAGGGAGCCATCTGTTGCCTTTTCTGTGAAATCAGAGAGAAAATGGGTTTACATTTCTCCTGGAATAAGTGGGCCTTGGCAGGAAATGGGAAGAGACCAGAACCACCACATTCTTCTCCCAAGCAGATGGGCTGAGCCAACAGAGCCATTCTAGGAGTGCTATTATCACAAGAGAACACCCGGGAAAGGTCCTGGCCTGAGGGCTGATGTTATAACGAGGTTCTTCATTCACCAAACTCTAGACTGAAAAGCTTATGACAGGCCTAAGCCATCAAAAATCACCCCAAACATGAGGATATTAGGTTTATGAACCCGTAGAGTCTGGAGCCAAACTACCTAGGTTCAAATACAGGCTCCACTACTTACTAGTTGTGTGGTCTTGGGTAAATTACTTAACTTCTAGGTGCCAAAGCTAGTGAAAACAACAGCACTTACCTGATATATTTGTTATGAAAATTAAATGGGTTGATATACATGAAACACTTAGAACAGAGCCTAGCACACAGTCAGTACTATACAGGTATTTGCTATTGGGATTATTAAAAATCAATTGCAGTAGTTAAAAACTACATTTCAGATAAGGGGGAGAAAGAAAGGACCATTGGTTATCAAGCCACTGTAGGTGTGGTGTTGGGTGTTTCACGTACATTATTTTATCTCATCCACAAAATGACTTTCTGACCACTCAATGAGGAAAGGACAGTATTTTCAACAAATGGTGCTGTGAAAATTGGATTGCCACATGCAAAAGAATGAACTTGGACCCTTTATCTTACACCATATACAAAAATTTACTCCAAATGGATCAAAGACATAAATGTAAGAGCTCAAACTAAAAAACTCTTAGAAGAAAACATAGTGAAAAAACTTCATGACACTAGATTTGGCAATCATCTCATGGATATGACACCAAAAGCACAGGCAACAAAAGAAAAATTTTGAACTACATCAAAATAAAAACTTCCAGGCATCAAAGGACACAACACAGTGAACCTGCAGAGGAAGAAAATATTTGCAAAATTATATATATGATAAGGGGTTAATATCCAGACTACGTAAAGAACTCCTATAGCTTAATAACAAAAAAACCCAAACTATCCAATTAAAAAATGGGAAAGGACTTCAATAGACATTTCTCCAAAGAAGATATATAAATGACTAACAAGTATGTGAAAAGAGGTTCAACATCACTAAGCATTAGGGAAGTGCAAGTCAAAAACACAATGAAATATCACCTCACACCCATTAGGATGGCTACTATCAAAAAAATAGAAAATAACAAGTGTTGGCAAGGATATAGACAAATTGGAACCCCTTTACACTTTTGATGGAAATGTAAAATGATATAGCTGCTATGGAAAACAGGACGGTAGTTAAAACACAGAATTACCCAGCCAGGCGCGGTGGCTCACGTCTGTAATCCCAGCACTTTGGGAGGCCAAGGAGGATGGATCACCAGGTCAGGAGATCGAGACCATCTGGCTAACATGGTGAAACCCCGTCTCTACTAAAAATACAAAAAATTAGCCAGGTGTGGTGGTGGGCACCTGTCGTTCCAGCTACTCAGGAGGCTGAGGCAGGAGAATGGCGTAAACCCAGGAGGCGGAGCTTGCAGTGAGCCAAGTTCATGTCACTGCATTCCAACCCGGGCGACAGAGCCAGACTCCGTCTCAAAAACAAAAACAAACAAACAAACAAAAAACATAGCATTACCCTATGATCTAGCAATTTTACTTCTGAGTATATACCCAAAAGAACTGAAAGCAGGGCCTTGAGGAGATATTTGCAGAGTCATGTTCATAGCAGCAATAGTCACAAGAGCCAAAAGGTGTAAACAGCCTGTGTCCATCAATTAAAGAATGGATAAGCCAAATGGATATACATATAATGGATTATTATTCAGCCTTAAAAAGGAAGGAAATCCTATTGCATGCACAATATGGCTGAACCTTGAGGGCCTTGTGCTAAGTGAAATAAGCCTTTCACCAAGACAAATACTAGATGATTCTACTTACAATCAGGTACCTAGAATAGTCAAATTTAAAGACAGAAAGTAGAATGGTGGTTGCCAGAGGCTGCTGGGGGGTGTGGGGGTGGGGGAATGGGGAGTTATTGTTTAATGAACACAGAATTTCAGTTTGGGGAAAATGAAAGAGTTCTGGAGATGGTTGTTGATGGTTGCACACAATGTGAACATACTTAATGCCACTGAACTGTATACTTTAAAATGGTTAAAATGGGCCAGGCAAAATGGCTCACACCTGTAATCTCAGAACTTTGGGAGGCTGAGGCAGGAGGGTTACTTGAATCCAGGATTTGACAACAGCTTGGGCAACATAGCAAGACATTGTTTCTACAAAAAATTTAAAAATTAGCTGGGCATAGTGGCTTGTGCCTGTGGTCCTAACTACTAATGAGGCTGAGGCAGGAAGATTGCTTAAGTCCAGGAGTTTGAGGCTGCAGTGAGATATGATTGAGCCACTGCATTCCAGCCTAGGCAACAGAGTAAGACCCTGTCTCTTAAAAAACTTTTTGTTGAATGGTTAAAATGATAAATTTAATGTTATGTGTATTTTAAAAACCACCACCAAAAAAGACAGAAAAATTATACATAGGTCAATGGACTGCTGGGTCAGGGAGTAGCAGGGTGGGGATCAGAGATCATTTGGGTCTGTAGCCTCCTTTGACGGGAAACCCGGGGCCCGCAGAAGAAAAGGGAAAGGTCCAGGAGCTCAGGATCGTCAGTGGCAGAGCCAGGACTACAGCCAGGGTCACTTGACTCCCTTCCCCCTCTGGGATGTGAGCTCTGTGAGGGCAGGGACTAGGTCTGTCTTGCCTTCCACTGGGTCCCCAGTGCCCAGCACTTGGCAGTAGTGCAATGCATTTACATCAGATGAATGACTGCATTAGCAACCCTTCCTCTAAGTTATGGATCTCAGCCCTGGCTGTACACGAGAACCACCTGGGGAGCTTCTAGAGAGCACCAATACCTGAGCCTCATGCCCCAGAGGTTCTACTTTGAATGGTATGGGGTGGGATTCAGTGATTATTACTATTATTATTATTATTATTTTTATGTGAGACAGAGTCTCACTCCATTGTGCAGGCTGGAGCGCAATGGTGTGATCTCGGCTCACTGCAACCTTTACCTCCTGGGTTCAAGCAATTCTCCTGTCTCAGCCTCCCGAGTAGCTGGGATTACAGGCACGTGCCACCATGCCTGGCTAATTTTTGTATTTGTAGTAGAGATGGGTTTCGGCACGTTGGCCAGACTGGTCTCGAACTCCTGACCTCAGGTGCTCCACCCACCTCAGCCTCCCAAAGTGCTGGGATTACAGGCGTGAGCCACTGTGCCCAGCCCCAACACTCTTGATGGTTGGGGAGGTAGATCATTTGGCTGTTTTCTTCTCCATTCTCACCAAAAGGATGTTGCTGAATGCAAAATGCTAAAACCAGTCCTCTTTTGCCTTCTGGTGTTGGCTGCTTCTGAAGTCACTATATTTAACATCAAAGTGTAGAAAGCGGCAGCCAAAAAGCCAAGCCGCTGGATTGCGAGGCTCCTCCAAACAGGGCTGCCTTAGGTTTCAGAGAACATAGGAGGGTGGGTGGGCAGAAAAACCATGCTCAGAGCCAGCACTATCACTGCTGTCAGCGTCAAGGCTTCAGGGCATCCTGGCCTGGGTCCTACCCCAGGCGAGAGAAAATGCCATGGCAACGGCATCAGGATGCTATGCTGCTCTTGCACTGAAGATTTAATGGGAGCCGTATCTGATTACCCGAGCTCAGGCCTGCCCTGCCCTGTCCAGTCCAGCCCAGCCTGGCCTACCCTACCCAGCCTCTTCCCCAGCCCAGTCCTTGGCCATTAGCATATCACCAGAGAGGTCAGCACTTTACAATTATCCGTCCAGAGGGCTGGCTGGTGGGAAGGACTTGCCCCACTGTTCCCTAGAACACTTGTGTTTCTGCTGTTGCACCAGGTTTTATTTTAGGTTTTGACGATTTAGGTGACAAAATAAATGAGACTGAACTTTGCTTTCCTCTGGCCTGGGGACAGGACTGAGTGAGGGAGCCCACATTGAGTGGCCTTAGTTCCAGAGGCAATCAGATCCAACTTTGCTCTTGATTAGCTGGAAATTCTTTTTTTTTTTTAATTTTTTTATTTTTTATTGATCATTCTTGGGTGTTTCTCACAGAGGGGGATTTGGCAGGGTCATAGGACAATAGTGGAGGGAAGGTCAGCAGATAAACAAGTG
Source organism: Homo sapiens (assembly GCF_000001405.40). Lineage (NCBI taxonomy): Eukaryota > Metazoa > Chordata > Mammalia > Primates > Hominidae > Homo > Homo sapiens. The sequence continues at coordinate 17,911,762 of NC_000017.11, forward strand.
AACAAAGGTCTCTGGTTTTCCTAGGCAGAGGACCCTGCGGCCTTCCGCAGTGTTTGTGTCCCTGGGTACTTGAGATTAGGGAGTGGTGACGACTCTTAACGAGCATGCTGCCTTCAAGCATCTGTTTAACAAAGCACATCTTGCACCGCCCTTAATCCATTTAACCCTGAGTGGACACAGCACATGTTTCAGAGAGCACAGGGTTGGGGGTAAGGTCACAGATCAACAGGATCCCAAGGCAGAAGAATTTTTCTTAGTACAGAACAAAATGAAAAGTCTCCCATGTCTACTTCTTTCTACACAGACACGGCAACCATCCGATTTCTCAATCTTTTCCCCACCTTTCCCGCCTTTCTATTCCACAAAACCGCCACTGTCATCATGGCCGGTTCTCAATGAGCCGCTGGGCACACCTCCCAGACGGGGTGGTGGCCGGGCAGAGGGGCTCCTCACTTCCCAGTAGGGGCGGCTGGGCAGAGGCGCCCCTCACCTCCCGGACGGGGCGGCTGGCCGGGCGGGGGGCTGACCCCCCCACCTCCCTCCCGGACGGGGTGGCTGCCGGGCGGAGACGCTCCTCACTTCCCAGACGGGGTGGCTGCCGGGCGGAGAGGCTCCTCACTTCTCAGACGGGGCGGCTGCTGGGCAGAGGGGCTCCTCACTTCTCAGACGGGGCGGTTGCCAGGCAGAGGGTCTCCTCACTTCTCAGACGGGGTGGCCGGGCAGAGACACTCCTCACCTCCCAGACGGGGTCACGGCCTGGCAGAGGCGCTCCTCACATCCCAGACGGGGCGGCGGGGCAGAGGCGCTCCCCACATCTCAGACGATGGGCGGCCGGGCAGAGACGCTCTTCACTTCCTAGATGGGATGGCGGCCGGGAAGAGGCGCTCCTCACTTCCTAGGTGGGATGGCGGCCGGACGGAGACGCTCCTCACTTCCCAGACTGGGCAGCCAGGCAGAGGGGCTCCTCACATCCCAGACGATGGGCGGCCAGGCAGAGACGCTCCTCACTTCCCAGACGGGGTGGCGGCCGGGCAGAGGCTGCAATCTCGGCACTTTGGGAGGCCAAGGCAGGCGGCTGGGAGTTGGAGGTTGTAGCGAGCCGAGATCATGCCACTGCACTCCAGCCGGGGCACCACTGAGCACTGAGTGAACGAGACTCCGTCTGCAATCCCGGCACCTCGGGAGGCCGAGGCTGGCGGATCGCTCGCGGTTAGGAGCTGGAGACCGGCCAGGCCAACACAGCGAAACCCCGTCTCCACCAAAAAAAATACGAAAACCAGTCAGGCGTGGCAGCGGGTGCCTGCAATCGCAGGCACTCGGCAGGCTGAGGCAGGAGAATCAGGCAGGGAGGTTGCAGTGAGCCGAGATGGCAGCAGTACAGTCCAGCTTCGGCTCGGCATGAGAGGGAGACCGTGGAAACAGAGGGAGAGGGAGACCGTGGGGAGACGGGAGAGGGAGAGGGAGACCGTGGGGAGACGGGGGAGACCGTGGGGAGACGGGAGAGGGAGAGGGAGAGGGAGAGCTGGATTTCAAAGCTTCATCCATGCTGAGCTGCAAGGGGAATGGACAGAACTGGAAACTGGGGCAGACTGGAGTTGCCAGCCTAGGCTGGGCTGTGAGCTCCATGGAGCAGATGCCGGGCCATCCTGCCCCGGCTCTAAGCCCAGCCCCAGGCCAGGGCCGGCACCTGGTAGGCTCTTCATGAGTGCTTCCTGAATGAATGCTGCAGAATGGAAATTCTTTTATGAAGAGAAAAATCAGAACTGATTTGAGCTCCTCTGTCAGCCTTACTTCCCTCATCTGTTTCAGTAGAGCTAAATACCCATGGTTGTGTTTGTGTGGCATTTTCTGCAAAATGAAAAGAAAGAAGCATTCTTTTTGGGTTGGTTCTTTATAATCAAAATGGGTATATATCTTTTAGCTTGAAAACTCAAATCCCAGTAATTGAATAGAATGCACTGACCCTGAGGATAAGTTATCATGCCTTTGAACCCTTCCCCAGTATCATAAGAGGAAAGGAAAGGGTGAATATAAGGTTAATGGATTCTGCTGCTAAACCGAACTTGGAAACGAGGTTTCATTGATTTAATATTTCCTCTATTAAGCCTCCCAAGACTGTATCCCTTGTAGCCCTACCAAAGTGCAATCTCTGTACTTTCTTCTCCATGAGAGTCTGTGCCACAGCTTGAGTTCTGTGAAGGGGAGAGACTACTACCCCCTAGCCAGCTGGCCTCTCCCCTTCCTGGCTCAAAAGAGTAGCAAGTCCAGGCCCGCAGGCAAAGCTGCTTCCATCAGGATAAGTCTCCTCTTGAGGAGGCTGCTGGATTTATGGCTGCAGACATGCCCCTGCTGTGTGTGACCCAGGTGGTGAGTCATTCCCTCTGGGCGTGGACAGAGGAGGGGTGTTCAGAGACAGCTGCAGGAAGAGCAGGGGCAGGAGGCAGGCACCATTTCACTGCTGCAGGCTCCCAGCACACCTGGGGCTCATTCTGTGTCTGGATAAGCCATAGGGTGACAGGGCACACTGCTGTCTCAGTGGCTACATTGTGTCCTCCCCCTTAACCTTCCTGGAACCTCTGCCCTCAGTCTTTTCTTCTCTAAACAGATGTGCCTACCACCACCCCCATTCTTCCTAGGCCTGCCTGCCCTCCCTTGGGGGGCTCTGATTTCCCTGTTAGGCCCAGGTCTGCTCCTTGCTGGCTTTATGACTTTTACTCTCTTTCCCACATGCATGAAAAGGGCAGAGAGGGGGTATGGCATCTCTGGGGCCTATCTGGCTCTTAACCATTGCTGACATGCATTCTCATCCCTTCCTCTCCTCCTCCACTTTCCCCATCTTGTAGACAAGTATCAAATACTGCTTCTGTAACTGCCAGCCTGGTGCCATCTGAGGACTGACTTTGGTTAAGATTGCTCCAAATCTCAAGAGCCTCCTAGCCCCTGCCCAGTCCTCTGGCTGTGTATTGCATTCATGTGAAGTCAGATTCTTACTATTTGGGGGTGGGGTTGCTTTCTCAGAGCAGGGGCTTGGAGGCACCTGGGTGGTCAAGTCTTTGAGTCTTTGAGTGCCAAGTGTGATGAATAAAGAGAAAAGGTTAGGGATATATCTTTTTTAGGTAAAAAAAAATTTAAAAAGAGCAGTAAATAAAACAATGAGGCTTTTTAATGCAGACAGAAGACTGTTGCACAAATGTTTTGAGCAACAGCTATATTTTTGGAGTGTGCTGTCACTGCTTGTAAAGTATAGCTTTTGTTTGGATGTGTGAGTTCTATCTAGTTTGTTACGTAAAAAACAAGTGTCACTTCACCATAGCTGCATCCAGTAAAACAAGGATACTTCCAGCCTGTACAGAGGTCTTCTATGTTATTATCTGAGTATCGGCGAAGTGTGGATTGTATTAAACTTTTATTAAAATAGTGGTGATGGTATCCTTTCATGAATTGAGAGTTAGGATGGGGTAGTTTCAGAATTCCTCCAAGATATTAACTTCAGATCCAAACTCAGGCTTTGCTAGCAGGTGAGACTATATCATGCAAACATCCAGGCTTTAGAGACAGAACTAGGATCAAATATTGGTACCACCAATTCAATGATGGGATCCTGGCTTACCAGGTGTGAAGTGGTATCCCAGTGTGGTTTTGTTTTGTATTTCTCTAATGACTACTGATGTTGAGCATTTTTTCATGTGCTTTTTGGCCATTTGTATATCTTCTTTGGAGACATATCTATTCAATTTTTTTGGCCCCTCACCCCTTTTTTTTAAGAGACAGGATCTCACTTTGTCACCTAGAATGGAGTGCAGTGGCCCAATCATAGCAGCATAGCTCATTGCAACCTTGAAATCCTGGTCTCAAGCAATCCTCCCACCTCAGCCTCCCAAGTAGCTGGGACTTCAGGGATGCACCACCACAACTAGATAATTTTCTTTAAAAAAATTTATGTAGAGATGGGGTCTTGCTATGTTACCCAGGCTGATCTTGAACGCCTGGCCTCAAGTGATCCTCTTGCCTTGGCCCCCCAAAGTACTAGGATCACAGGCATGAGCCACAATGCTTGGCTCCATTTTTAAACTGAGTAGGTTTTTTTTTTTTTTTTTGGTTGTTAAGCTGTAAGAGTTCTTTATATATTCTGAATATTAATCCCGCCTATTTTATGGTTGTCTTTTCACTCTCTTGATTGTATCTTTTAATGCACAAAAGTTTTAAATTTTGATTGTCCCATTTATCTATTTTTTCTTTTGTTGCCTGTGGTTTTGGTACCATATCTCAGAAATCTTTGCTAAATCCAATGTCATGATTTCCCCTTTTTAAGATTTTTTTTTTTTTTTTTGAGATGGAGTCTTGCGCTGTCACCCAGGCTGGAGTGCAGTGGCGCGATCTCAGCTCACTGCAAGCTCTACCTCCTGGGTTCACGCCCTTCTCCTGCCTCAGCCTCCTGAGTAGCTGAGACTACAGGCGCCCACCACTATGCCAGGCTAATTTTTTGTATTTTTAGTAGAGACGGGGTTTCACTGTGTTAGCCAGGATGGTCTCGATCTCCTGACCTCGTGATCTGCCTGCCTTGGCCTCCCAAAGTGCTGGGATTACAGGCATGAATCACCGCGCCCGGCCTATTTTAAGATTTTTATAGTTTTCCCTTCGCTCTTATGTTTAGGTCTTTGGTCTGTTTGGGGTTCATTTTTGCATATGGTATAAGATAATGGTCCGACTTCACTCTTTTGCATGTGGATATTCAGTTTTCCCAGCACCATTTGTTGAAAAGACTGTCCTTTCCCCTCTAAATACTTTTGGCACCCTTGCTGAAAATCAATTGACCATATACGGGAGAGTTTATTTCTGAGTTCTCTACTTTATTCCATTGGTCCATGTGTCTTTCCTTATTCCAATACCATGATGTTGTGATTATTATAGTTTTGAAGTAAGTTTTGAAATCAGGAAGTGTGAGTCCTCCAACTTTGTTCTTTTTAAAGGTTGTTTAGGGCCAGGCGCAGTGGCTCACGCCTGTAATCCCGATACTTTGGGAGGCCGAGGTGAGTGGATCTCATGAGGTTAGGAGTTTGACACCAGTCTGGTCAACACAGTGAAACCCTGTCTCTACTAAAAATACAAAAATTAGCCAGGCACAGTGGCTCACACCTGTAATCCCAGCATTTTGGGAGGCCGAGGCAGGTGGATCACGAGGTCAAGAGATTGAGACCATCCTGGCCAACCAACATGGTGAAACCCCATCTCTACTAAAAATACATAAATTAGCTGGGCGCAGGGGCACACACCTATAGTCCCAGCTACTCCGGAGGCTGAGGCAGGAGAGTCACTTGAACTCAGCAGGCAGAGGTTGCAATGAGCCGAGATCACGCCACTGCACTCCAGCCTGGGAGACAGAGTGAAACTCCATCTAAAAAAATTAAAAAATTTAAAAAATTAGCTGGGCGTGGTGGCGCACACCTGTTGTCCCAGGTGCTTGGGAGGCTGAGCCAGGAGAATCACTCGAACCTGGGAGGCAGAGGTTGCAAAATGAGCCAAAATCACATCACTGCACTCCAGCCTGGGCGACAGAGCAAGACCCCATCTCAAAAAAATAAATAAAAATAAATAAAAATTAAAGGTTGTTTGGCTATTTGGGGTCCCTTGAGATTTCATGTGAATTTTAGGATGGATTTTTCTATTTCTGAAAAAAATACCATTGGTCTTTTTTTTTTTTTTTTTTTTTTTTTTTTTTCAGAGACAGGGTCTTGCTATGTTGCCCAGTCTGGACTCAAACTCCTGGGCTCAAGCAATCCTCCCATCTTAGCCTTCCAAGTAGCTGGGAATACATGTGCATGCCACCATGCCTGGCTTCATTGCAATTTTAACTGGGATTTCATTACATCTGTAGATCACTTTGGGTAGTGTTGTCATCTTAAAAATATTAGCTTCCCAGGCCAGCTCATGCCTGTAAATCCCATCACTTTGGGAGGCCAAGGTGGGAAGACTGCTTGAGCTCAGGAGTTTAAGAACAGCCTGGGCAACATAAGGAGACCCCATCCCTACAAAAAATTTAAAAATTAGCCAGGAGTGGTGGCTTACACCTGTCATTTCATCTACTCAGGAGGCTAAGGTGGGAGGATGACTTGAGCCCGGGAGGTCAAGGCTGCACTGAGCCGTAATTGAGCCACTGCACTCCAACCTGGGCAACACAATGAGGCTGCCTTAAAAAAAAACTGTCTTCCCATCTATGAACACAGGATGTTTTTCCATATATTTATGTCTTCTTTCTTCTTTAATTTCTTTCAGCAACGTTTTATAGTTTTCGGTGCACAATTTTTTGCTGCCTTGGTTAATTCCTAGGTATTTTATTTTTTTAGAGGCTAGTGTAAATGGAATTGTTTTCTTTTCTTTTCAGATTGTTCATTGTTAATGTATATTAACAGAAACACAACTGATTTTTGAATGTTGATTTTGTATCCTGCAGCTTTGGTAAATTTATGTTATTCGCTCTAGCAGTTTTTCTTTTTTTTTTTGTTTTGTGGTATCTTCAAGGTTTTCTACATGTAAAGTCATGTCATCAGGGAACAGAGATAATTTTACTCCTTCCTTTCCCATTGAGATGCCTTTTATTTCTTTTTCTTCCCTAACTGCTCTGGCTACAATTTCCAATACCATGTTGAATAGAAGTGGTGAAAGGCAGCATCGTTGCGCCTATATATATTTTTACAAAACACAGTCATACACCATGAGAGCAAACAAAGCTGAAGAGAAGACCCATTTGAGTCCTTATTCCATAAAAAATTGCAAGAGGGTGAAAACAGGAACCATAACAGGATCTGCAGGTCTTTGCAAGCCCTGAGAAAGTCACCTCAGACTTCTGTCTGGAAAGCCTTCTCTCCAGCCTATCTGCCCATATCTAGCTCCCATCCAACGTCCTCTCCAGAACCTTCTTTGCTGCCGCCCACAAGAGAGGCCCTCTGATGGGCTCCAGCACCTGATAGTACAGTTCACACAAGGACTGAGCCTTCAAGACCATTCTAATGTTCTGAGAACTTTTTCAAATCTTACCGGCTTAATGAGCCGTTAAGTATCTTCTTGGCCCCCAACCCCAACCTAAACTGGAAGCTGCTTGGAGGCAGGACATCTTCATGTCAAGAAGGCCTGGCTTTATGCTGATGAGGGCCCTTTATAAGTAAAATGATGATTATAAACCCTTCTGAGGCCCCCAGGTGACAGGCACTGGGCAGTCTGGTGAGATGAGAGCTCGGTTCCCAGCTGTCCCCGGTTCTCCCTTCAGACTTAGAAGCAGGAGAAATGTGCATTATAATGGAGTCTAGAACAGGGAGTGTGAACTCAGATTTTGGTGAGTTCTAGTTCTGCCAATTACTGTGTGACTACAGGCAATAACTTGACCTCTCCAAGCCTTTTGGACTGCTGCAAAATGCTGCAATAACAGCACTCTCTCACACAGTGGCTGTTAGAGGAGACTAAATAATACAGAAAACACCTGACAGAGCCTCTAATACAGAGGACCTTTCCTTGCTGTTACTTCTAACTTTATTACAGCTCTTCTGAAAGGAGCTCTGCCAGTGCCCTCCCCTTGCACCCCCCTCCTCTCCCATTCCCGTGTCACCACTGCCACCTACAGGTAAACAGCCATCCACAAGCTACACCCATCAGATTCAAAACCCTGGGAGCTCTAGCTTTCTGGATTTCTGGGTTACTGAGCCAGGAAGACCTCCATGCTTCCAGAAGGAAGCCCCCAAACTTGGCTTGCCCCACCTGTAGGGTAAAGGAGCAGGCACACCACAATTTCCTTAAGAATCCAAGCATTAAAACTCCAAGAGGTCTTAGAGACCATCTAGTAAAAAGATTCCCCATAAGTCCACATTTCCTGGACCCCAGGAAGTGGGGCATGGGGGAGGAGGGGCCACGGTGTTGTTGCAAGTTCCCTATGGGCAGTTTCTTGCCCTTAAAGCTACCATTGAACCACTGGTCTCAAGTCTTCAAGGAAATGGCTCTCATTCTTTTCACCAAAAAAATGGAGAAACAGAAGAGAGAATGAAAACCTGTTTATTTGGTTTGAGCCAGGTTCTTGACAGACATTACCTCATTTAACCCTACCATCCCACGCCCCAGCCGCCAGGAAGGTTCTCTCTCTCTAATAGGAAGAAAATGAAGCCTGGTGGGGTGACTAGCCCCACAGTGTGCAGAGAGGAGGTAGCAATACTGCCAACCACATGACCCAGGTCTTCCTGGTAAGCCTGGCCTTGGACCCTGATCCATCCTCAGGTAGAGGGTCACAGAGGCAAAGAAGACCCTGGCCTCCACAATAGACGGTCCAGAGTATTGGATGCAGCCCACCCTCCTGATTTTTAGGTGAAGTCTAAAGACCCTCCTGATTTTTAGGTGAAGTCTTAAGTGTAAAAGAGAGTGCTGGTGAAAGTGTCAAGTTAAATTAGATGCTGGGTCACTTTATTCTCTCGTTCTTTTTTTTTTTAATTAATACATCTTTTATTTTGGAATAATTTTATATTTACTGAAAAGTTGCAAAGATAGAACAGAGTTCTCATTTGCTCTTCTCACCGTTTCCGCTAATGTTCAATATTTTTTTTTTTTTTTTTTTTTTTGAGATGGAGTCTCGCTCTGTTGCCCAGGCTGGAGTGCAGTGGTACAATCTCAGCTCACCACAACCGCCGGCTCCCGGGTTCAAGCAATTCTCCAGCCTCAGTCTCCCAAGCAGCTGGGACTACATGTGTCTGTCACCACACCAGCTAATTTGTGTATTTTTAGTAGAGACGGGGTTTCACAATGTTGGCCAGGCTGGTCTCGAACTCCTGACCTCGTGATCCACCCGCCTTGGCCTCCCAAAGTTCTGGGATTACAGGAGTGAGCCACTGCGCCCGGCTTTTTTTCTTTTTCTTGAGACGGAGTATCACCCTGTTGCCCAGGCTGGAGTGCAGTGGTGCGATCTCGGCTCACTGAAACCTCTGCCTCCTGAGTTCAAGCAATTCTCCTGCCTCAGTCTCCTGAGTAGCTGGGATTACAGGCGCCCGCCACCATGCCCAGCTAATTTTTGTATTTTTAGTAGAGACGGGGGTTTCACCATGTTGGCCAGGCTGGTCTCAAACTCCTGACCTCAGGTGATCCACCCGCCTCAGCCTTCAAAGTGCTGGGATTACAGGTGTGAGCCACCGTTGCAGGCAGTTCACATCTTACATAACCACTGCACACAGGCCAAAACTAAAAAGTTAACATTGGTATAGTACTATTAACTGAACTCCAGATGTTATTTGGATTTCTCCAGTTTTTCCAATAATGCCCTTTTTCTGCTCATGATCCGATCCAGAATACCACACTGCATTTTGTTTTCCTCTCTTTGAAACCTTCTGTTTTCTTTAAAGACCAATAAACTCTCAAACTCCCCAACTTATTCTCCTGTCTGGAGAGCTCAGTTCTAAAGGACAGCTCTGTGTGAGCCCCAATTCCACACCCTGGCCTCATTAGGACACCACATCCTCCCACTCCCCAAACAAAGGAACCCTTCAGGCCAGCCAAACAACAGAGAAAACAGAAGCTTGTTAGCCACACAGGCCCGAGGCTGCTGACCCAAGTTCTTTTTTAACTGGAATTCCCTTGAGGAGGATCCACAGATTTAAAATGCATTTGGGGTGTGCTCTCTAGAAGCAGAGCCACTGGTATTTGATGTATGCCGTTCTTTGTACTTAATGGAATAACTTACGTGTGAGTCAGTGTGTGAGAGTAGCTGGGGGAAGAGGCCAATTTAGGGCCAGGATGGAAATTGGCCATGGGGGAGGAAAGGCCTCTGCAGGAGCCAGCCAGGCCCCAAGATGGTGCCAGGCTTTGGGGAAGAGGGGGCTGTGGCCAGCTTGTCCCAGCCTAGCAGGCTGTGCTCTAATGTCAGACAGGTGGGGGTGGCTGGGAGGATCAAAGTTTCTCTGTGACCTGGTGATCAGGTTACAGTTTCTGCTTAAAGCAGAGCAGATAAGGGAAAGTGGGGGCGGGGTGGGGGGGTGGGATTCACCTGTCCTGTCTTCCTCTCGGCCTCTTCGTGCAGTCTGCTTTGCTGCCAATTTCTTCTTCCCCAGAGCGCCTCCCAGGGGCTGTTCCCCTCGCCCTCGTGCCCACCATTCACCACCAGCACTCTCAGAGAAGAGAGGAGGTGTGCCTGAGAATTTCACAGTGTGCCACACTGTCACCAGCCTTTTTTTTGAGCTTCTCCCGATGACAGAGACACATCCCAGAGATGTGAATGCCACTCCTTGGGAAGGATTATCCAAAGACTTCCCAGCTCAATTTAAAAACTTCAACTGTGAGGCCTCTCCCTGCCAGACTGGGATGGAAAGAAGTAAGATGGAGCCCCTACACTGAAAGCACTCCCCAGGAAAGACCTGCAGCCAGCCATCCAGGACACAGGGCACAGACCTGAGGCTGAACAGGGGAGCAGAGGGGACTGTGAAAGCTAAGAAATGGGCCTGGTACAAGGAAAGAGCAGGAATTTGAAGAGAGAGGAACATCATAGGCTATGCAAACAGCCTCCCAGGGCCAGGGCCTCGGTGAAGGGGAGCGGTGAGAGGAGGCCAGCTCTGGAGTGTCCTTTCATTTTCTCTAAGGAGTCTGGGCTTTCCACAGGAGGCAACATGGGGCTTTTCAACAGGAGTGACAAGAATATTTATGTCTGAGACAGATCGCTCTGGTAACAGCATGGGGGCTGTAGTGGAGTGGAGAGACTGCAGGCAGGAAGCAGGGGGCAGGTTATCACAACTGCTCAGTGAGAAAAGGAGACAGGACAGCATGTTGGTCAAGGTCATGGCTTTGAATCTGGGGACTGGGGGTCAGTCTTGGCTCTCTCTGACCTAGGACACATTTCTCACGCTCTCTGAATTTCATCCATAAAACGGGCAAAACAATTGTACCTCCTCACAGGGTGTGGTTAAGATCAAATAAGTTAGTGATATAAGACACGAAACAGGGAACCTGGAACATAGTGAGGGCGCAATAAATATGAACCACAATTCTTAACTTGTGTATTCTGTGGACTGCATCTCAGGAAAGACGGAATTCCAGCGGGGAAGCAGAAGGGGAGGGTGACTGTCTCCAATGCTTTTATTGCAGCCTCCAGGTGGAATAGTGAAGTGGCCACCTTAACTGCCTCCTGGAGTGTGAGCAGAGAGGACCAGGACAAGGCTGCAATCTGTTGGCCAGGCACCAACTAGCCTGTGAGGCCAACCAGGGACCGCAGGCATCACCAGGAACAAGGCTATAAAAAGGCCTCAAAGAGTGATTACAAAATTCCACACCAGGAGAAAGACTCCCAGAAGTTTCCCAGGGCTCATACCTGCTGTGCTCATTAAAGCCACAGTGTTGGCTGGGCGCAGTGGCTCACGCCTGTAATCCCAGCACTTTGGAAGGCCAAGGCAGGCGGATCGCCTGAGATCAAGAGTTCAAGACCAGCCTGGCCAACTTGATGAAATCCTGGTCTCTACTAAACATACAAAAAAATTAGCCAGGCGTGGTGGTGGGTGCCTGTAATCCCAGCTATTTGGGAGGCTGAGGCAGGAGAATCACTTGAACCCGGGAGGTGGAGGTTGCAGTGAGCCGAGATCGCGCCACTGCATTCCAGTCTGGGCGACAAGAGTGAAACTCCATCTCAAACAACAACAACAAAACAACAACAACAACAACAACAACAAACACCCATGGTAAAACTTCAACACTTGTATTAACATGTATTTTTAAGCCTGGGCAACATAGGGAGACCCTGTCTCTACAAAAAAAAATTTTTTTTTAATTAGCTGGGCGCAGTGGTGAGCATCTGTAGTTTCACCTACTCCAGAGCCTGAGGCAGGAGGATCACTTGAGGCTAGGAGGTCAAGGCTACAGTGAGTCGTGATCGCACCACTGCACTCCAGCCTGGGCAAGAGGGTGAGACCCCATCTCAAAAGAAAAAAGTTAAAATTGTAGATTTTATGTTATACACATCTTTAAAATGGTAAAAAAGATACTTGGGAGGCAAGAGGATCACTTAAGCCCAGGAACTGGAGGCTGGGAGACACTCCAGTCTGAGAGACAGAGCAAGAACTTGTGTCTAAAAAAGAAAAAAAAAGGCCGGGCGCGGTGGCTGTCGCCTGTAATCTCAGCACTTTGGGAGGTCGAGGTGGGCAGATCATAAGGTCAGGAGTTTGAGACCAGCCTGGCCAACATGGTGAAACCCCGTCTCCACTAAAAAAATACAAAAATTAGCCAGGCATGGTGGTATGCACCTGTAATCCCAGCTACTCGGGAGGCTGAGGCAGGAGAATTACTTGAACCCAGGAGCAGAGGTTGCAGTGAGCCGAGATCGCGCCACTGCACTCCAGAATGGGCAACAGAGCAAGACTCTGTCTCAAACAAAAACAAAAACAAAGGTAAAAATGACTACATATTGTATGATTCCATTTATATAAAATGTCCAGAATAGGCAAATCTATAGAGACAGAAAATAGATTAGTGATTGCCTGGGGTTGGAAGGGCTGGGGGAAATGGGGAGTGATTGCTAATGGGTACGGAATGATGAAAATGTTCTAAAACTGATTGTGGTAATGGCTGAACAACGCTGTGAATACAATGTTTTTTAAAAAAAACTCTGTGACTATACTAAAAACCACTGACTTGTACATTGTAAATGGGTGAATTGTATGGCATATGAATTATATCTCAATAAAGCTGTTGAAAAATGGGAGAAAAGCTACTAGGAATGTGTTCAATGTAGTATTATTTAAAATCCTTAGCTGGGTGCAGTGGCTCAAGCAGGAGGATCACTTAAGCCCAGGAGTTTGAGACCAGCCTGAGCAACATAAACCTTGCCTCTACAAAAAATACAAAATTAGCCAGGCATGGTGGTACATGCCTGTAGTCCCCAGCTACTCAAGAGGCTGAGATAGGAGTATTGCTTCAGCACGGAAGACTGAGGCTGCAGCGAACCGTGATCACATCACTGCACTCCAGCCTGAGGGACAGAGTGAGACCCTGCCTCAAAAATAAAATAAAATTCTTAAAACTTCTCAAATATAAAATAAAAAAGTGATGATTAAATATAGTATATTGATTCCACTGAATATTATATAGCTATTGATATAGTTTGGATATTTGTCCCCACCCAAATCTTATGTTGAATTGTAGTTCCCAATGCTGGAGGTAGGGCCTGGTGGGCAGATCCTTCATGCCTTGATGATGTCTTTGTGATAATTCTTGCAATATCTGGTCAGTTAAAAGTGTGTGGCACTCCCTCCTCCACTCTCTCTCTCTGTTTTTTGTTCCTGTTTTCACCATGTGAGGTGCCTGCTCTCCCTTCCCCTTCTGCCATGAGTAAAAGCTTCCTGAAGCCTCCTCAGAAGCAGCTGCCAGTACTATGCTTCCTATACAGCCTGCAAAACCATGAGCCAAATAAACCTCTTTTATAAATTACCTAGTCTCAGGTATTTCTTTATGGCAATGCAAGAACAACCTAATACAGCCATTATAAGTAATAATTCTTAAAACCATATAGAAACATTTTGTAATGATGTAAGAAAAAAAAGACACAAAATTGATTTTTAAAAAAACATGCATATGGATAATGCCTGGAAGATAAATGGGAAAAAGTGAAAATAATCAGTGTGTTGAAGTATTTGGCTTAAAGGCAAACTTTAAAAATTTTTTATGTTATTACTGTTACAAAAAGAAGGAAAGAGGATATTATACAGCAAAAGACTAAGAAAGAAAGTGGCAAACTAATGACCAAAACTAAAAGCCAGTTATTTAATTCTTCCATCAAAAATAGCCAGGTATAGCCCAGGCGCAGTGGCTCATGCCTCTAATCCCAGCACTTTGCCACGCTGAGGTGGGAGGATCTCTTGAGCTCAGGAGTTCAAGACCAGCCTGGCCAACATAGCGACCTCACCTCGTGTCTACCAAAAAAAAAAAAAAAAAAAAAAATTAGCCAGATGTGGTAACGCATGCCTATAGTCCCAGCTACTTGGGAGGCTGAGGTAGGAAGATCGCTTGAGCCCAGGAGATGGAGGCTGCAGTAAGCTATGATGGTGCCACTGTACTCTAGCCTGGGTGACACAGTGAGACCCTGTCTCAAAAAAAAAAAAAAAAAGCTAGGTATAGGCTATAGGTTAGTCGTGGTGCCTCATGCCCATAATCCCAGCACTTTGGAAGGCCAAGGCAGGAAGTCCACTTGAGCCCAGGAATTCAAAACCAGCCTGGGTAACACAGCAAGACCTTGTCTCTACCAAAAATTTAAAAATTAGCAGGGCTCAGTGGCACGCACCTGTAGTCCCAGCTACTCCACAGGCTGAGGTGAGAGGATCACTTGAGCACAGGATGTCGAGGCCGCAGTGAGTTGTGATCATACCACTGTATTCTAGCCTGGGGGACAGAGTAAAACTCTGTCTCTTGGAGAAAAAAAAAAAAAAAAGCTAGGTACAAGCTTTCAAGCTGGCCTAAACATAAGTAAGCTTCATTACTTAGTCTGAACATACAGACTTAAGGATAAAAGCCTGGTAACCCCAATATCTCTCAAAAGGCATTTTATTCTGACCAGGCCTCCCTGCTAACTCTCCCTTGTCCCAAAGGAGGTCACCCAGGGTACCCAGCTAGTTAAGGAGGACCAAACTGAGAGCCAGTCTGGACTGGCACAAGGGGAGATGCGGACATAAATGTACACGTGTTTCACATTCCAAAGCCAAATACAATAGGGTTCTAGATCATCTGGGAAATTACTCCTATTCATCAACATAGAAAGGTCACGAATATCAACAGTGAGAACAAACAGGGAAGATTACATTTAAATGTAACCATATTTGGGCCTGGTGTGATGGATTACACCTGTAATCCCAGCAGTTTTGGAGGCCGAGGCGGGCGGATTGCTTGAGCTCAGGAGTTCAAGACCAGCCAACATGGTGAAACTCCATCTTTACAAAATATACAAAAATTAGCTGGGCCTGGTAGCACACGCCTGTAATCCCAGCTACTTGAGAGGTTGAGGCACAAGAATCGCTTGAACCTGGGAGGCAGAGGTTGCAGTGAGCAAGGATCACACCACTGCACTCCTGTCTGGGCGACAGAGAGGGACTCTGTCTCAAAAAAAAGGAAGAAAGAAAAAGAAAAAGAAATGTAACCATATTTAAATATGAAGAAGAGCCCCAACACAAGCATGTATTCCTGTTTATACAATATTCAGGGCTAACAGACTTATCACACACAGGTTGTGTAACTTATTAATGACAATGTGACTTTAAACAGTAGTTCTAAGTGGGTCACCTTGAATAATACGAAACAAAGCTTGCCAAGGGAAACATGCAAATAAGATCAAAATCCAACAGGGAATAGGCATTTTCCTAGCTTTTCGGATTTTTACTGTAGAAAAATAAACACAGTATCTATCTAGTTTCTTTAGCACTAAAAAAACCAACAGCATGAAACTGCATTCTTCAATGGGGGTGGAGTCCAAAGGGACAGGCCCGACATTATTTTCAGCACACTGTACCAAGTCAAGCTGGTATGTGGATAAAGCAGCACAGCTGGGTTTACCATGTGAGTAACGGGCAGAGAGAACCTACCACCCTATGTGGCGCAAACCACATGAGGCCAGCTGCAGAGGCTGTGGAGAGAGGCCTCTCTTTATCCCTTCTTCTTTCCCTCCATCTCTTTCTGAGGCCAGGACCTGCATGCAGACCTTTCTTGATAAAGAACTCAACCTCAATGTGATACATCAAGGGAAACATTCCCTGAAGAACATGGTGGAGCAAATAAACATTTGGCCTCGTGAGAATGGCCACAGAAAACACTAGGGAATCTTAAACTGTCAGTTGGATGACTAGATATTTTATGATATTAAGGATTATGATTAATTTATTTTAGATATGATAATAAGCTGTTGGCTATACTTTTTTTTTTTTTTTTTGAGACAGGATCTCACTCAGTCACTCAGGCTGGGAATGCAGCGGCACAATCTTGGCTCACTGCAGCCTCAACCTTCCAGGCTCAAGTGAGCCTCCCACCCTCAGCCTCCTGAGTAGCTGGGACTACAGGCATGTGCCACCACACCTGGCTAATTTTTGTATTCGTGGTACAGCCAGGGTTTCACTATGTTACCCAGGCCTCCCAAAGTGTTGGGATTACAGGCATGAACCACCACACCCAGTCAGCTATACTTTTAAAAAGATTCCTTATCTTTTAGAAATGCATACTTAGGTATTCATAGATGAAATTATATGATGTCTGGGATTTACTGAAAAATAATCCAGGATAAAAGTGTGTGGGGCTATGGATGAACCAAAACTGCCATGAATTGATAATTGTAGAAGCTCAATGATGAGTATGTGGGGGTTCATTATAGTCATCTTTTTCCTTTTGTATATGTCTGAAATTTTCTGTAACAACAAAAAAAATCAGTAGGAGACAGCATAAAACCATTCATAACTTTGACCCGGCAATAGCCCCCTAAGGAAATAAATAAGGGGGAAGGGGAGAGCTGATTCTGCAAAGATGCATAATTGAGAAAAACACTGCTGCTCCCAACAAACGAGAAGATGGCTAAGCAACGAGGGTACATCAATAAGGCAAAAACGCTACGTGGCTTTTTAAAATGATAAATACTTCAGCCTAGTCGCTAAGTGGAAATCGGCATAGGAATGCTAAGAGGAAAACAGGCAGGATAAAATATTATGTGCATACTAATCACCACAAGGTAAAAATGCATGCTCACATAATGGAAAGGGTCAAAAGAGAACACAGAAGGCGACACCCTCCCTTTAACACTCAGCTCGTTGCCTCCTCTCAGTGAGGGCCCCAGACGGCCCCCGCGTGAGCATGCACACACGAGATGAATTAATTGCACTCTTCTGGGATCTCACAGTCCTCACTTGCTGAGGCTCATCCAGCCCCTATTGCTTGTCTAATGGTTCCTCATGGACCTGCCTTCCCTGATGCACCATGAATTTTACCAGCACACAGTAGGTATTCAATAATGTGTGTCAAACAGAATAGAACATAAATAGCTGCTGTCTGTGTCTCAGGATTTTTTTTTTCTTTAGAGCTATTCCCACCCACAGTAGCCATTCAGGAAAGGCATTCCTCAGTATCAGAGAACAATGCTTCCATTTCTGATTCACAAAGTGCTTCTGCTACGTGGGTTTATGAAGCCAGCAAGGCAAAACAAAATCAAGCAGACTTTCTGTCTAGATCCTTGCTGGACCACACAGAAAAATCCCATTTTGTTTTGCAAGCTTGTAACAAGTCTCATTGCTATGGTTCCTAATACCAAGTCTGAAGATTCCCCAAGCACTGCTGTGAGAACGGGCCTTTCCTTGGCTACTTAAAAATGCTGCATGGCTGCTCTCTGTGGCTGGCACTATAGTAAAGGGTACAAGCCAGAATGCAGTCGGGACTGTGGCTGCTCAGCAGCGTCAGGCGGGGAAGTCAAGAACTGCCCATCTAGACAGAAGTGGGCAGCAACACAGCCTGGGCCATGCTCCACCCAGTCTGAATGTTTCTCCATCTCTTCTGCTTAGAGCTGCTTTGAGCAGCAGGCTTTGGGTGGGTGAGAGGGGTTGATAGGGATATTCAAGAATGTCAGAGCCTGGGCGTGGTGGCTCACGCCTGTAATCCCAGCACTTTGGGAGGCAGGTGGATCACCTGAGATCGGGAGTTCCAGACCAGCCTGACCAACGTGGAGAAACCCCATCTCTACTAAAAATACAAAATTAGCCAGGCGTGGTGGAATGTGCCTGTAATCCCAGCTACTCAGGAGGCCGAGGCAGGAGAATCGCTTGAACCCGGGAAGCGGAGGTTGTGGTGAGCCGAGATCGCACCATTGTACTCCAGCCTGGGCAACAACAGCAAAAACTCCATCTCAAAAACAAAAAAAAGAATGTCAGGAAGAAATCCATAGACTGTCATTTTTCAGAGCAGTAGTTAACTTTTTGGATAAGATGTTAAAGGAAGAATACATTCCCTTTGAAAATCTGATAAGACCTTTCCAGAGAATTACACACACAATTCTGCACACACTTTCAACAGGTTATTCACCAATCCCTGGCCTCAGTCAGATACCACTTCTGCCCTAGAGCTTTAGCTGTGACTGTTGGTATGAACACTTAGACAAGTTAAACACAACATGAATTTCCACAACAGCAAGGCAGCTGCGATGAGTGAGGTACTACAGAGAGTGAGTGACAGCTCTGTTGGGAGGGCTGTCTCTGTGTCTTTATGAAGACCACTAGCAGAGATACAGAGCCCATGCCTGGGCACACACAGGAAGGCAAGAGCACCATGGTTAAGACACTCCATTCCAAAAACAAAACAAAAAAGACACTCCATTCTAGTTCTTCAGAAATGAGACTGCCAAGCCTGAAGTCCTTAAGGTTATCAGACCATGAGACAGCCTCTTTTTGTTGGACTGGAATGCTGACACTACTCATTATGCAGTCATTTTACCGAGTGTTGCCTTAAGTGCTCCAGAAAGTGGGGTATAGAGAATTACCAACATACAAACTTTAGCCCATTCTCCTAACAAAAACCAAAAAATTGGTCCAGATGGTCTTAGGAAATGACCAAATCAGAGACTCTTGTGAAAGTGGTTAAAAAAAAGGGGGGTCTGGGAATGTGTAGGACCTAACTTTGAACTTGGTAGGCACAAGGAGGACTGCAGAGACCCTCACGGTAGACAGACACCTGGCAGGCCCCTCCTGACACTTGGGGCTCCTAAGTCTGACTTATTCCACATCTTGTCCAAGAGATAAAATACCCTTCCCCAGCAGCCTCTTGCAATCAGCTCATCAATATGCCATGAAAATGTTTTGAAACAAGCTTTGGTCACATCACTGCCCTGTTCCAGCCCTTTATTAACTTTCCTTGTGATGGTACAAGAAGGGTATGTTCCATTTACTTCCAAAAGGAATTTAGGGTAATTTTAGTAATAATTTATACCCAAGACAAATAAAACAAGAAGGCTGAAAACCAAATGGAATAAAAGAAGAAATGTTTTACCAAGAACCAGAGAGATAAGACAGTTATTGCAACTAGACACTAATTAGGCCCATGCTTCCTGGTGGCCTGGGCAAGAAGGGAAAGACAATGAGTTTCCACAGTCCTTCCTTGCTGATTAAAGGCAGAATAAAAGGCATTCCTCTAGGATGGGGATTTTTTTTCCCTAACAGTAAGTTTTGAGATTTATTGCAGTCACTCATATTAAGGAATAATGAATAGCATAATATGGAATGTCTTCAACAACAGTTTCATATAAAATATAAAATGTTCTTCCTGTAACTTAGCCTGGTATTAACTGCCCTTTACCATTTGTCCCAGTTACTTTTGCAGCCTCTCTTTTCCTATTTTGCCCCATCCCATCCCCACAAAGAACTACACATTCAACCAAACCAGACTCCTCTTTCCAAGAACACATCCCCACCTTTTCGTTACTACCTATTTTTACCCATCCTATCCTCTTTAAATCCTTCCTCTTCTACAGATTTCCCCAATTCTCCAATCAAAAGAGGTCTCATTCTACCACGCAGCCCATGCCTCTGCACTGCCAAGCAAGGCAGAGCACCAACAAGGCAAAGTCATGCAGAAGTGGCAGCAAGATCTTTGGAGTCAGACCAATTGAGCTCAAATCTGATTCAGCTGCTTATATGCTGTGTGATCCTAACCAAATAACTAAATGTCTCTGAGCCTCAGTTTCCACATCTATAGAACAGAAACAGGGCCTGGCACACAGGAGTCCTCAGGAGAACTGGGGGAGCAATAGCTGGCACAATAGAGACTTGGGTATCTGTCTTCTCTCCCCCTCCCCCGTACAAAATGAGCTCCTTGAAAGGCAATACAATGAAGCATCTCCCAGAAGACCTTACACATGAGGGGACCTCAAAAATGGAGTTGCAGAGTTATCTAAAAGCCTGACTGTTTGGAATTAGATCAGAGAGTCTGACATGCAGTAGCTTCATGCCAGATCCAGGTTCAGAACGCAAAGCTCCTATAACTCCTGGGCCAAACTTTACACACGTGACACTGTTAGCCCCTTGAGGGTCTCAACACACTGACTTCCTATTTCACACAATAAAGATCCTCTTCCTTGTCAGAAAATAATTCTTATCATACAGGTCTCCAAATACCCATGCAAATCACATTAATATAACCCGAGGTGGCCACCTTACCCAAAGATCTCATCAAGGGGAGCTGGTGTGTGTTTAATTGTTATGAATGTATATCACTGACCAATGCCTTGATAAACTACAGATAAAATCTATCAGTTCTTGATGGCTAATTTGGTACAACATGAATATTGTGAGTTCTAATAACTCACAGGAGACTATTCTAGTACTTACCAGCTATATGTCTTCCACACTCATAAAACAACCATAATTACCTTTCATGGGTGAGATGTTCTAGTAATTCTTAAGTGACTTAACCCTAGAAAATCTATGGAAAAAGCTAATTTCAAAGAATTTTTGTTTTGAAAGTAGAAGACAAGACCAAGAACTTATGAACATGCTTTTTATTTCATTATTCTTATTATTTTATTTTTATTTTTTGTAGAGACAGAGTCTTGGTACTTTGCCCAGGTTGGTCTCAAACTCCTGGCCTCAAGCAATCCTCCTGCCTTAGCCTTCCAAAGTGCTGGGATTACAGGTATGAGTTACCGTGCCCAGCCCTCTTTTTTAACAAACATGCCAGAAAACATACGTCCCTTTGTTTCCTGGGGATAGATGAATTATGGTAATGTTGTCCCTGGGCAGCAGTGTAAAACTGTTTTACAAACAGTTGAATCTTCTATTTTAGAAGTTCCCCTCAGAAGTAGCATGGCTGTATTGTTGGGGGAAAGCCAGGCCTCTCTGGAGCAGGCATGGGATGTGGTGGGGAATGTACTTTGGAACCAGACAGAACTACATGCAAATCTTACTTTAAAATATTGGGGTAAGGTGTTTCAACTCCTTGGGCCTCAATGTTCTTATCTATAAAATGGAGTTAATACTATTAATAAATATGGAAATGGTTCTCCCATTTTATTGTGCACCCGAATCATCTGTAGAGTTTGTTAAAAATATAGCTACATGAGTCCCATCCCCAAAGATTCAAAGATTCTGTTTCAGTGCATCTGATGTGGGGCCCAGAAATCTGTGGGGATTTAAATTATTTTTCATTTTTAATTGCACAATATGTAAATACATTTCCCCCTTGTAAAATATTAAAACATTACCTTATCAGTTATGATTGCATTCAGCTGCAAGCAATTAAAAAACTAACAGTCGTTTAAACAGATGGGGGTTATTTTTCTCAGGGAACAAGAAGAAATCTAGAAGCAGGCAGTATAGAGCTGGAGTGGATTTATGGAATCCACTCAAGGATTCCATAAAGGACCCAGGAACTTTTTGTCTTCTTCCTCTGCCATCCTTGGCCTGAGGCTTCCCTCCTTTCCATCCTTCCAGCTGCAAGGCACCACTGCTCTACCTGGCAGTCTATAAAGCAGGCAGGAAGAACACGAAAGGGCCAAAGGACTTTGCCATCTTATTTATGAAGAGGTGCTCTCCTCAGGAGCTCCTGCCTCTTGTTCATAGGCCAGAGCTGTGTCATACAGTCACCCCTAGCTGCAAGGGAAACTAAGTAAGAGAATATAGCTGGGCACATAGGCAATCCAAACAAAATCAGACTCCGTCAGAAAAGAAGAAATGAGGAACAGGTATTGGGAGCCTGTGGAACAGTGTCTACTGCAATTACAGATGAGGTTCATATTCCCTTGGGGCCTCTTTCCCTTGACCCCCATCAATCCTGGCCTCATGGGCTTTTCACCAAGCTCCCCAGGAGGTTCTGATGCCCCCTAAGCATCATTTTGAGGGCCACCACCACACTTACAGTACTTATGCAGAGGTCTAGATCTGGCTTTAAAATGTTTAGCCTGGTGGAGCCATAATAGTTGTCTGATGGATATTTACTCTCATCCTCTTTCCTTCCCCTACAAGTCACCCAGAAAACCCACTCGTTTGTTACAACCACAACTCAAGTTTGCCTAAATGGCCTTGCTCAGCATCCAACACTGGGGTGTGAAAAAGTATTGGCTTATTTTTTTAATCAAATCCATCCTTCAAAAGATGATGATCTGCCACCCTAGACAATATTTAAAGAATGTGACTTGGGCCCAAAACATGGCTGAAGCATGAGACCCTGCCTGAGATGACAGTATTATCCCACAAGGTGACTCACTGCCTGGAAAGGCTTGCCCCTAATCCACAGACACATTTAGATACTAGGTTAGGAAAAAAAAATCTGAGTAGGCAAGTGTGCATCACACATTAAGTGGGGGGAAATCAAGACACAAACTAGTATATTTTTTATATTTTATATTAAAAGTATGTACAGTTTTATATTAAAAGTGTATACCTGGCTGGGCATGGTAGCCATTTTCAAAGTGCTCCAATCCCAGCACTTTAGGAGGCCAAGGTGGGAGGACTGCTTAAGCCCAGGAGTTCAAGACCAGCCTGGGCAACATAGTGAGACTTTGTCTCTACAAAAACAGTGTTGAAATTAGCCAGATATGTTGGTGTGCTCCTGTAGTCTCAGCTACTTGGGAGGCTGAGGGAGGGGTATCACTTGAGCCCGGGGATCAAGGCTGCAGTGAGCTATGATGTCATTAAATCCAGCCAGGGAGACAGAGTGAAACCCTGTCTCAAAAATAAAAACCACACAAAAAAACAGTATATACCTAGGCAAAGGAACAAAGCCTGAAAGGCTAGCCCCTGATACGGTAACAATGGCAAACATCTTAGTAGTGAGAGTAATTATGTCTTACTGTGTTTTGTTTTGTTTTGTTTTGTTTAGGGGGATAATTTCTAAAATTTTTCTCCTAAAAATACATATTTATTTTGTAACAAGATTTATGATTTTTAAAAATGTGTCGACCTATACAGCCATCAGAAATAACAATATGCGATATTTCATCTTATCTGGTCTTTGGGTAAAATTAAAAGGCAAATAAGAACGGCATCCAAAGCAAGGGCATGACTGTGTATGCAGGGCACGGTGACAAGGCCACTGCCTACAATGGTAGTGTTTTAACAATCTGAAATCATTCAGATTTAACAGGGGAAAACCTTCAGAATGAAACACAGGCTCCAGGTTCCTGAGATTTCCTAATAGAGAAGCTGCAAAGAGAAATGCGGGTTCATTACTCAGCCACCGTGCTGCACTCAGCTATCCTGCACATAGCAATTAGAGTGGAACTCAGGGCACCATGTGCACTGCATACAAAGCCAGCCACCCTCTGAGAGGAACCAAAATGCACAAGACCCCACAGCATAGAAAGCAGCCAGCTATTAAGAAAAGTTTTTCCAATTGGTACATTCTCGGCAAACCCTTGCCCACAATTTCCTCAGGAAGCCTCTGTGGCTATCAAACAAGCAAACTAATAAATACATTAATAGGCAAGATCTACAAGTTGGATGCTGTTAACTTTGGGGAGGCAGCTGAACTGTGAGTCAGGTCTAGGGAGGTAACTTCATACTGAAGGCTCTATTCTCTATACATCTTTCTACTCTAGCAAATGCTTATAATCTGTTGGCAAATAACAGCCTTAGCTGAGCTTCTTCTGAAACAAAGATGCCCCCAGTTGTTAAGAACTCCTTGATTTAAATTGGGCTTGCTGCATTCTGAACCTCTTCCTCCAAATCTGAATGGCAGAAAAGTGACCTTCTCCACATCCTCTTACTGCTCTTTCTTGTCAGTAGACCTTGAGCTTGCCGAGCTGTGCTTTCCAAGGTCCTGGTAACTGTGCCTGCTCTAGGAGGTAGCTTAGAGGACTGGAGAAAGCAGAGGATGGTGCACCTGGAAGCCCCAATCCTGGTCCCAGGGACCCAGGGCAAGTCACCTCCTCCCTGGGTCTCTATGGGATCCAATGCAAAGCTGAATTATACACCTTATTATACCATCTCTAAAGTCCACCAATGATGCCATCATGCTCCAAGAGCCATTAGGACATAAGGAACGAGGTCACAAGTGATGAAATACAGTTGGCAAATCAACCTAAAAATATTCAACCTCAGCAGGAATTACAGAAATGAAAATTTAAGTGAAATGCACTTCCACCTATCAATTTAGCAAATTCTGAGGAATGACTCACACTGGTGGTGCCTGCCTTGTGCAACAGTCTGAACTGGTCTCCCAGAAGGGAGGTCTTCCCCTCCTATCCTACCCAGTCCATCCTCCACCCAGCAGCTAGTGGCTTTTCTGGAATGCAAATCTCATCATGTCACTGGCCTGCATTTATAGCTCCTTTACGGTTTCCCACTGCTGTTAGGACAAAGTCTACATTCTGTCACTTGGCCTCGCTTGCTCCTGCCCTGTCTTCCTCTGCAGCCCATCTCTCTCCACCCTCCCTTCGGCCTCTGGCCTTAGCTCCCCCAGGCGTGTGCCCTTCAGCAGCTCTGGGTTTTCACACATTCTGTTCTCTCTGCCTGGATATCTAGGACAGTCTCTCCCCACCATCCTATCTGCTTCTACTCTTGTTAACATTTAACACCTTCAGGATGTGGCCTAAAACCCTTCTTCCAGGAAGTTTTCCCCAACCCTGTTCCTCACACTAGTGCCCCTGCCCCAACCTGGGCCAGGTTAGGTGGGGTCTCCATAAAAACTAAGCATATGTAAAGCAATATAAATTTTTTGGAGAATAAGAAACTTAAAAACAAGCATACCCTTTGACATGGTAATTCTATTTAAAGGAATTTATTATATGTAAATAATCTGAAATGCAAAGATATAAGCCCTAAGATGTTTATCACTGCATTAATTATAATAGCAAGGAAAAAAAGAAAAGAAATAATCTAAATGTCCAACATTAGAGGAATGGTAACATGAAATGCAATGTATTCATCCACATAAGGGAATATTATGTAGTCATTTAATAATGATATTTATAAGCTGTTTTTTAATTAAAAATGATTATTCTATATTAAGTGGGAAAAACAGGGCACAAAATTGTACTTACAGCATTATCTCTGTAAAGAAAAATGTTTTAATAATACAGGAAGAAAATACACCAAAATGTTTATAGTAGTAACCTTTGTGTAGTGGGATAATGAAAATTTTTCTCTACTTCTCTACATTTCTTTCTGCTTTCAAATTTTCAGGGGAAAAAGGCTTTTTAACAGTCTAAGTTCAACCTCTTTGATTCTTCCACATTGTTCTAAAGCTGCCTCATACCATGAGGGCTCAGAGTTGAACTGGCCTCTTGTACCCTGCCGTGCTGACCTCCCACGATCTTTCTGCTTAGGGTCTCCTGACCCATAGCATGTTGTGACAAATGCCAGGGGAGCAGAAAGAAGGCTGGAGGCCATCTGTCCCTGCAGCCCCAAAGGATAAAGGAGAGCAATGCCTGGCAAATTGTCCCTACTCCAGTGGTACATATTCCAGAGTTATCTGGCAGGCTATTCAACATGAACCCTTCCTCCCACAGAAGTGATGATCATAAAAGCCTAATGAATTCCCTCCTCCGGTTTTGTAACAAGCATTCTACTGTAATCCTATTCAAGGAACACCGACATTTTTATTTTTATCTTTGATCAGAGTCAACCAATAAGGAAATGGTAGCCTGTGTGCCAATATCCACCCCTGATGAATAACCAGCCATGATCAATGCCTCACACCTGGGTCCCATCAGGCTCGGATTAGGGGACTTTCACAGGTAAGAATGGTGAGGGCCAAAGATCTGTAGCAAATGAAGGCTGTCACATATGAACCAGATGAAACAAAGGTTCTTTCCTGCCTTTTTGTGTCACCAGTGGGGGAGGGCCTTTCCCAGTGATTGAGGACCCCAAGTCATGCAGGCTTTGCGTCACCTGCTGGTATCATGTGCTCTCAGCTCATGAGCAGCTTTCTAAGGCTGACAAACTGCTCAGCAATGACACACAGCCCACATGCTACAGTCTCTTTTCCTGCAGGCTGTAGGAATGAGAAAGTGCAAGGATAAATGACACTAAATAATGCAGAGGTGAACACCACTCATGCAAGAGCATAACAAAGTACATTTGAGAGAGCTGCACAGTGGAGGGGGGCATGTGGAAAGGTTAGCACTCCACACTGGGCTCCAAATCATAGCTCTTAAGCTTAAAGACAGCTCCCGCATTGGTCTCCTTCATGTCTCACCAGTCCACCTGCATCTGACACTGCCTAATAGAGAACCACACTCCATTCCTGCCACTCACAGAAAGGTCTCCACTGATGTCCACACAAAGGCTTGACTGGGATTTTGCCATACGGTGGCTCTGCTTTGGAGGGCTCTCTCCAGAACACAATGCCACCAAGAGCAGAGACCTCCCTCTGTGTTACTCCCTCTCACCCAGCGTGGTGCAATGGGAAGAGGAGAGGACCCAGGACTACAGGTAGAAATGAGAGGGAGGCAGTTAGATCCAATTAAGCAAGTCATTTTCATTTAACTGGAGAAGAGACCAACGTGGGATGTGCTGCCTATGAGATAATGAGTTTTCCATTACTGGAGGTATACAAGTCTGGGCGGGTAGCCACCTGGCAGGACGTTCTAGAAGGGGTGCCTGCTGTGCCTAAGACCTTGCCCTCAGCAACCCAGAGAGCTCCTTCTACCTCTTAGACCCTTGGTGCCTTTGATTTCACTGCAGTGGCCTGAAGCTGCCTTCTTCACTGGTAACATAAGGCTGACAACAGTCCCGCTCTGACTAGGATGTTCTATATAATAAATGACTACCAGGAGAGGCACTGGGGAGGAATACAGGAGCCACTCAATCCTCCACTAGAGAATGGAGTGACGACGTGCTCTGGAAAAAGCCAATGAGACTCAAGATAGGCATGAGGTTACAAATCTCTCCAGATTCCACTTCTACCCACATACTCATAAATGCACAGGGACGCAACCCAGCAGGCAGATAGTCACAAACCAATACTACCTAACCTTTACTGACTTATAATATCCTACATGCCTTAACTCATTACTTTATTTAATCCTCACCATGAGGCAAAGGTTGAAAGGGTTTTTTTTTTTTTTTAATATTTTGTAAAGAGGTCTTGCTAAAGTGACCGCCCCACCTTGGCCTCCTAAAGTACTGGGATTATAAGCATTAGCCACCACACCCGGTCTAGGTCGAAACTTATAATTCTCACTTTCTATACACTGGGGTGGGGCCGCCCAGAGAAGCTAAATGACTTGCCCAGACACACACACAGCAAGCAGTGGCACCTGGACTAGAATTCCATTCTGTCTGACCTCTGAACCCAAGTGTTTCACCAATAAGTTATAATGCAGCTACTCAGTAATGGGATGAAAAGGATAAAATGAAGAACCTTGATATACAGACAGCCTCTAAGTAATTTGTTTCTACCCATTACTGAAGTATCTTCCATCTGAATTAAACCTTTGCAAAGAGAGGCCAGCCCTCTCTAGTGTGACTTTCTCTCCCTAACAGTGCCTAACTTTTGGTGTTGAGACGAATACCAGGCAAAAAGTTGGCAGCTGGCTTTTAGAGTTGAAAAGAACCTTAACTTTCATCTGATGGGAGGCCTCCCAGATGGGCTGTGCCCAGCCACTGCCCACAGTCACCTCACTGTACTTGTGATAGACCTTAGCAGATTCTATTCAGTCTTAAAAAATATATGACATTATGAGACAACTAAAAATTTTGAACACTAGTTGGATACATGATAGGAAATTACATTTTAAAAGTACAATCACAGTATTGTGATTGTTTCTAAAATGAGTCATTTTCTTTTAGAGATACATATTGAAATATATGCTGAAATAATATGATTTGGGGGACTTACTTCAAAATAATATGGGCAGGGTATGCATATTGACAAAATCTAATAGGTCATGAGTTGATAATTGTTGAAGTTCTATAAAGGGTTTGTAGAAGTTCATTATACTATTCTACTTTTGCATGTTTAAAATTTTCTATAACACAAAGTTTAAAAAGTAAATTTGAAGATAAAATTGACACATTCAATATTCTTAGAGAAAAGTTAAACATAGGGCAGAGATTATAAATGTAATGAAAGTATAAGTAAGGGAAAGATTCAAACTCAATAAACACATTTGTTGAGTCCCCATTATGTAGGAGGCTCTGTAGTAGCCTCTACTTCCTCATCTATAAAATGGAAGTGTTAAGAATTCTGCTTTGGGCCAGGTGTGGTGGCTCATGCCTGTAAATCCTAGCACTCTGGGAGGCCAAGTCGGGAGGATCACTTGAGGTCAGGAGTTCAAGACCAGCCTGGCCAACATGGTGAAACCTCATCTCTACTAAAAATACAAAAACTAGCCAGGTGTGGTGGCGGGTGCCTGTAATCCCAGCTGCCTGAGAGGCTGAAGCATGAGAATCACTTGAACCCAGGAGGCGGAGGTCGCAGTGAGCTGAGATCACGCCTCTGCATTCCAGGCTGGGCGACAGAGCAAGACTCTATCTCAAAAAAAAAAAAAAAAAAAAAAAAAAGGAAGAAGAGTTCTGCTGCATAGGGTTGTTACTCAGATGAGATGAGCTTATACGGGTCAAGCACTGATAAGAGTGGCTGGCATATAGCAAGAGTAATCAATAATTGGTAGCTTTATACAACCCTATGCAATAAATACTATTAGAATCATTTTACAGATGAGGAAGATGAGGCTCAGAAAAGTATGATAACTTGTCCAAAAAGTCATGCTGCCAATATGAGGGAGAATTTGAATTTCAGAGTCAGCACTGCCCCCACCCAGCTCAGGGATGGACTCTGGCATGCCATAGCCAGGAGAGAGTCCTGTGGGTGCAGAGCATGGAGAAGTCAGGCTTTCAGGGAAGAAATGAGCTGTGACTCCTGAACAAAGAGCAGGAATAAGGTAAGCCTGAAAGAATGAAGGAAGAAAAGCACTCAAGACCCTCAGCAATGCCATTCCGATGAAGTTCAAGGCAAATTCTTTTCCTAATTAAAGGCTGGTCTCCACAGCTGTCATTGGGGTGACCTCGCTAATTCAAATAAATAGCCACAGGGTTTCAAAGGGAACAGTTTTAACTCTGCTTTCCATAATAAGGATTCTGGATTACAGCCCAAAGCTTTAGCTAGTTAAGTGTGTGGGTCAGTCTCATAAATTGTTTTCTTGGCTGGATCCCAAGAAAGCCAGACTGTCATTCGAGCAATGAGGTGATTGGTTTTGCATTCCTACCCAAAAAGGAGGCTTCTCTATGATGCTTGCAAATCATACTTGTAAGATTTGTACCATTGGGATTCTCAATCTTCTGCTAAAATCTGTTCTAGTGTTTTCTTAGGGGAAACTACACTTCTGAAGATGGCTGTCCAGAGATAGCACCCCAGAACAGAGCTACTGGAGACCATTTCTCCAGTGAACAGGTGGAAGGGTCATCTCAGTAAGAAAGGCTTCTACGTTTGCTAACTGCCCCTTCTCTGAGAACTTTGGGGAGGGGCTACTGGCCCCCTGAAGTTCCTGTTCCAACTCGAAATTCTTTTCCTTACATGATGGTTGGGGCACTACTGCTGAGCAATTCCAGAGGGCTTTGCAGGAAGTGGGCTTTCCAGAGGGAAGTGCAGGAAGAGGACTGGTCGCAGTCCAAGGATGGCACTTGTGTCCTGGCTCTGCCCTCGGATGACTATGGACGACTCCCTTATATGCTTGGCTTCCTTGTTTAAAATCTTGGTTTTAAACAAGTTTAAACTTCATGGCAGCAGGAAAACAAAACATATGTGAAAAAGCTAGACAAAAAGCTGAGAATCATCATTACGCTGACTCCCATTAAGCCAGAACTAGATCAGATCTTTTAGAATAGGGATTCCAAGCCACGAGGAGATATCCACGGGCAGTCTAAGTCTTCCCTGTGGGTCCCTCACCTGCCCGTCCCTAAAGGCAGAGTGGAACAATGGAACCAGCCAGGCAGTGAGTTGGTCAGGCCTGGGTTTGATTTCTGGCTCTGCCACATTTATTATCTTCCAATGATCCATTCTTAGCAATTTTACAGTGGAAATGGATACATAAGCCCTGTCCATGCCTCACTAACTCGGCTGACTGAAAAACAAAAATCCACAGATAACCTATGAACCTCATTTTGCCTTAAAGAGTTTCAGCCTCTAAGCCAGGCGCAGTGGCATGCACCTATAGTCCCTGCTACTAGGGAGGGAAGGTGGAAGGATCCCTTGAGGCCAGAAGGTCAAGTCCAACCTGGACAACACAGCAAGACCTCATCTCTAAAATACAAAAGTCTCAGCCACTTTCCCACAAAAACGTAGCACAAAAGAGCTGATGTGCATGAACTTTTTATTTGAATGTTCTGTTCTCTCTACTTCTCTCCATTACAGGGGCTTATGAGAACTAACAGCTCCTAAAACGAGAGGCAGAAAGAAGGCAGAAGATATGGACAAAGGAGTCTAAGGAAAATTTGTAATCCAGTTCACCAGCTTATAAAAAACCAGCACTAGCTGAAAACAGCAGACAAAAGTAAGGACCAGACGACCCTGATCTGCCTGACCCAAGATCAGCATGTTCTTTTTCACAAGGCCACATTGCAAGGTTCCATTAATAAATAGCAGTAATAAGGATGGGGGCCTTGGGGTCAGGCAGACCTGGGCTCAAACTCCTGGCTCTGTAATGTATTAGCCCCAAGATCTCAGGCAAGTTCATTAATCCTGGCTTTAACCCTCAATCATATCATATGTAAAATGGGGATTAAAAACTATATACTTCGCAGGATTACTATACTAACCAGAAAATCATATCAATTTAAAGGACATTTATAATACTAGTTACTAAGTATTAAGATCTTATTATGGGCCGATATGTATGGGCCGATATGTACACCTTCCCTTTTAAATCTCAAAACAACCCTATGAGGGAGGTATTATGTCCCCCATTTTAAAAAATGAGGCTACTTAGTAGGCTCAGAGTAAGTAATTTGCCCCAAAAGATACAGTGTTGGGATGAGAATGTGACTTGGGTTTGTCTGCTCCAAAGACTGTTCTTATTGTCATTACAATGGTACTATAAGCAGTCACATCAGCACGGTAGTTAGTATAGAAAAGGAAGCAGTCAGAATTCCAGGAAAGGCTTTTGCCAGCTTTAGTCGCGACAGCCCTGGGATGGGCCATCACCATTCCATTTTACAGATGAGAACTTGGGGCTCAGAGACATGAAGACTGTTAGAAGTAAACAAAAAGCTGTTTATCTTTTAGAGCCCTTTATCTATTTCAGTATTTATAAAGTAATTATTATAAAGTAATATGATGCCTGGAATCTGCTTCAAAATAATGCAGAGTGGGAGGGGAGGATGATTAGATGAAACAAGATTGGATTGGCCAGATGCTTAGAAGCTGAGTCATGGGTACACAGAGGTTCATTACACTGTTCTCCCAATTCATATCTATGCTTGAAATTTTCTATGATAAGAAAAAGCAAAAATAAAAAAATACTTCATCTCCTGGAGAAAGCATAAGGCAGAAGCAGGTCTCAAACTGGGGTATGTTCTGTCCCCAAATTCTGAGTCCTCTCCAATCCACTGTAACAGTCACTTTAAAAAACCCTTTCTTCTTTCCATCTTGATATGGGTCCAAAGTGCTGCTAATTAGAGCTAGGGAGTTAGGAAGGCAAAGCAGTCTCTATAGGGGTCAGATAGTGGCAGACCAGCCTGCTGCTGGGGTGCGACAGAGGGCTGAATCCTGCTGCCTGGAGAGTGCAGAAAAGGCCTCAGCAAGGTAACAACACTTGGGTATGGAGAGAATGTGGATGATCCAAAAGAGAATGTAGGAATGTGAAGGCAAAGGAGAGAAGGAGCAGCCAGTGCAAATGCATGGAAAGGGGAGCCCGAAGGCTGAGCTGCCTCCAGATCTCTCTTGGGGATTGCTGCTGCAGCCTCCTCATTGTTATCACTTCCTCCACTCTCTCTTTCCATAGTCTACACTCCACACTGCCCCAGGTGGTCTGCACCAAACAGAAAATCTGATCTCATCTTCCCCCTAAGTATTAAAAACCTCCCAGATCTCCCCACTTCACTTCAGATAAGGTCTACACTCCTCAACCTGATCCTCAGGGTGACTATCTCTAACCAGCCCTGACTTCCACTTCCTACCCCTTGCCAGGGCCCCACGTGAACATCCAGAGCCCAAGGTCTAGCTGCCACAAACATACAGGCCCCTTTTCTCCAATGTTCTCTCTTCCTTGCACATCCCTCCCCCTCCAGGTAAACTCCTACCAGAGAGCAGCTCAGATGTCACCTCCTTTGTGAAGGCAGTCCTTACTCTGCCCCTCTCAGTGCATGCTGCTACATTATCAGAGCACCCCCACACTGCACTTGAGGGTCTTCCTCTGGATGAGAAGGTGGGCTCTAGGGCAGGGAGAGGCAGCAGACAAGGTGATCAATACAAGGTGCTTATTAACACTACTAGCGACATAAATAATGCAGCCCCCGGATAGGCAGGCAGGGGTTGTGCAAGCCATCATGGTGCCTGGCACAAAGTGGCTGCCGTGAGAGGCTGCCTGGTGAGTGGACAGGTGAGGACGGCAGGATGCTGAGCAAAGGGATGCTGAGCAGAGGGCTCCTTCCTGACCTTGGCTGAGGCAGCCTTGCTGCGGTGCCCTTCATGAGTCTGTAAGCTCACGGCTGCAGGAGGCTAATTCAGTGCCTAAAAATGCTGTAACAGTTTCTTTGAAAGGTTCCAGACAAATGGAAAATGACACCGACAGCTTGACGCTCCCTTCACCTCCATGGCTGCAAACCTAAAGAATATTTATGATCCGTGGGATCAGAGATTTGGTGTCTTAGAAGCAAAGAAAGGTCACAAGACAAACTAACGCAGACCATCTGCTCTTGGGTGGGGAAAGAGATTCCCATATTTGGAGTTATTCTCCCCAAAGCACCAGGCACCTGCTTCTCTTGTGAAAATCTATGAGCTAACACAATGATTTTTATTTAACATAGTATAAAACCAACGTCTCCTACAAGGAGAGGTGAAAAGCTGAACACAAACATGCCGACTAACAGGGAGCTATGGAAGCCTTCCGGCGGGGAAACAGGAGGTCCGCACTTGTGCTCTCCATATTAAATGCTTAGCGACAAGGCCTAACAGAGGAGAACAAATGCTCCCAGAGATGTCTGCCTGATGGCAATGGAGAAAAACTCATCTGGGGCTAGTACTAGTGGAGCTCCCCTCCTCCTCCATTTTTCATAGGCCGGATGCTCCTGCAATTCCCAACACCGTACTCCTGACATTGCAGCAGATGCTGCCCGCACTGCCGCCGCCACACTAATCCTTCATCCTCCGGGGCCAATGGAAATGTAGGATTTCCCATTAATCAGGGCCGTGGACACCAAAATAGCTCATCTGACCTTTGCAAATACCAAAGGGTGGATTTAAAGCAGAAACTGGCAAAAGGTAATGCAAAAGTCTTTAGCTTTCTTTTCAGAGATGATTTTATGCAGTCATTAGCTAAGAAACAGATTGCCAGTAGGACCAACAAGGTTAAAAATTAGGTGGAAAGAGCCAAATGTTTCACCACACACACACATACACACACACACACACACACACACTCTCTCTCTCTCTCTCTCTCATTCCTTGATGAATTATTTAACTTACATTAAAAATATATATATGGCTCAGAAATCTCTTGGCATTGGCACTGGATTGAAAACAGTGTCAAACTGGGAAGTAGCTGTTCTCTGAGAGAACACTTATACATCAAAACAAACATGGATTTCAATGTGCAATACCAGGTGGACTTCATCAGACAATACAGACCACAGATCTGCTATTGATGAAAAGATAGACCCTCTCTTAGGGAGACCCACATTACATAGGATGAAACTTCATTAAACTTCCTTATCACATACATACCCATCTTCTCTCTATTTACAGCCTATACATCTTAGTTAATCATTGATATTTTGTGAGCAAAAGTGACCTTAATATTTCACGGAGACTTTCTCTGCATAGCTATAATTCAGCACCACATAAAACTGGATCTTAAGTATCTTAATGAAATGTAGGACTCTTTCCATTTAAAAAAAGAGAAAAAGTAATTATAGAAAACTGGAAGAAAAAAGAAGAAAAGCTAGTCACATAAGTCTGCCACCACCCTAATTCAATCTTTTTTCTTTTTTTATTTTTTAAAAAAGATGTCTATTTTTGAGACAAGGTCTCAGTGTCACCCAGGCTGGAGTGCAGTGGCACAATCATGGCTCACTGCAGTCTCAACCTCCCGGGCTCAGGTGATCCTCCCACCTCAGCCTCATGAGTAGCTGGGACTACTGGGGTGCACCATCACGCCTGCCTGGCTAAATTTTTCATATTTTTTGGTAAGACGGGGTTTCATCATGTTGGAGACCAGGCTGGTCTCCAACCCCTGGGCTCCAGCAATCTGCCTGCCTCAGCCTCCGAAAGTGCTGGGATTATAGGAATAAACCACCGCACCCTGCCGTAATTCAATTTTGTATAAGAGCTTTATTGAGATATAATTTACATACCATGAAATCTACCCTCTTGAAGTGTACAATTCAGTGGCATTAGTACATATATTCACAGAGTTGTGCAACCATCACCACTATGTAACTCTAGAATATATTCATCATCCTAAAAATAAATCCTGTACCTGTTAGCAGTCACTTCCCATTCCCCCTCTCCCAGCCTCCTACAACCACTAATCTGCCTTTTCTCTATATAGATGTGTCTATTCTGAACATTTCTTATAAATGCAATCATACAATATATAGCTGTTTGTGTCTGGCTTCTTTCATGAAACATAATATTTTTACCCAATTCTATTTTTTATTAGCACTTTGTTAGGTTTCTTTCCCATCTCGATTCTGATATATTTAAAACTTAATCCTTTGCTAACATTATAAAGTTAAGTCTGTTTTTTGCTAAACCACAAGTTACTGACCCTAAGCTAGGCTCATGGGTGCAGAGGCTGCAGGAGGCCTGTTTTGCTCTCTAAACATCAGCTCATTATATTGGTCTAAGTATTGATCTAATTTTTTTTTTTAAGACAGAGTCTCACTCTATCGCCCAGGCTGGAGCGCAATGGCACAATCTTGGCTCACTGCAACCTCTGCCTCCTGGGTTCAAGCCATTCTCCTGCCTCAGCCTCCCAAGCAGCTGGGACTACAGGGATGTGCCACCACGCCTGGCTAATTTTTGTATTTTTAGTAGAAATGGAGTTTTACCACGTTGGCCAGGCTGGTCTCGAGCTCCTGACCTCAAGTGATCAGCCCTCCTCAGCCTCCCAAAGTGCTGGGATTACAGGCGTACGCCACCGTGCCAGCCTAAGTGTTGATCTAATTTTAACAGAAGTGCCTCAGGGTTAGGAAAGTACTAACTAGTTATACCAGCCCTCAGGACAATCCCACACAGTAAATACAATCTTCAGCAAGGAACAGGAAAGAACACTAGAACTGGGATTTAAATAGGAAGAGCTACTACCATCCAGTGAGCTTTTCAGTTTTATACGGTGGGGGGGTCTCACTATATTGCCCATGCTGGTCTTGAACTCCTGGGCTCAAGTGATCCTGCTGCCTCAGCCTCCCAAAGTGCTGGGATTATAGACATGAGCCACCGTGCCCAGGCCAGTGAGCTTTCTGTTTTGCAAATATTGTAGGCTAAATTGTGCCATCCTCAAGTTCTCATGTTGAAGCCCTAAGCACCAGTACCTCACAATATGACTGATTGAATTTGGAGACAGGGTCTTTAAAGAAGTGATTAAGTTAAAATGGGGCCCTAATCCAATCATGCATGCACAGAGGAATGACCATGTGAGGACACAGCAAGACAGTAGCTGTTGGCAAGCCACGGAAAGAGGCTTCTGAAGAAGCCAAACCTGCAGCTTGATCTTGGATTTTCAGCCTCCAGAACTATGAGAAAATAAGTTCGGTTAAGCCTTCCAGTCTGTGGTATTTTGTTATGGTAGCCCTAGCAAACGTCTCATTTAATGCCCCGACACATACTTTTAAAAATAGGACTTCTATCCTCATTTTACAGATGAGGAAGCTCAGGCTCAAAGAGGTTACTGGAGCTGGGACTCAAAGTGAAGTCTGATTTTGAAGATTTTGTTCTTTCCAGAAAGTACAACAAGTTGTATTCATTTTTAATTTCTTTTGGTAGCATGAGGGGTCACACTGTTAAAATAAAGAAAAATCTTTGTTCTATTTTTTTTTAAATATATACTCTTTCCAGAATATACCTGGTTACAGTCCAAATTCAGAATCCACTCATTTCAGAAATACTTTTGATGGAGGAAAAGAAAATTAATGAGTCAAGTGCTTTACATGCATTATCCAATTTGAACATTAAACAATTCTAAGAGATATATATTAGTCATAATTGAGGAAACTAAGGCTCAGAGACATTAAATGACTGTATCATGATACAATGTTTGTCTTTCATTAAGTTCCTTAGTCAAATAGTTTCATTTTGAAAGACCAAGTGTACTAAATTCTGTTTATCAACCTTTCACTGAGACTTGCTGTACTGGATAATCTTGATACCAAGATAAATACGCCCTAGTCCCTACCTTGGAGAGAGTGTCAAGTACAGCTGGGGAGGGCAATAGCCCCCCAGAGCTGCTGCTAGCCCATATGGAGCTTCTGTGCAATCAAAAAATGTGCCCCCTTGGCCAGGTGTGGTGGCTCACACCTGTAATCACAGCACTTTGGGAGGCCAAGGCAGGCAGATCACTTGAGGTCAGGTTTGAGACCAGCTTGGCCAACATGGTGAAACCCCGTCTCTACTAAAAATACAAAACAAAAATCAGCCAGGTATGGTGGTGCACGTCTGTAATCCCAGCTACTCGGGAGGCTAAGGCAGGAGAATGACTTGAACCCGGGAGGTGGAGGTTGCAGTGAGCTGGGACCATGCCACTGAACTCCAGCCTGGGTGACAGAGTGAGACTTCACCTCAAAAAAAAAAGGTGGCCCTTTCTTAGAGTGAAAGCAGCCCCAGAGCACAGCCTTGCTGAGCAGCCCTGTGGCTCTGCCTTCAGTTCACACCCCCTCTTGCTAAGAGTGAGATCAGCGGAGTGCCCAGAGCAAGGCAGGGGTCCTAGGAAGGGCTTGCTTCCCCCTATCAACCCCACACTCTCCACACCCAGCCTCCCTCCTATTGCCTGATGGATCAAAGACCCCCATGATCTGTGCTGACCCTGTGAGGGGTGGGGGGAAAGAGTTGGAGTACAGAGCCAGGGCTGCTCAGAGTAAGTATTGGGCAAAGCCAAAAAGTTAAGAGTGCCAAGCAGGGGTCAAAATGCCAGAAGGGGCCACATACAGAGTGACTGTCCCATAGACCAGAGAATGGGGAGCTGGAGCCATGAGGTGAAAGCAGGTCAGGGACACCTTAATTGAGTGTTCTCAGGGACCCTCCATGTGGGTTTCATGCCATGCGTTTCTCACACAGGAGCCTTTTACCCCAAATATATTTATTCTTGCCACCTGCCATTAAGGGTCTCCACCTTCATCTTTTCCCAGTGCTAGGTGATGTTCTCCAATGGGGAACAGCAGTGTGGAACTCGTGCCAGGAAAACCCAGCTCACCATCCACGACATTACTGAACATCTAGCACGGCAGAGCATAGAGCATAGGGCCCAGTGCAGACAATGCCACATCACAAGGCTTCATCTCTGACAAGAGCCTGTCTCAGCCCCCAAGGAGGCCCAACTGGGTCAGGAGAATAAATGTTACAAAGTGCCCCTTCCAGCAGCTAGAGTCTTACAGGATAAATACCACCCCACTCCGATGCTACAATCTGACCTGTGCCAGGGTGGGTATATGAAAAAAGTTAACAGGGAGTCATCAGGGCACCTGGGGTGAAGACAGTGGCTCTCTGGTCAGAGGACATATCTCAGTAAGTGTGGCATCCAAGCCTCACCTTGCAGGAGCAGAATCTCCCACATAAGCGAGAAGCAGATGAGACAGCCATCCTGGGGAAGGAAGGACAGAAGCAACGGCCAGAAGGCTGGTGGTGTGTCCCGAAAAGGTGCACAGTCCAGTGGCCAGAAGGCAGAAGAGCACTCCTCAGAGAGTGGCCTGCAGATCACCAGTGGGCAAGTTTAGGTGGGCCAGGGCAATGTTATAACACTGAATCTGTTCTCTCTCTCTATTTTTTATTTTTATTTTTTAAATTTTATTTATTTATTTTTTTGAGACAGAGTCTTGCTCTGTCACCCAGGCTAGAGTGCAGTGGCACAATCTCAACTCACTGCAAGCTCCGCCTCCCGGGTTCACACCATTCTCCCGCCTCAGCCTCCCGAGTAGCTGGGACTACAGGCGCCCACCACCATGCCTGGCTAATTTTTTTTTGTATTTTAGTAGAGATGGGGTTTCACCATGTTTCTCGATCTCCTGACCTCGTGATCTGCCCGCCTCGGCCTCCCAAAGTGCTGGGATTACAGGTGTGAGTCACCACACCAGGCCTATTTTTATTTTTTGAGATGGCGTATCACTCTGTCGCCCAGGCTGGAGTGCAGTGGTGCGCTCTTGGCTCACTGCAACCTCCACCTCCTGGGCTCAAACAATTCTTGTGCCTCAGTCTTCCGAGTAGCTGGGATTACTGGAATGCACCACTATACCCGGCTCCTTTTTTTGAATTTTTAGTAGAGACAGGGTTTTACCAAGTTGGCCGCGCTTGTCTCGAACTCCTGACCTAAAGTGATCTGCCTGCCTTAGCCTCCCAAAATGCTGGTATTACAGGCGTGAGTCACTATGCCTAGCCTCTCTTTTTTTTTTTTTTAGAGACAGGGTCATGCTATCTTACCAAGGCCGGCCTCAAGCTCCTGGGCTTAAGTGGCATGGCACTGCACCTGGTCGCTGTTCCAATACTTTGTATGCTCCCATTCTAATGAGAGTGAGTCTTGGCGGGGAGCCTTAGGCAGACAACAGGATCCTGCTAGAAGAATCTTGCTTTGATTTCAATGTATTTATTTATTTTAATTTTTATGTTACTTTAGATTAATGCCAAGTGAAACTACTTTTCAATTGAGAGTGATAGAAGCCTTTTAAAAGAAAATGTGCCCAAGTAAAAAAAGTTAGTCAATACACAGAAAATCTGTGACAGCATAGGTGGCTCATAGATAAGGGAAAACCATGAAGGTAGTCCCCAGGAGAATGGAAACTGCAAGATCTGGGAAAACCTAGGCCAGAGCCTTGGTGCAGAGGGAAAAGAAAGATCAGACACTGCAGTTTCTTCTTTCTGGTGGCCTATGGGCAGGGAGGACCTACCAGGAAGGGGGTGCTGTTTCATCTTCCCCACTAGGGGGAAGATCCCTGGCAGGATGTCTCCAGGGATCTACCTGGAGCCAACCTAACAAGCCAGGTAAGGGCTTTAGTGTGGGGCAGACCTGTTCAAGTTTTGGTTCTGCTACCTACTCCCTGAGAGGCTTCTGGGATGTCAATCAGCCTCATCCATAAATCCTAGATGATAATACCCACTCCCTTGCGGGGCTGCAAGGAAAATGACCAGCACCCAGTAGACGGCAGTTCCCTCGCCCACCCAGCCCTTTCCTAACTCTGGCAGGGACCAGATCTGAGATCCAGTCTCTGAGAACGTTCATAAGATTTAGAGGAAACAGAATCATACTTCTCTGTTCTGACTAGAATTAAAGAATATACAAAATGCCTGATCTCACTTTGTCTTACTGGGTTAGAGATGAAAAGGAGGAACATTTAGTACTTGGGTAGACACTGTAGATTCTCAAGCCTCATGTGTCACCAGTAAAATGCAGGGAATTTGAGTTTGTGCATAAAAAGTTGCTGCCCTGGAGTGGCAACAGAAAAATTTGGTTTCCTCAGGAGTAGCAGACAGGTAAGGCAAATAAATAAAAACCATATGAAAATTAACTGAAGAATGGTGACCAAAGGGTTTTTAGCAAAAAACCTTTCAAGAAACGTAAAGGTCTTGCATAGCCTTTTTACAGGGCAAGGGGAGGCCAAGGATGCAGGAGGAACGAGTCTGGGCAGCTCCACCAGCAGGCATTCTCTACCTCTGCATTTCCATGGGGACGTGGTGCTTAGGAAGGAAGTTAGCCGAAGGCAACTTTCATCCACACATCTTAGAGGTGGTTTTCCATTAGACAATGTGGACCAACAACCAAATGCCTTTTCCCCTCCTCAGATGTGTAGAAATTAAAAGATGCCCAGTACTGATGAGAGTGCAAGGCAAACAGTCACTCGGGCTCTGTTGGTGAGGGGCTCATTTAGAGGGCAATTTGGCAGTCTCCATCAAAATTTCCAATACTCTTATAGTCTGACATGAGCATTTTGTCCCTAGGAATCTAAACTACACAAATATAGAAATGCACAAAGATATGCTGTTCCAGTATTACTTATAAGGACAAGAAAGCCACTGCCCACCAGGAGGAGGATGGCTATATAAACTGTACATCCATTCTGTGGAATGCTTGCACAATGAGATAGATCTAATTATGTTGCCATGGAAAGGTCTCCAAAATGTACAATGACATGGCAAAACAAAAGCGAGCTGTAAAATGAAGCCTACAGTAGGATCCCATTTATACAAAAGAAACTTCATGGAACATGCGCCACACACTAAGCAGCTGATTACCTCTGGGGAGCCTAGTTGGGCTGAGAAATTAAGGGCTCACTCTTTATACAGTAAGTGCTTCTTTATTTTCTTTTTTTTTTTTTTTTTTTTTTTTTTTTTTTTTGAGACAGGATTTCACTCTGTTCCCAGGCTGGAGTGCAGTGGTGTGATCTTACCTCACTGCAGCCTCGACCTTCCCAGGCTCAAGCAATCCTCCTGCCTCAGCCTCCTGAGGAGCTGGGACCACAGGTGCGTGCTGCCACGCCTGGCTAAGTTTTTAAATATTCTTTGTAGCAACAAGGTCTTACTGTGTTGCCTAGGCTGGTCTCAAACTCCTGGGCTCAGGAGATCCTCCAGCCTCAGCCTCCCAAAGTGCTGGGATTACAGGTGTGAGCCACCACACCCAGCCTATATTTTATAATTTTTAAAAACAAAAATGGGTCTCTGTGTCAGTCCCATTCACTGAAGGGCAAACAAACAGCTTTAGGATGCCCAGTATGCACAAAAGACCAAAGAGAAGGCAGCCTCTGGGGTAGAGGAACACTGGAGTAAGAAGCAACATGGAATGCTGGTCCTGCTGCAGGAAGGCCCCTTAGCCACCTGAGGCACACTTCCTCCTCCGCTGCCCTGACAGAACAGGAAGGTTGAAAAGGTGTATACACATTCTCAAAAGCAGCCTGCCCACCACAATAGGGCTGCAATGGGGCTTCTGGGACGCCATGCCCAACAGACTGGTCCCCACCCCTTCATTTGGGAGGCTGAGGTGGGCAGATCACTTGAGGCCAGGAGTTTGAGACCGCCTGGCCAACATGGCGAAACCCCATCTCTACAAAAAAAATACAAAAATTAGCCAGGCGTGGTGGTCACACCTGTAATCCCAGCTACTTAGGAGGCTGAGGCAGGAGAACTGCTTGAACTGGGGAGGCAGAGGTTGCAGTGAGCCGAAATCTTGTCACTGCACTCCAGCCTGGGCAACAGAGCGAGACTCTGTCTCAAAAAAATATAAATAAATAAAGGTAAATGTTATGTTATGTGTATTTTACCACCATAAAAACAAAAGACTGCAGAGAGTCATTCTGGTCCTTGAGCATGAATTAATCAGGAAGCAGCAGTTTGGTTGCTGCAGTATTCCTGTAAGGTGCTAGAGACAAGCAGGAGTGCCCCGGATCACTTTCCCCACCTCAGGAGGACAGAGAACCACTGTCCCTGCAAAAGGCGTCACCAACTGTTTAAGAGGCAGATCCCAAATAGGGACCACCATGGGGGCAGAGCCTTAAGCATCACCTGGCCCCTAACCCAGGAGGAAACCTGTGCCCCACAGCATGCACATGGATGGGGTGTAGAAACAGCCCACAGCTGACCTCACTGACCTGCCCCCACCAGCCCAACACACATGAAGACACATGAGTGGGGGGAGCACATAGGGTGTGTAGTGGGCCTCACTGGGTTTCAATCCTGTTGGTTGTGTGATTCTGAGAAAGTCACAACACAGGTAAAAATGCCATCTCACAAAGTCAAGAGGGTTAAATGAGATAAAATCTTGAAAGAACACAGCACAGTCCCCTGCACAAGCAGGTGCTCTATGCATGTTCATTGCCTTGCCTCTTCTTCCAAGTCACACAAGGATGCCTTCCCTTGTACCCTGTACAGTTAGCCACTCTCAGGACAGGCATAGGACAGGGCAAGCATTGTTCATCTTTGAATTCAAAATCCCACCGGCTCAACATAGTGCATTCAAATAGTCAGATAATTATTAAATACATATAAGTTATAAGTGCCACTGCAGTTCAGAGGCTTCTGGGCCAGCTTTGTGGCAGTGGGAAGATCTAGGTTAGGTTTCAAAGGGTATATTGGTCTAAACCATGAGCAAGAGAGAAGGGATGCTTTGCAGGGCCAAAGGCCATGCTGAGCACAGAAAAGGAGGGAGTGGGAACGGCAAAGTAAGTAGAGACCTTGGTAAGAGAAAAGACGGGAAGAAGCCCAGTCAGTGAAGGCCTTGAACACCAGGCTACATTTATAAATCATTCTTTTTTTTTTTTTTTTTGTGATGGAGCTTCGCTTTTGACACCCAGGCTAGAGTGCAATGGTGCAATCTTGGCTCACTGCAACCTCAGCCTCCCAGATTCAAATGATTCTCCTGTCTCAGCCTCTCTGGTAGCTGGGATTACAGGAACCCACCACCATGTCCTGCTAATTTTTGTATTTTTAGTAGAGACGGGGTTTCGCCATGTTGGCCAGGCTAGTCTCGAACTACTGACCTCAGATGACCCACCCACCTTGGCCTCCCAAAGTGCTGGGATTACAAGTGTGAGCCACCGCGCCTGGCCCTATTTATAAATCATTCTAAAGGAGATGGGGAGTTCCAGAAATTTTCTGGTAGAGTTGTCCAAAGTTTTGGAAGGTTCCAGAGTGTAGAAAGGGAGGGAGAATATGAAGGAGGAGACCAGCTAGGTGGTATTGAACTGGTCTAACTTACAGCCTCAAGCAATGGTCCAGGCATGACCAAGGGCTGGACTAAGTTAGAGGAGGAGAAAACTAAGAGCAAACACATGCTAAACACATTATGAAAACAAACAAAAAACTCTCACACAGATACTACGCTCTAAGGCCAAGAGAGGTCCCAGAACCTCCATGGCAGTGTGGCTCCTCCATCCATTTGCTCAGCCCCTTCCTGACCTCCGTTTCTTTTGCTGTTGCTCACCCTAGAGCAATGTCTTTATGTTCAAAAAGCATTTATGGAATTGAAATGATTGCATCTCATGGGCACCTTGTCAGAAATGTGCCATCACAAGTGACATTTTCGGGTGTCATAGTTAGTCTCTCATCTGCTGGTGGATCTGATTTGCCCAGCTGACAAGTGAGAAGACTGTGACACCAACAATTATAGAAACAAACTCAACCTAGAATCTGGAAATCAAGCTGTTCTCTCCACCTCTTCTATCATACTCAGCAGACAATATGGTGGTCACCGGCAGAGGGCCCTCACTTCTCAAACCACAGCAGCTAGTGGGAACGGCAGGACCCCAGACCACACAATTCCTTTTTTTTTTTTT
Organism: Homo sapiens; assembly: GCF_000001405.40. NCBI lineage: Eukaryota > Metazoa > Chordata > Mammalia > Primates > Hominidae > Homo > Homo sapiens. The sequence goes on from NC_000017.11 coordinate 17,955,339, forward strand.
TTTTTTTTTTTTGTTTTTGAGACAAGAGACTTGCTCTGTCGCCAGGCTGGAGTACAGTGACGACATCTCTGCTCACCTCAATCTCTGCCTCCCGGGTTCAAGCGATTCTCCAGCCTCCATCTCCCACGTAGCTGGGATTACAGGCACACGCCACCAAGCCCAGATAAATTTTTTGTATTTTTAGCAGAGACAGGGTTTCACCATATTGGCCAGGACAGTCTTGATCTCCTGACCTCGTGATCCTCCTGCCTCGGACTCCCAAAGTGCTGGGATTACAGGCATAAGCCACTGCGCCCAGCCTCTTCTTTGTTGTTTTTTAAGAGATGGAGTCTTGCTCTGCCACCCAGGCTAGAGTGTGTCCAGAATTGGTGGGTTCTTGGTCTCACTGACTTCAAGAATGAAGCCATAGACCCTCGCAGTTAGTTTTACAGTTCTTAAAGGCGGCGTGTCTGGGGTTTGTTCCTTCTGATGTTCAGCTGTGTTCTGAGTTTCTTCCTCCTGGTGGGTTCGTAGTCTCGCTGGCTTCAAGAGTGAAGCTGCAGACCTTCGCGGTGAGTGTTACAGCTCTTAAGGCAGCGTGTCTGAAGTTGTTCGCTCCTACCGCCTGGAATTGTTCATTCCTCCCAATGGGTTCGTGGTCTGCGCCAGCCTCAAGAGAAAAACTGCAGACCTTTGCAGCCAGTGTTACAGCTCATAAAAGCAGTGGACTCATGGAGTAAGCAGCAACATTTGTTTCAAAGAGCAAAAGAACAAAGCCTCCCCCGCACGAAAAAGGACCCAAGTGGGTTACCACTACTGCCTCTGGCCCCACCCACATCCTGCTGATTGGTCCATTTTACAGAGAACTGATTGGTCTGTTTTACAGAGACCTGATTGGCCTATTTTGACAGGGTGCTGATTGGTGCGTTTACAATCCCTGAGCTAGACACAAAGATTCTCCAAGTCCCCACCAGATTAACTAGATACAGAGTGCTGATTGGTGCATTTACAAACCTTGAGCTAGACACAGAGTGCTGATTGGTGTATTTACAATCCCTTAGCTAGACATAAAGGTTCTCTAAGTCCTCACTAGACTCAGAAACCCAGCTGGCTTCACCCAGTGGATCCCACACCTGGGTCACAGGTGGAGCTGCCTGCCAGTCCCTGGCAGTGCGCCTGCACTCCTCAGCCCTTGGGCGGTCGATGGGACCGGGCGCAGTGGAGCAGGGGTTTGCGCTCCTTGGGGAGGTTCGGGCCGCATAGGAGCCCACGGCAGGGAGGCTCAGGCATGGTGAGCTGCAGGTCCAGAGTCCTGCCCCGCAGGGAGACCGCTGAGACCCGGCGAGAATTCCAGCACAGCACTGGCGGGCCGGCACTGCTGGGGGAATGGCACACCCTCCGCAGCTGCTGGCCTGGATGCTAAGCCCCTCACTGCCCGGGGCCTGCGGTGCTGGGCCCGCTGAGCTCACGCCCACCCAGAACTCGCGCTGGCCCGCAAGCGCCACGCGCAGCCCGGTTCCCGCCCGCGCCTCTCCCTCCACATCTCCCTGCAAGCTGAGGGAGGCGGCTCCGGCCTCGGCCAGCCCAGGGAGGGGTTCTCACAGTGCAGCGGCGGGCTGAAGGGCTCCTCAAGCACAGCCAGAGAAGGCATCGGGGCTGAGGAGGCGCCTGAGAGCGAGCAACGGCTGCCAGCACGCTGTCACCTCTCAAGAGTACAGTGGCACAATCATAGCTCGCTGCAGTCTCCACCTCCTGGGCTCAAGCAATCCTCCTGCCTCAGCCTCCAAAGTAGCTAGGACTACAGGGAGTAGCACTACCACACCCAGCTAATTTTTAAATTTTTTGTAGAAACAGGGTCTTGCTATGTTGCCCAGGCTGGCCTCAAATTTTTGGCCTCAAGCAATCCTCCTGCCTTGGCCTCCCAAAGTGCTGGGATTACAGGCATGAGCCACCACTCCCTTATACAGCCTTTCAAAATGGCAGGTAGAGAAAACAATGCATATGATTCTTCTTCAAAATATCACTGGGATTCAACACAAAAGAGCATATACTGTATGACTCCACTCATGAACTTCTAGAAGAGATAAAAGATCAGTGGTTCCCTCTGCAGTGTGTTGGAGGAGAGGATTAACTGGGAAGGGACCTGAGGGAGCTTTCTGGGGTGAGGTTGACAGTGCGTATCTTGATGGGGTAAGGTGACAACATGTAAGCATGTGTCAAAATTATAACAAAATGTATGCATTTTACTACAAGTAAACTACCTCAGTGAAAATCATTAGAAGGCAAATATATATACATTTACACAAAATATATATAAAGTATAACATATTTATATAAAATATATATAAAATATGTATATGTATATATTTACCTGTGTGCATGTATTTACATGTGTGTATATACTTACATATCACAGGCTATACACACACACACGTACACACACATATGATTCATAGGTATGTACAGTCTCTTATGGAAAGCTGTAAGTCTTAAGAAAAACTAGGCCAGGCGTGGTGGCTCACGACTGTAATCCCAGGCCGAGGTGGGCGGATCATGAGGTCCGGAGATCAAGACCATCCTGGCTAACACGGTGAAACCCCGTCTCTACTAAAAATACAAAAAATTAGCCGGGCGTGGTGGTGGGCGCCTGTAGTCCTAGCTATTCAGCAGGCTGAGGCAGGAGAATGGTGTGAACCCAGGAGGTGGAGCTTGCAGTAAGTCGAGATTGTGCCACTGCACTCCAGCCTGGGCAACAGAGCAAGACTCTGTCTCAAAAAAAAAAAAAAGAAAAGAAAAACTAAAAGCCACTTTGATTTGGGCCTTAAGCTTTAGGTCTGAAATGAACTTGGAAAGCTTGTTCAACCTCTGTTCTTCAAAACAAACGAACGAACAAACCATGCTCTTCAAATGAGTAACTGACAGGATGTGCCCCACCCAAAGTCTCACAGCAAATCAGCAGCAGAGCAGTGAACAGTCCCAGACTTTCCCAGTCCTAGCCTGGGATTGGTTTCTCTGGTCTGGACCAGTGCCAGAAAAAGTAGATAAAACAGAAGACCATTGGTGATTTTATGAGCTAATTTCATTTAAACCATCAAATCTAGAGCTAAATAGTACCCCCAACCAAGCCCAGTCAAAAACAGGAGACTAACTTTCAAACAATAAAATGTATTTACCTTCATGAGGCTGAGTTGAAAATTTCCACTCCATTAAAATGACAGACTTACTACCCCATGCTTACCCTCCCTGCCCATATACAAATATCTAAATGACTGGCAAGAGGCTGTGAGCTAAATAGGAAGACATGTAAGAGTCATAAAACTGAGTCACTGTGGGACCTTGGCAAGTCTCCTACTGTGATACAGTAAGAAATATATATTTGGTCTTTGTCCAGGTTCCTGGCACACCTCACCCAAAACCCCTGGAATCTCCTGAGAGATAAGTGTCTTTTGTATGCTAATGAGATTGGGGCTCCCTAGCCAGAAAGACCAAGGTACATTTCAGTGTTGGAACTTTTAGCCGTACCCTCATCCCACCTTACCTCCGGAAAGGGGAGAGGGACTAGAGGTTGAGTTATTCACCAATGGCCAGATTTAATCACTCATGCCCACATAATGAAACCTCCATTAATACCCCTAAACGATGGGGTTCAAAGAACTTCCAAGTTGAACACATAAAGGTGCTGGGAGGCTGGCACAGAAGTTCTCTGCCCCTTCCCCACACCTTGCCCGATGAATCTCTTCCATTTGGCTGTTGCTGAGTTATATCCTTTGTCACGAAAATGTAAGTAAAGTGTTGTCCTGAATTTTGTGAGCCATTCAAGCATATGATCAAACATGGGGAAGGCATCACGGGAATCCCCAATTTATAGCCGGTCATGGGAAGTACAGATGGTAACCAGGAACTTGTGACTGGCATGTGAAGTGGGGGCAGTCTTGTGGGACTGAGCCCTTAACCTCTGGGGTCCGCACCAGCTCCAGGTAGTTAGTGTCAAAACTGAATTCAATTGTAGGACATCCATTTGATATCAGAAAAAAGACAAAAACAACAAAAAAATCCCTGCACATTTGCTGTCAGAAATGTCATACATCACAGACACCCTCTCTGGCCTTGTTTCCACAACCTGCAAAAATTAGAGGGTTGGACCAAATACCACTAAGACCCTTTCAACTAGAGTCTTCTGATTCTTTGAATTGCTGGTTTAAGAATTTCCACAGTTAGCATAGGAGACTCTCGCTCTCTGGAAGCCACTAGCAAATTCAGCTTTCAAACCCCAAGCAACATCATTTCTCAGGCCTCATTTCCTATTTCGACTAATGACGTGCCAGAAATCTGTGTGATTTCTCCTTTGAGGAGCAGCAAAAAAAACTCCACAGTGTCCTATTACAGGACCCAGTTCTTGTCCCCAGCTCTCAAAGACAGCCCAATTCTCTGAGATGAAAGAATCAGTCTCTCTCCATTACACTCAATTTTAAACCAAAACCCGAAACAGAATTTTTGACATGCCTCCCAGACTACAAGGCTTATGCTTCATTAATGATTAAAAGAGCAGCTGGTGATGTCTTAAAAGCAAGTTGGTCAGTTAGACAATTTAGCATGTGTTTAAATTCCGTCTTTTCCTCCATCCATCACTGTAGTTCTAAGGCAAATCCAAAGAGAAAGTAAAATACACAGGTCTTCCATTACTAAGAAGTGCCTCAGCGAGGATATAAGAAAGCACGTCCTTTGAGGAAATTCTCAGAAAACTTACTGGTATGAAGAGGACACTTGTACACTGAGTTACAGGAGGAAAACTGAAACTGAGTACATAATTTACAATACTAGTGTAGGTCTGGATTTAAGACAACTATTACTAGATTTTTCAGCTACCAAGTTCATTCAGGCATTCATTCACTCAATCCCACAAACAATACTAAGCTCTCTGGTTTAGTGGTTAAGAGCACCAGCTCTGCTGCCCACAGACCTGGGTTCAAATCCCTGCTCTGCCACTGATAATCCACAGACCTTGAGGAAGGTACTTGACTTTTTTTTTTCTGAGACAGGGTCTCTGGCTCTGTCAACCAGACTGGAGTGTAGTGGCACAATCTCAGCTCACAGCAACCTCTGCCTCCTGGGCTCATGCCATCTTCCCACCTCAGCCTCCTCCCAAGTAGCTGGGACTACAGGTGCATGCTACCATGCCCAGCTAATTTTTGTATTTTTTTGTAGAGACGGAATTTCGCCATGTTGCCCAGACTGGTCTCGAACTCCTGAGCTCAAGTGATCCTCCCATCTTGGCTGCCCAGAATACTAGTATTACAGGCATGAGCCAGTGAGCCCAGCTGGTTATTTCACTTCTAAGCCTTAGTTTCCTAGTCTTTTAAAATATGACTGACAGGCCTGGGTGACACAGTGAGAGTCTGTCTCCAAAAAAACAAAATAGAGTGATAATACCTGCCTTACAGAATTGTTGTGGGAATTAAAGAAAAGAATGCATGTAAACTACATAACCCAGTACCTAGTAAGGAGAGACATTCTGACTGCTACTAATAGCACCATCCTTATCTTTAAGGCATTGTGTTAGATTCGACTGAAAGATAAGGGCATGACACGGAAGGTACAAGCAACAAAAGAAAAAGTAGAGAAACTGGACTTAAAACTTTTGTGCATTAAAGGACACTATAAACAGAGTATAAAAAGGCAACCCACAGAATGGGAGAAAATATTTGTAAATCACATGTCTGATAAGAGATTAATATTCAGAATATATAGAGAACTCCTAAAACCGAACAACAACAAAACCCAATTAAAAACTAGGCACAGGACTTGAACAGACATTTCTCCAAAGAAGACATACAAATGGCCAACAAGCACATGAAAAGATGCTCAATATCACTAATCATGAAGAAAATGCAAATCAAAACCACAATGAGACACCAATTCATACCCATTAGGATGGCTACTATAAAGAAAAAAAAATGAACCAAGTGCAGGGGTTCACGTCCTATAATCCCAACACTTTGGGAGGCCAAGATGGGAGGATCACCTGAGTCCGAGAAGTCCAGGAGTTTAAGACTAGTCTGGGATACATGGGGAGGCCTTGCCACTACAAAAAAATAATTTTTTTTTTAATTGGCTGGGAATGGTGGTGCATGCCTATAGTCCTAGCTACTCAGGAGACTAAGGCAGGAGGATTGCTCGAGTTCAGAAGTTCGAGGCTGCAGGGAGCTATGATCATGCCACTGTACTCTAGCCTGGGTGACAGAAGGAGAACGTGTCTCTTAAAAAAAAATTGAAGGGCCGGGCACGGTGGCTTACACCTGTAATCCCAGCACTTTGGGAGGCCGAGGCGGGCGCATCATGAGGTGAGGAGATCGAGACCATCCTGGCTAACACGATGAAACCCTGTCTCTACTAAAAATACAAAAATTAGCCGGGCGTGGTGGCAGGCGCCTGTAGTCCCAGCTACTCGGGAGGCTGAGGCAGGAGAATGGCGTGAACCCGGGAGGTGGAGCTTGCAGTGAGCAGAGATTGCACCACTGCACTCCAGCCTGGGCAACAGAGCGAGACTCCGTCTCAAAAAAAAAAAAAAAATGAAAACAGACATGAATAGATATTTGTACATTCATGTTCATAGCAGCATTATTTACAATAGCCAAAAAGTGGAAGCAACTCAGGTGACCATCAATGGAAGAATGAATAAACAAAATGTGGTATAAACACACAATGGAATATTATACAGCCTTAACAAGGAAGGAAACTTTGACATGCTCCAATAGAGATGAAACTTGAAGACATTATGCAAGTGAAGTCAGTCATGAAAGGATAAATACTATATGATTCCATTTATATGAGGTTTCATAATAAATATATGATTCCACTTATATGAGGTTCCTAGAGTAGTCAAATTCATAGTGACAAAGTAAAATGGTAGTTGCCAGGGGCTGGGGGGAGGAGGGAACAGGGAGATATTGTTTCACTTTTGCAAGACTAGAAGAGTTGTAGAGATGGCCAGTGGTGATTGTTGCATATTTTTTTTTTTTTAGGGATGGAGTCTCGCTCTGTCACCCAGGCTGGAGTGCAGTGACACGATCTTAGCTCACTGCAACCTCCTCCTCTAGCAATTCTCCTGCTTCAGCCTCCCGAGTACCTGGGACTACAGGCGCACACTGCCATGCCCGGCTAATTTTTTTGTATTTTAGTAGAGACAGGGTTTCACCGTGTTGCGCAGGCTGGTCTCGAACTCCTGAGCTCAGGCAATCCACCCGCCTCGGCCTCCCAAAGTGCTAGGATTAAAGGCATGAGCCACCGCGACTGGCCCAATGTGAATATATTTAATGCCATTGAACTGCACACTTAAAACCAGTTAAAATTGTAAATTTTGGGCCTGGTGTGGTGGCTCACGCCTGTAATCTCAGCACTTTGGGAGGCTGAGGTGGGTGGAATCACAAGGTCAAGAGATCGAGACCAACCTGGCCAACATGGTGAAACCCTATCTCTACTAAAATTGCAAAAAATTTAGCTGGGCGTGGTGGCGCGTGCCTGTAGTCCCAGCTACTTGGGAGGCTGAGGCAGGAGAATCGCTTGAACCTGGGAGGCAGAGGTTGCAATGAGCCGAGGTCGTGCCACTGCACTCCAGCCTGGGCAACAGAGTGAGACTCCGTCTCAAAAAAAAAAAAAATGTAAATTTTGTTATATATATTTTATCAGGTTTTTTTTTTAAAGAATAAATAGAAACAGGTGCCCTCATGGAACATTTAGTCTAAATGATGTAAAACATAACAACACATTTTGCTTTTACATACTCACTTGACCCCTGTAAGATGTGATGGTGCAAGTGTTCTTGTACTCCCTTCACCACCACAGTTTACAGATTGGGAAACTGAGTTTTAGCACAGTTACTGGACTCATACAAAAGCAGTCGCATCGAGAAGCAAAGATGGGACTGACTCCAATCTAGAACAAAGAGTGCTAAGTGCTGGAAGAGAACAAAGAGAGAGCAATGGGAATCCACATTCCTATTGGTGGAACTATGCTATCTTTCTGGAATTCCTATTTGAAATCAGTTTAGGCTCCTTCTTGTCCAAATGGAAACAGACCATGCTTGATGTCTAAAAGGCAACATGAACAAAGAAAAACGCTGGAGCTAGAGCCCCTGGCTGGAGAGGACCGCTCCGCCTACTTGAGCCAGGAAACCTTGGGCAAGTTTCTGAACCCCTTTAAGTCTCTATTTCTTCACCTGTAAGATGAAGATAACAGTGCTTCCAGAGAAAAAAATTTTTAAATGAGATAAGTATGCACAGCACTCAGCAAGGTGCCTGGCACATGGTGAGGGGCCAGGAAATGATGGCTAGTAATGTTAGCTTTCAAAGATGCTAAATACCAGTGACAAAAAGAGTGAATAACTATGAAGAATATACTCTACCATGTGCTGTGAAGGTCACAAGGAAACAGAAAGTAGAGGAGCCTCCAGCCTTATTCAGAAGGTATGGCAATAAACACATGATAAATAACACAAGATAAATAACAACAGTAACAGTGGAGGGAAGGAATCAAGAAGTCTATATTAGTTGATTGCAGGACACCGTGCTAGGGATTTTAAGCACATTATCTCATTTAATCGTCACAAAAACCTGGAGGACAAGTAATATTTTCTGTTTTATAGATAAGAGAAGAGCCAAATGAATGATATGGATAGCAAGCACTGTGAGCTCAGAGAAGAGATTCATCACCATAAACAGGGTGGTCTAGGAAGGCTGCCTGTAGGAAGAGGTGAGGGCTGATGGGCATCAGGCTTGATGACTGAATGGAGAAAAGCAGAGAATCTCCTAAATCAAGAAGGTTGGAGGGAGCAATAACATATGTAACCAAGTCTGAGACTGGTTTTAAAAGTCGCCTCTTTTAACCTCAACAAGCCGGGTCAGCAGGAAAAGCCTGAATGTTATTTATATCTTCTCAGACTACTAGGTTAGCGCAACATTTCTGGGTGATTTATCTGCTAGGTCAAGAGCAACAACCCCTAACTGATGCTCCTCTGGGCAATGTATTTACACCGTTTTCCTTTCCTAATATCCCAAGTAAATAAATAAATAAATGTAGATTATACAGAAATATGCTAAAAGTTGTTCTACAATGTCGCCTCTTCAAGGCATGAGAAGATGAAGAGTGAAATACAAAAGTATTCCATTATGTGAAATAAGCATCTCAACAAATTTGTGAGGACGCACATTGTGGAGATTTTTTTCTCCTTTGCATTTTTTCTATATCTTTCATATTTTCTATCGGTTATACATCGTTTTGTAAAAAGCACAATGAAAGGCTGGGCACAGTGGCTGAAACCTATAATCCCAGCACTTTGGGAGGCTGAAGCGGGAGGATCACTTGAGCCCAGTAGGTTGAGGCTTTAACTACGATCCTGCCACTGCATTCCAGCCTGGGCGACAAAGCAAGACCCTGTCTCAAAAAAAATAAATAAATAAAAAGCACAATTATATGAGAATTTTAGATATTCCGATAGCCCACTCCTAAGCAGTGGCATTCCTCTAGAAAAGCCCTGGGAATAGGTCAGCCCTGTCATTGCATATGATAAACAGAGCAGGAGGAGGAGCAGGCTGACGCCCCACGTGACTTTCAATGTCAGGGGTTTTAAGACCTGTCCAGGCAATTAAGGACAAATGCTCTAGACTAGACTTCTTCTCAATGCTCCATCAACCTGCCTTGGCACCTTTCTGTTTCTGAGGGGGCTTCATAGACAGTGTCCCTACCCTTGACCACAGCTGACATCCCCCCTCCTTCCCCCACCTTCCCTCCCCAATTCTGCACAGAAGCGGGCTTTCATGGTAGAGAGAATGATCTTCTGGTGACTGCTAAGGAGAAATCTCCCTACCTCTGTAATGATATTCATGCTTCCATGCTATTCCCCTCCCTAGAAGTCTTTCATGCCTCCCCAGTACCTCTAAAATATAGTTCAAACTACTTAGCCAACATATGAAGCAAGCCCTCCACACAATCAGGCCTTATCCTCCCTTCCCAGTCTCACCCCCTATCACTCCCCTTTGCTAGGCACACAGAATAAATCCCATCACCCCCGCCTACCTCTTAACATCCAGCATTTGCTCAAGTTGTCTCTGCCAAGAAACCAAACATCCTTTTCCATTTCTACACAAACCAAATCCTCCCCATTCATCAAAGCCCTGCTCAGCAGACACCACCTCCTCAGAGTTTTCCTGAGTTCTTCCTTCCCTCCTACAGTGTTCCTCCTCACTTTACTCTTGCTGAGGGCAGCACAGCGTGACAGGATACCAGCTCTGGAGCCAGAATGCTGCATTCAGACTATAGCTCCCTCACTGCTAGCTGTGTGACCTTAGGTAGGTTCCATACTTTCTCATTGTCTTAATGTCCCCATCTGAAAATGGAGATAATCACAGTACCTTCCTCACAGCATTGTTGTGAGGATCGAATGACTGCAAGATGTATAAAGTGCCCACTTCAGTCTCTGGCACATAGGAATACAACATTAAACTTTTTTTAAAACCCCAAAAACGGGGCCGGGCATGGTGGCTCACACCTGTAATCCCAGCACTTTGGGTGGCCAAGGTGGGTGGATCATCTGAGGTCAGGAGTTTGAGACCAACGTGGTCAACATGGTGAAACCCTGTCTCTACTAACAATACAAAAATTAGCCGGGCATGATGGTGGGCACCTGTAATCCCAGCTACTTGGGAGGCTGAGACAGGAGAATCCCTTAAACCCAGGAGGTGGAGGTTGCAGTGAGCTGAGATCGCGCCACTGCACTCCACCCTGGGCAACAGAGCAAGACTCCATCTGGAAAACAAAGAAACAAAAAAACAAACAAAAAACCCAAAAGCCTTTAGCTATTATTATTACCACCTGAGGTCACCCCTCCCCTCCTACATTTCCTTACTGCATTTATCTATCCAATCTTGCAACTACTTTCTATCTGATCTAATTTAGATACCTACACACTGGGAAATTCTCAGCTTGCTATATACAGATAGTACAGGGCCACTGAATAAATAAATGAACAAATTCTAAATAATCACTCTTTTAGCCTGTCCACAAGAAAACCTACATTTAATGTTTGAAGAAAGATAAAGAAAAGATTAAAGAAACAGAACTTCAAAGCAAGAACTACAGTTCTCGAAGTGAACCAGTAGCATCAGCATCACTAGAGAACTTGACAGAAATGTAGAATGCTACTTCCCACCCCAAACCTACTGAAACAGAAACTCTGAGGGTAGGATCCACTTTTAACAAGCCCTCCAGGTGATTCCCTTGCGGCTGAATCATGAGCTCAGAGTGCAAAAAGTAACATAAATGGCAGCACAGAATGAGCACTGGATCAGGAGTAGATTCTAGGCTTCACTCTGCCATTGACCTTGCACAAGTCTCTTAACTTCTCAGAGCCTCGATTTCCTTATGTGATACAGGGATGATAACACCCAAATAGTTAAATGTTGTGAGGGTTAAATGAGATTCTATGTACAGAGTTTGCATATAGTTGGTACTTAATAATTATAAGTTCCTTCCAGTTATCTTCCTGTATATCTCACAAGGTTGTGAACACTAAATAAAATGACTGAAGCAAAAGGGCTTTGCAAATTCCTGCCCTTGAACATCAGACTCCAAGTTCTTCAGCTTTGGGACTCAGACTGGCTTCCTTGCTTCTCAGCTTGCAGATGGCCTACTGTGGGACCTCATCTTGTGATTGTGTGAGTCAGTACTCCTTAATAAACTCCCCTTAATATAAACATCTACCCTATTAGTTGTGTCCCTCTAGAGAACCCTAATACACATAGCAATCTGAGGGACAACTAACTATTCTTGGTACAAATAGCCAGGTTAAACGTCTACCATTCACAGGATATTATGAAGTAGTTTATGTCCAACACCAGTCAGTCTACAAACAAACTCTGCAACAGAATATCTGCTTCTTGCCTGTTTATTAAAGCAGAACAATGAAGAGAATACATGCCCACCACCCCCAATATTCTGGTCAGAATTAACTAACTACTCACTGATCTTTGAATCTAAACTTTACTCTTGGAAAAGGATTTTCTGAAAACTTTTTCTAGCCAACACAAGGAAAACTGCAAACTGCTGCAGACACAATGGACCTGACTTGGGGAACTCCCCATGTATGTCATCCAACTCCAAGCAGTTGTGGAAGGCTGAGATTAAGACAGTTAACATTTTGAAGCTTGTTGCAGAACAGAAAATTAAGAAATACAAGTAAGTACTCTTTCTTCCACCACACTTCTTAGCCTCGCACACCATGGCTAGGCTTTCTCTCTCTTTTTTTTCTTTTTTGGAGATGCAGTCTCGCTCTGTCATTCAGGCTGGAGTGCAAATGGCACGATCTCGGCTCACTGCAACCTCCACCTCCCAGGTTCAAGGGATTCTTCCGCCTCAGCCTCCCGAGTAGCTGGGATTATACGCGCGTGCCACCATGCCCAGCTAATTTTTGTATTTTTAGTAGAGATGGGGTTTTGCCACATTAACCAGGCTGGTCTTGAACTCCTAACCTCAGGTGATCCACCCGCCACGGCCTCCCAAAGTGCTGGATTACAGGTGTGAGCCACCGCACCTGTCCAGCTTACTCTCTCCCTAAACCATGCTTTCTACTCAGGAACTGCCCTCCAGAATAAAGGGCGGGATGGATGCAAGAAATGCACAGTTAACTATGTCAGACTGTGGTCTTAGCCGCTAACTTGAGATGAACACGCTAAGTGTTCTACTAAATCGTACCAGGTTAGAATGTTCACATGAGGCCCACGCATAAGACAGAGTAAGAATTACTCCACCAACCGCTCAGACAGACCCAGGACACCTTTTGTGAGCATGTTACCTCTACCGAAGGCTCCCTAAGAGCAGCTTGTTAATATTTGTATCCCCAGAGCCTGGCACAGGCCTGGCCCCCCACAGGCACTCATAACTGCCTACTGAAGTGAACAGACAAAATTATTTAGGTGTAAGCCCCATGCAGCTGTTGAGAAGTATTATTTTATAAGCAGGGAAAATTAGGTCCAAAGAGACTAAAAGTTGAAGTCAGTTAAAGAACGTAGTCTTTGGGCCGGGCGCAATGGCTCACTCCTATAATCCTAGCACTTTGGGAGGCCAAGGAGGGTGGATCACGAGGTCAGGAGTTCAAGACCAGCCTGGCCAAGGTAGTGAAACCTTGTCTCTACTAAAAATACAAAAATTAGCCCGGCACGGTGCCAGGCACCAGTAATCCCAGCTACTTGGGAGGCTGAGACAGGAGAATCGCTTGAACTTGTGGGGCGGAGGTTGCAGTGAGCTTAGATCGTGCCACTGCACTCCAGCCTGGGTGATGAAGTGAGACTCCATCTCAAAAAAAAAAAAAAAAAGAATGTAGTCTTTGATGCCACCCATCCAGAGCAGGGCTTCCTCCTGTGCCCAAACCCTACTTGCCACCACTCCCCACAGCCACCTCTGCTCCATTCAGACTGGTACTCACAGATGTGCCTGTGCCCCACTCCCTGCCTCATTCAGCTGTCCCTAGGCCCAATGATATTGTTTTCTGCATGCAGAGTTCCTACCCATCCTTTATGAACAGCCCTCAGACTCAAAGAAGCCAGTCCCTGTCACCCCAGCCTCTTCTGAATTGTTTCTGACTCCTTCAGCACTTACAATCTACACCACTCATTGTTTCATGCATCTCTGTCTTCTCTCCTGAAACCGTAAATCCATTGAGGACAGGGATCAGAGAGGGACCAGCTCTCCTTTTTTTTTTTTTTTTGGAGACAGAGTCTCACTCTGTCGCCCAGGCTGGAGCGCGGTGGCACAATCTTGGCTCACTGCAACCTCTGCCTCCCAGGTTCAAGCGATTCTCCTGTCTCAGCCTCCTGAATAGCTGGGATTACAGGCGCCCACCACCACACCCGGCTCATTTTTGTATTACTAGTAGAGACAGGGTTTCACCATATTGGTCAGGCTGGCCTCCAACTCCTGACCTCAAGTGATCCACCACCTTGGCCTCCCAAAGTGCTGGGATTACAGGCATGAGCCACCACAACCAGCCTACAGCTGCTGTTTTTAATCATTAGCTTTGTAGTTGTTATTTTATTTCTGTATTCCCCCTCCCTCCCACCAATCCCCCACCCCCGCACATTCTTTTAAAAGAATACTAACAACACTAAATATCAAGAAAGTCACTTTGACACTTTGTCACAACAGTACGGAATATACATTAGAACCTAATTCTGTCCATTAATCATTTACCTGAACTGAACTGAAATGACCTATTGGCTACCTGGCAGTGGGGAGCCATCATCATCTTTAGTCAAGCATCTTATGAGCAATGGTGAATCCTGGGGCCTGGTAGGGTATTTTCCTTCACAGGTCACAGACGGGCCAGTTGTTTCACATATCCTCTCCAGATAGAAAATCCAACCCTAACTTAAATATTCTGTTATTAACAGTGGCAGTTTCAATTTACTGAGCTTCTACTATGTTCCAGATACTATGCTAAGTGTTTTCATACATTATCTCATTTAAACTACATTACTCTGTGAATAGGAATCTTTCTCTCTCTCTCTCTCTCTCTCAGAAGACTGACAAACTAAACCTCAGAAAGCAACACAATTTTCTGGGGTCACACAGCCAAGAAATGGGGGCCAGGTCAAAATTCAACTTAGGTCTCCCTGACAGAAGTATCAAGCTCTTTCCACTTGCTATATATCCCTATATCTCTTATATTTGGTTTTTTGTTGTTGTTGTTGTTGTTTGTTTGTTTTTTGAGACAGAGTCTCACTCTGTCGCCCAGGCTGGAGTGCAGTGGCACAATCTCAGCTCACTGCAAACTCCGCCTCCCGGGTTCAAGCAATTCTCCTGCCTCAGCCTCCCGAGTAGCTGGGACTACAGGCGCATGCCACCACGCCTGGCTAATTTTCTTTTTTTTTTTGGATTTTTAGTAGAGACGGGGTTTCACCGTGTTAGCCAAGATGGTCTCGATCTCCTGACCTTGTGATCCGCCCGCCTCAACCTCCCAAAGTGCTGAGATTACAGGCGTGAGCCACCGCACCCAACCACATTTGTATTTTAAATCCCCTTTAACTTCTACCCCTCATTTACTACCTTGTCATTTTAAAGGTGTAGAGCTTCCTATTATAAAGGGGACAGAAAGGAAAACAATTCTCGCAAGTTTTCTGGCTCCCTCCATTAACTGGCTGGAAATTAGTTTTTGGAGTGTGGCTGCCATGCAAGAGCACCTGAAGAGAGTGGAAAAGGACATGGGGAAGAAGTAAGGAAGTGAGAATCCAGAGACTCTCCAGTGGGCAGCAAGAGACAAGATGTCAAAAAGGTGGGAAAACACTCTTTTGGGGTCCCTCATGCATTATAAAAGATACTACGCCAGAAAGTAAAGAAAGGCTCCTAAATGCTAATTAGCCAACAGGAGAGACCTCAATAAGTTTATAGGCTCCACTAAAGGCTGGAAAGTAAGCTAAAATTTCATAAGCAAAGCAGAAAATAAACAAATCACTACTGCTGAAATCAGGCCCATAAGAACACCAAAGATCCTGGCTCATAAAAGACGTTTTACCAGTCCTTCAACCAACCAGGAGGAATCCAGTTTTCAAACAAACTAATCAGCATTCTTGACTGATCAAGTGGCATAAGCCACTGCCTTGGGTAAAAAGGCAAGTTGCTTTCTTAGTAAGGAAGTCCCATATGGTGGCCATTTCAGTATTCCTTTACCTACACTTTGGGCTTTCCTTATCCATGATTCTGGCCATCTCTGGTGTCCCCAGGTGTCCACATCCCCCCTATAGGATTAACAGATAATGCTGAGTACCATTCTCTCTACATTGCCAACAAAAGATTTCAGCTTTGGTAAACTTAATATGAGGTGGGGGAGGAAGCAACAGTCAATGTGCAGAGTACTACAAAGAATATCAAAACTTGAGAACTTTAAGGGATCTATCACATCTCATCTCCAAACACTTTGACAGACAGGGGAACTTCAAACCAGAAAGGGCACAAGGTCATATGGAGTCACTGACAAAACCACTGCTAGAGTCCAGGCTTCCATGATTCCCAGTCCAGGGCTCTTATCATTAAATAACACAGCCTCCCTTCTTTCCTGGGAGGCACTGCAGGCATGCCATCCCCCTGCCAAGATAATCACCCTCCAAGAGCCCCTCCTCCTATCCCAGTCCCTCCTACAGCACAGCTGAGTTGCAGCTCAAATTAGCAAGTCCCGGAGCAGGGGGCATTTCTGGGAGGGTGCCCAGTCTGAGGGTTGCTGGTACCGAAGAGGAGGGACAAAGATGGAGAAGAAGGTGACATCCCACAAAGGGTTTGGGAGAACTGGGTCCTTGGGGCAGTGGCAGTGAGCCTGCTGGGCTGGATAAAGACACATGCAGTGGCATCTCCCAAAGCGCATTGGGGAAGCAGACCAGCAGTTGGCACCACCTCTAGCAGCAAAAGGAAGGGCTGAGCCTTGATGGGCAGGGAAGCCTGGGGCATCTCCGAGTCCAAGTTGGGCCTCAGGGGTGCCTCCTGGCAGAGTGGCACTGGCGCGCCCGTGAGGTGGCACCAGTGCCCGGGAGGAGGCCCGAGGACACAGATGCCCTGCCTGCCCGTGGGATAGCACCGGCACCCGGCGAAGGCCCAGCCCCCCCGGGAGGTGGCACCGGCGCCCGGCGAACGCCCGACGACCAGGATGCCCAACCCGCCCGTGAGGTGGCACCGACGCCCAGTGAAGGCCAGACGACCAGGATGCCCAGCCCGCCCGTGAGGTGGCACAAGCGCCCGGCAAAGGCCCGACGACCAGGATGCCCAGCCCGCTCGTGGAGTGGCACCCGCGGCTGGCGGAGGCCCAGCCCGCTCGTGAAGTGGCACCGGCGCCCGGCGGAGGCCCGCGGTCCTCACCAGCCGGATCAGCGGCCGCCGTTGCCCAGCCTCCTGCCCCACACGCGGCCTTACCGAGGCACTGCCCCACTGGTGTGCTGAACGGGTTCCCCAGGAGGAACTCCATCTTGGGTGGACAACACGCAGCGGCCCGGGCCCCCTGTCTGCCACCTAGGCCTCCGCTGTAACCCGCCGGACTCCCGTCCTGACTGACACTTGCCCCCTCCCCACTCTCTGGAACGCCGAGCTTAGGGCCTTTGGCCCCGCCCCCTTGCCGCGTCTCTATTGGGGGACACCTACGAAGCCCGCCTCCTATTGGTCGTTACACCTCTGTCAGCAAAGCCCCCACCCACCCCGCAGCGTCCGATTGGGCGGAGGAGCGAGCTAGGTCACCGGAGTCCCTGTCAGCCGTGGCGGCACCTCCCCTGGCCCGCCCCCAAAGGGGAAGCTGCGCATTTTGATTCCTCTGTATATTGGTCAATCTAAAGGATTCTTACTATTATTGGACAAAAGACGAGTCAATCACGCAAATGGACGGAACAGAGGTGAATCTAGGAATATCCCCGCCCATAGAAAGTACTGATTGGAGAAACATTTGTTTTCTCTACGGCTGGTTGGTGTAAGGAGTGTTTCACCACACGGAGATGTGGTCACGTGACTTGTCAACTTTCACCCAGGATGTCTCCCTTCTGACTTCCCCTTAGCAACCAAGTCGCGGCGCTTGGTTCCCCAGCAACCGGGAGACGCGTCTGCTGCGTGGAACCGCCGAGTTCCCAGCGCTTGAGAAGGTGAGACCTGGGAGCTGAGGCTCCCGGAGGACTTGCAGGGACAGATAGTGCCCGACGTAACTCTTTCCTGTGACCTTTTTCTCGGAGAACGCCGGCCCGGCCCTTCTCATTTATAAAATGAGCACGTAGGTCCTCTCCCAGCCACTTTACAGTCGTGTGAGACAGCCAAGACACTTTAGTCCTGGGCTTGTCAAGCTTTTGAATAAAAAAAAAAAAAAATACTAAGGAAGCATTTCCCGAGGGAGCAGGGCCAGAATGGATTTTTAAGGGGTTCCGTCTTCCAGCCTCCTTTCATAGAAAGAGAGGTACCCGGTCCACTGATAACTTTTCCCAGAATTTAGCCATCATAACTGACCTCATAACTATCAAATGATTTCATCTTGGTACTGTATATACCGCTTTGGATGTGAATACGGCTACTCAAGTTCTGTATCCGTCTCTGTCAGTAACTCATTGTACGACTTTGGACAAGTTCCTTTACCTCCCTGGAGCCTCAGGTTCCCTAGCTGGGAAATAAGGGCATTAGGACTCCCTTTTTATGGCCTCCGGAGCTTACATGTACTTAAATAATGCATGTGCACTGAGCACACAGTAAGCATTCAGTAAGTGATTGATTTTATTCTTTTTTAAGAAAAATTTTGTTCATTATTTATTTATTTATTTATTTTTTATTTTTAAAAATGGAGACAGGGTCTTCCTATGTTGCCCGGGCTGGTCTTGAACTCCTGAACTCAAGCAGTCCTTCCACCTCGGCCTCCCAAAGAGCTGGGATTACAGGTGTAAGCCATCTCGCCCAACCAATTTTCTCCTTATTAATTCATGGCCAATAGGGACTATAGTTTTCAGATCCTGTTGACTTCAGGTTATCATTTCCCAGGAAAATTCTGGATCTGTTATCTGTGAGGAGGCCACTCCGTTGACAGTTGTGTAAAACTCTGCTGCTTTCCCCAGCTCCAACCTCTCTGGTCTTCAACAACACTATCATCAGGCAAGTCAAAGGGGACCCAGGTTGGGTGGTAAACTATAAGATCCCCATAGAAGAGGACTGTTTGGGCCTTGGCCCTGAACCCAGGACAACTGTGAGAAACACTGTGAGCTGTGGCAATGATAGTCCCCAGTACCCTGGATACAGTTGAGTCATGATTAGGAAAATGAACTCTGCCACGTGCTAAGTGTATGAAGTTGGGCATGTTAATTAACCTTTTTAACTAGCTTCTGTTTTCTTATCTGGATATTGGTGAGTATTAGCCCTACATGTAAATTAAGTTTCTAGAAATTTCTCCCATCTACATCTTGCTAACACCCTGGTCATCTCTCACCTCAGTACTTTTGCAATTCTCAGTACTGTTGCTAGAGTGAGCTTCTTAAAAACTAAGATCTGATCACATTGCTTCCCTTATTTTTTTTATTTTTTGAGATGGAGTTTCGCTCTTGTTGCCCAGGCTGGAGTGCAATGGCACGATCTCGGCTCACCGCAACCTCCGCCTCCCGGTTTCAAGCGATTCTCCTGCCTCAGCCTCCAGGGTAGCTGGGACTACAGGCATGCACCACCATGCCCAGCTAATGTTGCTGCCCTTATTAAGCCCTAGGTGCTTTCCAGGGATTCTAGGATAATAACAAAACTCCCACAGACCTCTCCAAACTTGCATCACTTCAGCCAAAGTGCAACAAGTCTGTTCTCTCCCACCTAAAGGGCCTTTCCACAAAGTTACCTCCTCCTTCTTTCCTGCTTGTCCTTCCAATCAGCCCTGTCTTCCTTGGCCAGGCCAGGTGCCCCTAATGTACAATTTCATAGTTCCCTACACCTACAAATTGTCATGGTTTGTAGTTAAATATTTGTATTATTGTTTGATTCATGCCTGAAGCTGGGTTAAAGTCCGTCTGTTTTATTCACAGCATATAGCAGTTACTCACTACCCATGTGTGGACTAAATACGTGATCTCACACAAATGCAGAAGGGAGAAATTATCCACCTTTTACAGATGGGAAAGCCAAGGCTTAGATAGGTGAAGTGAGTTGCCAAAAGATGCACAGTCAGGATCCAAATCCTGCTCTGATGTGCTTAACAAATAGCATATGTAATAACAATCCCCCATTTCCTAGCATAGCAATTGCTGGGCTTGACTGAAAGCAAACTTGATCTGTCACAGGTACCAGGCCCTGATGAAGTAGGAGGGATAAGTCAGTTAAAGTTTTGAAATCAAAATTAAGAGTCATTTCCCAAAGTATAGCACCTTTTTTTTTTTTTTTTTCTTGATGGAGTCTCGCTCTATCACCAGGCTAGAGTGCAGTGGTGCACGATCTCGGCTCACTGCAACCTCCAACTCCCTGGTTCAAGCGATTCTCCTGCCTCAGCCTGTCAAGTAGCTGGGATTACAGACATGCGCCACCATGCCCAGCTAATTTTTGTATTTTTAATAAAGTCAGGGTTTCACCATGTTGGCCAGGATGGTCTTGATCTCCTGACCTTGTGATCCGCCCACCTCGGCCTCCCAAAGTGCTGGGATTACAAGTGTGAGCCACCGCGCCTGACCTCCCCACCCCCCCCCCAAAAAAAAGGCCAAACACTTTGCAGAAAACATCAGCCAAATATAACACATTAAAATTCCCCCAAAGACAAGTTGATGACAAGTTATGGGAAACCGCAGGGGAAGCCATTGCATAAGAGTGGGGAGCTAGAGAGAGGCCGAGGTCTGGAACTGTCTTTGGGGGTAGAATCAGTCACCCCAACGAGGTGGAGCCAGTGTGAACAGATTGGAGAGAGTGGGAGGAAAAGGACCAAGGTCTTGGGAGGACGGAAGGCACAGGTGGAGAAGGGGTAGGGGTTGAAGGGTGTGGAGGCTATGCCTCCCCTGGAAGCAAGAGAGAAGTGTGCACAAGAGCTCATTGGGACATTTGATGAGGGACAGTTCAGGGCAGAGGATGCATATTTGCAGAAGCTGCATCCAAGTGGATGGTCAGGGAGGCAAGAGGAGGGCAGTCTTAGAGGGAAGTCTCTAAGACCAGGTAACAGGATTGTATGGCCCAACCTGGCTTTTCAGCAGACACCATCAGCCCTGCACCAGGAGTTTCTCCAGCAGTGCCCAGTGGAATGAAAAACAGAGCACAGGGGCTGCCTAGCATCAGGGACCAGCAGGGCAGAAGGACAGGAGGTTCAGGGAGGCCCAGATGCTGGGAAGGCATGTAGACAAAGATAGGAAGTAGGGCCAGCAGGGAGGCAAGAATCAGGGGTGGAAAGTGGGGGAAAATATCCCTCCTGGATGTCCTCACCAAGAGGGTTGATAAGGATGAGAATGTGGTCCAGCCACGAACGGCAGCCTGGAGTCAGCCTCACATTGTGACTGACCAAATCTACAGATCCCCCCTGTGCTGTGGTGTCTCAGTCAAATCCCTCTGGACCATTAGCAACAGAATCTACTGGAGGCTGGGCACGGTGGCTCATGCCTGTAATCCCAGCACTTTGGGAAGCGGAGGCAGGTGGATCACCTGAGGTCAGGAGTTTGAGACCAGCCTGGCCAACATGGTGAAACCCCGTTTCTACTAAAAATACAAAAAATTAGCCAGGCGTAGTGGTGGACACCTGAAATCCTAGTTACTCAGGAGGCTGAGGCAGGAGAATCGCTTGAATCCGGGCGTTGCAGTGAGCTGAGACCGCGCCATTGTGCCCCAGCCTGGGCGACAGAGCGAGACTCTGTCTCAAAAAAAATAAATTAATTAAATTAAAAAATAACCTACTGGAGCTAGCTTAAGTAGAAGAGGATTTCATGTGAGAAACAGGAAACTCTCATGAGGCCTGGACCTAGGGACATTAGGGACTGGAAAGCCAGCAAGAAGGAGGCAGCCTCTGTCTGTGTCGATCTGTCTGTCCTTTGTCTTTTGTTTTCTGATTCCCAGGTTCCCATCTCTGCTTTTCTCTGTGCATCTGCCTCCTCCCCCTCTTGCTCTCTGCTTAACTATGTACCCAGCCAGCCCACACTCCCTATTCCTCCCCAGCTCAAGCAGCCAGCTCCGATGGGCACTCTCATTCCACAGCCTCAACTTCACATCTCCCACGGGGAGGACGTGAATGGGCAGCTTGGGTCAGGGGCTCCCTCTGCACCAGGAGAAGCTTGTGGTGTGGTGTGGGGCATACACACATGACGGCCTGGAGGGGGTGAGGTGCTCAAGGAAGAGGAGCTGCAGGCTGACAGGCCTGGCTGGGGCTGCCCAGGGAGCACAGTCAGTGGTTGGTACCCACAAGCCCAAGTGAGGATGGGCATACAAAGTCAGAGGCCTGACACAGGGCCACAGTCATAAGATGAGTCAAGATCACAGGCTAGGGAGACCAGTGTGGACACCAGTCCAGTGGGTCCAGCGAGGGTCCCAGCTGTGGCTGTAGGGTCAAGGGATGAAACCCTGTGGACAGGCCCAGGTGGTTGCCAGGAAGCCCTGGAGCAGCCTTGGCGTAAGTATACAAACCCCGAGATGCAGCAGACCCAGGGCTGGGCGTGGGGCATTCCTCAGAGTGCCAGTGGCCACAAGACACTACAGGGGGAAACCTCAGCCAGACCCTGCCCTCAAACAGAGAAAGAAGCAGGCCGTGAAGGAAGAATGCGGTGTTTTTTAGGGAAAACGTGGGGGAAGATGAACCAGCCGTGCAACTCGATGGAGCCGAGGGTGATGGACGATGACATGCTCAAGCTGGCCGTCGGGGACCAGGGCCCCCAGGAGGAGGCCGGGCAGCTGGCCAAGCAGGAGGGCATCCTCTTCAAGGATGTCCTGTCCCTGCAGCTGGACTTTCGGAGTATGTATCCAAGGTTCAGGGGTGGTGGCCAGGGTGGGCCCTCCCTGGCTTTCTCTGCTCCATCTTCAAGCCCCAGGATTCCATGCAAAGTCCACGGTCGAGGTTCCCACATCAGCATTAGGGCCTACCTGGGTTACAAGGCATAGGAGCAGCACAGATGTTTGTAAAGCGTCATACTTAGTGTCTTCATCATTTGAATATCCACGACGCTCCGGATTCTGAATAAGAATAGAAAACAAGATAAAATTGTCCCACGCCAAATCTAAGTGAGCCCCCAAGACTATGCTGTTTCCATCACACAACTCCACATGGGTGTCCTTGGAGTGGGGGTCCCTGGCAGGCAGAGCCTAGGAAGTCCCACGTAGCCAGAAGCAGAGGGTAGGAAGTGTGGGAGAATGAGAGCGGGCACTGGGATGGCAGCTTCAGGGAAGGGGTGACCAAAGACAGGCTGGTAGCAGGAGGAGCACAGGCCCTTGAGGCAGGGAGGCACATCAGGAGTGAGAAGATGTGGCTCAGGACCAGGCGGACCCTCACTGCTTCAATGTCCCGTCTGTGGAATGGGATGGCTGTCATCCCTGTCTCGAGCATTGGGTGGGGGGACAAGGTGAGACAGCACGTGCACAGTGCCTGGCTCACACAGCAAGCCAGGCACAGTAAGTGAAGGCAGAGGCAGTACGAGGGCAGTGAGAGAGGTGGGCAGGGATCCTGAGACCCCCCTTTGTATCATGTGCAGGCAAGGCCACAGCAGAGTGACCTGGTCTGATTCACATTCGTGCTCTGTCTTGGGGCCCCTAGGCTGGCCGGCATCCAGTCAACAACAAGGAGGTATTGAGACCCTGCCTCAGTCCAGCCCTGCTGCCAGAGCCAGGGACACGACAGTGGGCAAGTCAGGCATGGCCCAGGCACAGCCCCACGAAGCCCATAGGCTCCCAGGGCTGACCACCCAATCAGGGAGGGCCCTGAGCCACAGCCCCGGGAGGGGTAAAGGGGCACAGAACAGGTGCGGCAGGAGGGGGCTTTTGCAGCTGACCGCTTGCCCTCTGTTTCCCCTCCCCAACCTGAGGTTCATGCAGCCAGTATTGAACACCTGCCTGTTACATGCCAGGTACTGTTCTGAGCACTAGGGATTCAACTATGAGCAAAAAAAGACAAAAGCCTTGTCCTCATGGAGCTGACATTCAACTTGATGGGGGACAATTAAATAAAATGAAGAAGGAAAATAATACTATTTGCTAAACGTAATATGTGGTGTGGAGGAAAAAAGGAAGGAGAGGAGAAAAGGGAAGTTGGGGGTGGAGTACAGTGTTTTATAGAGTGGCCAGGGGCTTCACCAAGAAGGTAACAATTTAGCAACAACTTGAGGTAGGCAAGGGAGAGAGCTGCTGTGCAGATCCACCAGGGAAAGTGGAGCAGCCAGTGCAAAGGGCCTGGGGCAGGCTGGACCCCGCCTTATCATCTCTGCTGAGGAAGCCACTGTGGAGAGACAGGTCGGGGAGGTCATGGTGTCAGCTTGGAGACAGTGGAAGGTGTTTGGCTCTTACAGTGAGTGAAGTGGGGACCCCGGGAGGGTCCTGAGCAGAAGTGGGACAGGATGGGACTTAGGATTTCACAGGACCCTGCTGGCTGCGTGAGGATAGACCGTGGAGGCCAGGGGCCGAGGCAAGGATCTAGTAAGATGGCCACTGCTGTACTCCAGTGAGTGATGACCACAGGCCTGGCCGAGGTGGTGGCCACAGGGGCAGATTTAGTGTCTTTGTTGAAGATTAAATCGGCTTTTTTTGGCAGTCCTGTCATGCTGGTAACTCATTTAGAGCTAACTGCCAAGTACATCCTGATTTGTTGTGTTGTTTTGGCTTTTCCTCCTGAACTGCTGACACCTGGGAAAAAGCCGGCATGCTGGCGTGTGTGGCAGAGCACCCGGTGTGCAGGAGCCACAGGGGGAGTGCTACTGCTGGGGGGCTGTCAGATCAGGGCCAGAAAAGGCACCTGGAAAATCCAACCCAGGGTTGGGAGGTGGCCGGGAGGCTGGGGCAGAACTGGCCCCACCCTGGAAGCACAGGTGGGAATTGTGGCCAGTATCATTCTGGGAAATCTGGCCACAAACAGGGAGCTGAAGAACAGGCACCAGTCCCACCCAGCCCTGGGAACCCAGGAGAGGCACTACGCAGCAATCCGGCTCTAGGGGAAGGGCAGTCCCACCCAGCCCTGGGAACCCAGGATAGGTGCAAGGCAGCAATCCAGCTCTAAGGGAAGGGCAGTCCCACCCAGCCCTGGGAACCCAGGAGAGGTGCAGGGCAGCAATCCAGCTCTAGGGGAAGGGCGGTGTGCCCCTCTGGACCTGGGTCAGAGAACCCTGTCCTCCCCAGAACTTTGTGCAGGGAGGGGAGCTAGGAGGGGTTCCCCACTTTCCCACTGGGACTTTCACAACCTCACAGGCAGGCTCTGCCCCTCTGAATGAATATTGAAACGGCAGCTGGACTGTATGTTTTTTTTTTGTTTGTTTGTTTGTTTTGTTTTATTGTTGTTGTTTTTTTTTTTGTAGAGACGGAGTCTCGCTCTGCCGCCCAGCCCAGGCTGGAGTGCTAGAGTGCAGTAGTGCGATCTCAGCTCACTGCAACCTCTGCCTCCTGAGTTCAAGCAATTCTCCTGCCTCAGCCTCCCAAGTAGCTGGAACTACAGGCATATGCGGCCACGCCTGGCTAATTTTTTTTATTTTAGTAGAGATGGGGTTTCACCATGTTGCCCAGGCTGGTTTCGAACTCCTGAGCTCAGGCAATCTGCCTGCCTCAGGCTCCCAAAGTGCTAGGATTATAGGTATGAGCCACTGCGCCCAGCATTTTTTTTTTTTTTTTTTTGAGATGGAGTCTCACTCTGTCGCCAGGCTAGAGTGCAGTGGCACGATCTAGGCTCACTGCAACCTTCACCTCCCGGGTTCAAGTGATTCTCTTGCCTCAGCCTCCAGAGTAGCTGGGACTACAGGTGTACACCACCACACCCAGTGAATTTCTGTATTTTTAGTAGAGACGGGGTTTCACCATGTTGGCCAAGATGGTCTCGATCTCTTGACCTCGTGATCTGCCCACCTCGGCCTCCCAAAGTGCTGGGATTACACGTGTGAGCCACCGCACCTAGCCACTAATTTGTATTTGTATTTTTTATTTTTTTGGCATGAATCTCATTTATTGAAAACATTATATTTCACCTTTCTCAAATTGAAGACTGCAAAAAATAAAAGCAGTGCTTTACTGAGTTCTCATTAACCTCAGGAGCAGCAGCGCTGCCTCTCCACGCTCCAGGAAACCCTGGCTCCCGCGTGCCACATCTGTCGCACCTCACTTTACAAAACAGTCCTGAAGCTTAATCAAATAAAACTATTGTACATTAGAAAAAGAGAGCTGGGTGTAGAAAAGCCAGGTGTAAGTTCCCTTTAAGCAAAGGCTGCTCTGCAGTTGGGGCATCTTTGCTTCCTCCAGGAAAAACAGCAGATGAACCCAAAGGGGAACAGGATGATGGCCAGGAGGATTCCCAGGAAGGTGAAGCAGTCCTCCAGCACCCTATCCCTGCAGACGGGACAGCCTCTCATGATGGCGATGGCATTGGCAGGGTACCAAGTGATAGTCCAGCTGTGGTCATTGTAGACCCTGGGGTGGTGGTTGGGTATCCCTGTGATGAGGTAAGGGGAGGGCGGGCAGCAGCAAGGGATGGGCAGCAGGGATGACGCTGTAGCCATGCAAGCTGCATGCATAGTTGCCCTGGCCGGCCCCTAGGTTGTAGGTGGGCAGCCACTCCCACAGCAGGGGCGTGTGGTCCATGGCAGCCCGGCTCAGGTCAGTCGGTCCTGGCAGGGGACACAGTGGGGGACGTGGCAGGGATGCAGCAGACTGGCTGGCTCAGGCTCCTCTGAGGCACAATGCCTCAGCACCGATTTTTATTTTTTTTTATTTATTTATTTATTTAGAGACAGAGTCTTGCTTTGTCACCCAGGCTGCAGTGCAGTGGCATGATCTTGGCTCACTGCATCTCTGCCTCCTGGGTTCAAGTGATTCTGCTGCCTCAGCCTCCTGAGTAGCTGGGACTACAGGGACACCAGCTAATTTTTGTATTTTTATTATAGAGACAGTGTTTTTCCATGTTGGCCAGGCTGGTCTCAAACTCCTGGTCTCAAGCAATCCACCGGCCTTGGCCTCCCAAAGTGCTGGGATTACAGGTGTGTGCCACCATGCCCAGCCACAGGACCAAATTTTTTTTTTTTTTTAAACAGTCTCACTCTGTCATCCAGGCTGGAGTTCAGTGGCGTAATCTAGGCTCACTGCAACCTCTGCCTCCTGGGTTCAAGCGATTCTCCTGCCTCAGCCTCCAGAGTAGCTGGGATTACAAGCGCGTGTCACCACGCCCAACTAATTTTTGTATTTTTAGTAGAGACAGGGTTTCACCATGTTGGCCAGGATGGTCTCCATCTCTTTTTTTTTTTTTTTGAGATGGAGTCTCGCTCTGTCGCCCAGGCTGGAGTTCAGTGGCGCAATCTCGGCTCACTGAAAGCTCCGCCTCCTGGGTTCACGCCATTCTCCTGCCTCAGCCTCCCGAGTAGCTGGGACTACAGGTGCCCGCCACCACGCCCAGCTAATTTTTTGTGTTTTTAGGAGAGACAGGGTTTCACTGTGTTAGCCAGGATGGTCTCCACCTCCTCACCTCCTGATCTGCCTACCTTGGCCTCCCAAAGTGCTGGGATTACAGGCGTGAGCCACCACGCCTGGCCCACAGCACCAATTTTGAAAACTTCTTTCACTTCTGTATTATTTCAGTTCTTTTAATGAGCATATTCTTTTTTTTTTTTTTTTTGAGATGGAGTCTCGCTCTGTCACCTGGATTGCAGTGGCGCGATCTTGGCTCACTGCAACCTCTGCCTCCCTGGTTCAAGCGATTCTCCTGCCTCAGCCTCCCAAGTAGCTGGGACTACAGACGTGCACCACCACGCCCAGCCAATTTTTTGTATCTTTAGCAGAGACAGGGTTTCACCACATTGGCCAGGATGGTCTCGATCTCTTGAACTTGTGATCCGCCCGCCTCGGCCTCCCAAAGTGCTGTGATTACAGGCGTGAGCCACTGCGCCCATCCTTAATGAGCATATTCTAATTTTATAAATTTTAGAAATCATTACAAAAGCAAATATGGAAAAAAGGAGCATATAAACAACAGAGCTGTACGTGGCTTCTGGGAAAACCTGGCAGACAAGTTTGGCCTCTAGAGTGTTACATATACAGTACATATTTACTTATACATATGTGTTTTTCAGAACTCTCCTGGCTGCCAGTGACAGAAACCAAACTCTGGCTTACCTAGCAAACAGAATGAACCAGCTGTGTAGCTGGCGTGGGTGGTCCTCACAGGCCACAGGGGCCAGGCACTTCCGTGATATCAGGAACCTGCCTCGTTCTTGCATGGATGACTTATCTCATCCCCTACGTATGGACATTTGGGAGCTTTTCTGCCCCTTACGTGCCTGAGGGATTCCTTTGGACATATATACAGTGTGGAGATAGATTCCATGTAGAGAAATTATAGTTCAAAGGGCACTGACTTTAAATATTTCAAAAAACATTGCCAAACAGTGCTCCAAAAAGGCTGAATGAGGCAATCAACCCTCCTACCAACAGAGACACATGTTTTCATTCTATTTATCACACTGTGGAAGGAAGGCCTCTGTCTGTGTCCTGTGTCCTAAGGTGGACCAGCCTCCTGGAGAGTCCCTGGCCTGGCCCCAGAAACAGCACAAGCGAGTCTCCTGCCCAGCCAGGTCCAGCTCACTTCCACCCCAGCAACTTTTTAGCTCCACCCTAGTAAACCTATTAGGTCTTTCTGTGGCTCTGGGTGGCAGTACCGATCCCCGCCCACCTCATAGGGACACAATGTTCCTCGATGCTCAGCCGACATCTCCAGGGTGCCTGCGTACTCCAGGGCAGGGCAGAAGAGTTCTAGGTCCCTTTTGTGTGGTTCTGCCTCACTCCTCCTGTACACTAGCACAAAACTCTGACCCTAACCTGAGACTGAAATCACCTTCCATTATTTCAGACATCCTCCGCATAGACAACCTCTGGCAGTTTGAGAACTTGAGGAAGCTGCAGCTGGACAATAACATCATTGAGAAGATCGAGGGCCTGGAGAACCTCGCACACCTGGTCTGGCTGGGTAAGGCCCTTTCCTCTGTGTGTCCACCCTAATCGAAGGTGACACCCTGACAAGGTTATTGCCTTCCCAGGAGACAATAATTGTGTGCGACACTCAGCTGCTGGCCCATCATTAGCCAGGGTACGGCAGAAGCTCTGCCTGCTGGGAGCAAGAAAGCTGCTATTTTTTAAAAGCCTAGGGCTTGTGCTGGGCAAAGTGCAGCAAAGATGTGCTCAGACACAAGACCACAGAATATTCTGCTCTCATCTGCCCAAACTTTCAGTCTGGATGGGGTACAAAGGGGCAGCTGTGGACTCCTATTTAATCTAGACTCAGGCTGACAGATAACCATCGACAGGTAACCATTGGCTGGTGGGACCCAGATGAAACCAGGAATAATCGTCACAGAGGCTAGTGTGTATCAAGCACTTAACTACATGCTAAGTGGGGCCTATATGCTTTCCATATGGGTCTTTCAGTTCACACAGCATCCCCGTCATAGAGATGAGCAAACTGAGGTCACCACACCACATCAGGTCTCACTGCCAAGGCCATGGAGGGTTTTGATGAGATGTTCCTTCTGCTGGCCTCTTAGGAGCATCCTCACATCTGGTGAGGGGCAATGGGTCCCTAGCAGGGAGAAGGTGATGGGCCTGAGAGCTCCTTATGCCCTGTCTTGTTTAACCCCCATTTTAATCCTAAGAGTTGGGCATCTGTTATAATCCCAATCTACAGAAGAGGAGCTGAGACTCAGGGAGCCCCAGGCACTTGCCCAAAGCTGCACGACCAAGAAGTATCAGAGCTGGGACTCACCCCCACGCCTGTCTGACCTCACAGCCCACATTCCCTCCATCCTATTAGGCGGTCTTCTGGTAATAAGGGCACCCTGGGGCATCGTGAGCCTTCCAATTTGCCAAACACTCCCATCCTCCTTTGTGCTGACAATTGCAAGCCCATAGCAAACCCACAGGCAGGGTTATGCTGCCATTTCACACATGCAGCAACTGAGGCTCAGGGAGGCTGACCAGCTTGATGGAGTCATGTGCTACAGGTAGCAGGAGCAAACCACAGCCAGGTCCTCTCACACCTGGGCCCAGGTCTCTTGTCCCAGGTTTCTCATTTCTCTGCACTCTAGCACCCATTAATGCTGATTCATGAATGCCATGGTTTTAAGCAGGAGCTCTCTGGCCTGGCTGTCTCTCAGACATAAAGCAAGTACCACTGAGCCCCATGACAGCTCCCTCTTTCTGTCTGCTTACCCAGAGAGAAACCTGAATACTGGTCTTGGTTCCCTCCCTAACAGAAGCTTATTTTCCTACTACTTGGAGCCCCTGCACACACACTTCCTAGTCAGCTCATTCCCCCAACCCCTTGCAGTGGCCATCCACGCTTCCAAGGGTCATTGGACTGATGGCCAGTGCTCCCTGGGATGGGGGTGCTAGAGCAGTGAGGGCAGGCTCTGTTAAGAGGTCACACTGCCCCTCAGAGTATAGGCAGAAGCTGGTCTTTGTCCAGCCATGGCACTAGGTGCCCAGGGACCCAACCACAGCCAGAAGAGCTGGATCCCTGGGGTGCTGAGGATGGGGGTTAGGGAGGTGGCACTCCCATGGTTCAGCACGACCTCCCACACTGACATGCACAGGGCTGAGGATGTGCTGGAGCTGGCTAGCCCTGGCTCTCAACAGCTGGCTATACACATTTCTTCCCAACTTTGCTTCCAGGGATGCCACGCTGGTAGCTTGAAATTGGCCACGGTGGGAGTATTTACACCACAGAAATGAGCAAGCACCTCAAATCAGGGGTTTTCCTCAGCCCCCATTGGTAAACACTTGCTAGCACACCACTAGGGGGTAGGCTAAGCCTCCCAAGAACAGAACCCAGTGGCACGGTGGGAAAGGAAGTGTGCAGGCCTGGCATTTGTTAGACCCCCATTCAAACCCCAGCTTGGCCAACATACTGACTTTGCACAAGATATTCCACTCTGTGAACCTCAGTTTCTTTTTTTTGAGATGGAGTCTCATTCTGTCACCCAGGCTGGAGTGCAGTGGCACAATCTCAGCTCACTATAACCTCTGCCTCCCAGGTTCAAGTGATTCTCATGCCTCAGCCTCCCAAGTAGCTGGGATTACAGGTATGTGCCACCATGGGTGGCTAATTTTTGTATTTTTAGTAGAAACAGGGTTTTGCCATGTTGACCAGGCTGATCTCGAACTGCTGGCCTCAAGCAATCCACCCGCCTCAGCCTCGCAAAGTGCCGGGATTATAGGCGTGAGCCACTGCACCTGGCCCGAACCTCGATTCCTTTATGTGCTGTGCTACCTTGAGCATATTACCATGAGGCCCATTTGAATCTCAGTTTCCTCATCTATAAAATGGGGATGATGCTATCTGTGCTATGAGGATTAAACAAGGTAATGCACTTAAAGGGCCTGGCATAGAGAAAGGACAGAGTTATCATTGGTCTCAATGTCAACAGGTGAGCATCCCCTGATATGCGGAGGAGGCTATATTAAGATGTGGTTAAACTCATCTCCCAAATCACCTTTTTTTTTTTTTTTTTTTTGGACACAAAGCTTCACTTCATCACCTAGGCTGGAGTGCAGTGGCACAATCTCGGCTCACTCCACCTCCAAGGTTCAAGTGGTTCTCGTGCCTCAGCCTCCTGAGTAGCTGGGATTACAGGCATGTGCCACCATGCCCAGATAATTTTTGTATTTTTAGTAGAGACAGGGTTTTGCCAGGTTGGCCAGGCTGGTCTGGAACTCCTGACCCCCAAGTGATCCCCCCGCCTCGGCCTCCCAGAGTGCTGGGATTACAGGTGTAAGCCACTACGCCCAGCCCCAAATCACCTTTTAAATGTGATCACCCTGTGGTTATCATGCTCATATTTCCAAGCCCAGGAAAAATGCTCATTTTTGGCCTCTAGGCCATTGGTGTTCCAGGACAAGATAACAGCCCCACCTGCCAGGTAACCCTGAAAACCTGTAGTGGGGAAAAAGTACTTTTAGGCCGGACATGGTGGCTCACACCTGTAATCCCCACTTTGGGAGGCCGAGGTGGGAGGATCACTTGAGCCCAGGAGTTTGAGACTAGCCTGGGCAATATGGTAAGAGCCTGTCTCTATACAAACCTTTTTAAAAAGTTAGCTGGATGTGATGGCGTATACCTGTGGTCCAGTCTACTCAGGAGGCTGAAGCAGGAGGATCACTTGAACCCAGGAGGTCAAGGATGCAATGAACCGTGATTGCGCCACTGCACTCCAGTCTGCACAACAGAGCGAGACCCTGTCTCAAAAAAAAAAAAAAAAAAAAAAAAAGGAAGGTACTTTTATTCCCAAAGATGTGGAATTAGTCAAAAGTCTCGGTTGGGGTTGAGGGAGCCTGAGACAGCTGTGATGGAGCTGGAGGAACCTGACCTGCCACATGTCCAGGGAGAAGCCTTAGATGAACTCTGGCCCCACTGTGGTTAGCTGTGTGGCTTTGGGCAAATCACTGAGTCTCTCTGAGCTTCTGCTTCCCAAATGATAAAACAGCAAGAGAAATTCCAAACTACCACTCAGGGCTGCTGTCAGAGGATATACACGAGTGCTTGATAAACTGGTAAATGCAAAGCACACAGGAGGTGGTCTTGCTAAAATGCCACAGGTGTGAGGAAAGGGGACACTCCACCGCTGTCTACCCCGACCCCCAAGGGCACTGCTTCAGACCTGCGGGTTAGTATTTTCCTCCCAGAACTATGGCAGAGCATAGACACCAGTATTTGCCCACATGTCCCCAGCCAGGAGGATGATTGGCGGAACTGGAGAGGGTAGTGAATATTGGAGGCTGCAGGAAATAATTCACACCTGGCTTCTAAAAAAATCACAAACTATTAGACAGTGAGTCAAATTCTGGCCCTGGCAGCTTGGTGCTGGCTCACAGGGCACTCAGTAGCCCTGATGGTTTTATTTCAGGACAGCCCATCCCCTGACCCAGGCAGCAGACCCTCACAGCCCTCTCTTCTTCCCAGATCTGTCTTTCAACAACATTGAGACCATCGAGGGGCTGGACACACTGGTGAACCTGGAGGACCTGAGCTTGTTCAACAACCGGATCTCCAAGATCGACTCCCTGGACGCCCTCGTCAAGCTGCAGGTGTTGTCGCTGGGCAACAACCGGATTGACAACATGATGAACGTGAGTGGCCGCCCAGCCCGCCCTCACGCACACCTGCAGAGCCTTGGAGCGCCGTGGGTTGAGTGGGGGTCTGTGGCTAGGGGAAGTACAGGCTGAGTGTTCAGATCTTCTCATTTTCCTGGAAAAGCCAGGAATCTGGATTACTCCATGAGGGATTTGCTCATGTTTAAATACCATGCTTACCCAACAAAATTCATCGGAGAGCACTAGTTTACAACCTCCACATTAGTGGCGGTTCTTTCCCTGTGTCTTGCACTTATTTAACAAACATTTGCTGAGGTACATACCTGTTAGTGTTGGGCGTATGTCCTGTGCTCACTGGGAACAGAGACAGACGAGATGTGGTCCCTTTGGAGTGACCAGCACACACCCCCATAGTCAAGGCACAAGGAGACAAGAAGCCGGTGTCCTGAGGAACAATAAAACAAGGCCTATGGGTGGTAGGAGGGCACCCTGAGGCTTAGGGGTGTGCACAAGTGGCAGTGGACACAGCTGGGGGTGTGGCAGCAGCTTTAAGCTGCCACAGCTGTCGTCCTGTGTCAGAGGCGACACATCAGATGGCTCCTGGCTTGCTTCTGCAACCCATCAACCCTGGGGGCTGTCCAGTAGCCTTTGAAGATTCCTTTTCTGCTTAGGTCAGTCAGGTGGCCTGGGTTCAGATCCCAGCTGTGGGCCGTGGTGGCTTAGGTGAGTGACCTGGGAGGGTCAAGCGCTGAGTTGTGACTGGTATGTAAGTCTGTCCAGCAGGACCAAATCCAGGAGGCACTGTAGTCTCGGAAGTTTGCCCTGCATGCCAGACAGGAGCATCTAAACCCAACCAAGGGTCAAGCCTTCTATGCCTCAGTTTCCTCACCTGTCAGATGGAGATGATGGCCATGACCCTGCTGCCCAGGCTTTTGCAGGAATCAAGTGGGATCATGAATGTAACGCATTTGGTTCGGTGTCAGGCTGGGGTGTGTTCCTAACAAATGGAGGACTGTCATAGCTGAGGGCCTTCCTGCGAGTGTTGGGATGAGGGGAGCTTGATGCAGACTCACTGAGAGATAACTAGAATTTGCCATCCAGCAGAAGGAAAAGGCTTCCCAGGAGGATGGAATGGTGTGAGCAAAGGCCTGGAGGTAAGTTGGGAAAGCCTGGCCGCACGCATCGTTGAGGAGCGCAGGGTCCCTGGACGAGGTCAAAGGTGTGTGGTGCAGGGTTGGGCTCAGGATGTGGCCGGGCCTCGCCACAGTCAGTCAGGATGGCCAGAGAAGCAGTGGGAGCCGAGGAGGCTTCTGTCTGAGATGTATTTGGGGCAGGTCTACATTTAGGAAGGAATTCACCCCCATGAGGGTGGATTTGAGGGGGATTGTGAGAATGGGTTACCCCAGGACAGTGTGACCAAAAAGGATACTGTACCTGCAGGTAAGAGAAGCTGGCCCCAAACTGGCTGGAAGCAGAGGTAAGGCAGGGACTTGCACGCAGGTGGCTGGTTTGAGAGGTGGCTTCAGGAAGCTGGAGTAAGGGAGGCAGGGAAGAACCAACACACAGGCGTGTCACTGAGACTGCTGCTGCAGGTGACGAGGGAGGATTCCCCGGCCTCGGAAGTGTCCAGAATGCCTCCCAGAAGTGACCCTCTAAGGACAGGAGCCTAAGGCATTTGATTCCCGCAACAGCTGAGGGAGACCCCAGGGGGATTAACTTTCTTGCCACCTGGCTTTTGGGCTGGGTGGGCTTCTTTGGCTTCAGAGATATCTCTGAGGCAGAAAGTGAGTAATGAGATAGGACGCTGCCAGCTAAGGTCTCTCATGGCTACAGCTGAAGCCGGAGGTAAGCTGAGCCCCTGCGGCAAACAACAAGGGCATTTAGTGGCGTGATAATTGGCACTGCAAGGAAGGGGTGCTTATCAGCAGAGCTTCAAGGACGTGAGTTCCTTCTGCCTCTGGGCTCTGCCATCCTCAGCATCTCCCCAGAGCTTGATTCTCTTAATGGTTGCAGTCAAGGACACGGGCTTCCTTGTCTGCATCTAGCAGGATGGAGAGAGCAAGAACTCTCCTTCCGACAGTGGCCCTTTAGTCTGATCAAGCCCCCTCAGGGTCTACACTGACCCTCAGCCTAACATCATGGCTGGGTGACGGCCAGGCTGGGCTTACATGAACAGCCTGGGGTGGGAAGCACCGAGTTGTCACTAGCAGTTCCGTTGGGTCAAGCCACAGAGGTGGTGGAGTCTCAGAAGTTTGCCCTGCATGCCAGACAGGCAGCATCCAAACCCATGCATGGTCTTGCATGAATCAGCCCCTGACCTTGTCTCTACTCCCATCTCAACTTCTTCCCAGCCCTCTCCCCGCATTCTGCAGCCACCCTGGCCTTTGCTCAGTGCCTGGCATGTGCCAAGTTCTTTGCTGCCTGGGGCCCTTGCCTGTGCTGTCTTGGCTTCCAGGAATGTGCTCTCCTCTGCTCTTCTGCGGCTGGCTCCCTCAGGTCTCAGATTAAATGTCACCTCCCCAGAGAGACCTCTGAATCTCCTAACTGAAAGAGGCCTCCCTGTTATTTTCTCTCAGGGTGCCATCTTGATGTTCCTTACAGCACTTAACTCAAAGCATAATGGTTTTATTTACTTTTTAAAACATTTGGCCGGGCCCGGTGGTTCACACCTGTAATCCCAGCACTTTGGGAGGCCAAGGTGGGCGACTCACTTGAGGTCAGGAATTCGAGATAAGCTTGGCCAACATGGCGAAACCCGTCTCTACTAAAAATATAAAAATGAGCCGGGTGTGGTGGCGGGTGCCTGTAATCCCAGCTACTCCAGAGGCTGAGACAGAAGAATCGCTTGAACCTGGGAGGTGGAGGTTGCAGTGAGCCGAGATCGCGCCACTGCACTTCAGCCTGGGTGACAAGAGCAAAACTCCATCTAAAAAAAATAATAATAAATTAAAAAGAAAACATTTTTCCCCCACTCCTAAAATATGTGCTCTTGCCATAAGGGCAGGGACCCCACAGGCCTTGTTCCCCACTGTATCTTCATAATTTAGCACATGCCGGAGGCCTGCTAGGTGACTAATAGTGTTTGCTGCTAGGTGACTAATAGTGTTTGCTGCTAGGTGACTAATAAATGACTGAAAGAAATTCACTCAGAAAAGCATGCTAGATTTTTTTTTCTATCTTTTGCATAGTACAGTGTCTAGATGCTATCCAATGAAGTATTGCTTTTTTTTTTTTTTTTTTTTTTTTGAGAAGGAGTCTCGCCCTGTCACCCAGGCTGTAGTGCAGTGGTGCAATCTCGGCTCACTGCAACCTCCGCCTCTTGGGTTCAAGCGATTCTCCTGCCTCAGCCTCCCAAGTAGCTGGGACTATAGGCGCCTGCCACCATGCCCGGCTAATTTTTTTTTTTTGTATTTTTAGTAGAGACGGGGTTTCACCATGTTAGCCAGGATGGTCTCCATCTCCTGACCTCAAGATCCACCTGCCTCAGCCTCCCATAGTGTTGGGATTACAGGCGTGAGCCTTGTACCCGGCCAAAGTATTGCTTTTTTAAAATACTTTTTTGCCAGTACTTTTAATGGCAAAAACCACAGTTACTTTTGCACCAATCTAATATTAACTACCTGGTTAACATTTTCCTCATTTTACTAAAAATAGAGTGTAGGGAGAATAAATAAAGTTACTGGAATGTTCCCCTAGCTGTTATCCAGGGAATCCAAGGTTAGCCATAAGTTGGGTCCCATTTAATTTAAGATATTTGTACCTTCCATGGGGCTTTACAATCTACAAAGGCATGCCTGGCCAGGTGCAGTGGCTCACGCCTGTAATCCCAGCACTTTGGGAGGCTGAGGTGGGAGGATTTATTGTGACCAGGAGCTCGAGACCAGCCTGGTCAACACAGCAAGACCCCATCCCTACTTAAAAACAAAATAGGGCCGGGCGCGGTGGCTCACGCCTGTAATTCCAACCCTTTGGGAGGCCAAGGCTGGTGGATCGCTTGAGCCTAGGAGTTTGAGACCAGCCTGGGCAACATGGCAAAATCCCATCTCTACTACAAACACAAAAATTAGCCAGGTGTGGTGGTGCAGGCCTGTAATCCCAGCTACTCGGGAGGCTGAGGCACGAGAATCACTTGAACCCGGGAGGCAGAGGTTGCAGTGAGCCAAGATCGCACCTCTGCACTCCAGCCTGGGCAACAGAGCAAGACTCCATCTCAAAAAATAAAATTAAGTTAAATTTAAAAGATTTTTAAAAAATAAATAGAAGGGTATGCCTATGCTGGTAACAGCAACTAAAACGCCCATTACCGAATAGGTGTCAGGCACTCTTCCAGTGCTTTTTATAGCTTATTTCACTTGGTCTTTATAACACCTGTAACACACATGATATCCTTATACCCGTTTAACAGATGTGGACGTTGAAGCTCACAGATGTTGGGTAACTTGTTCAAGGTCTCACCACATGGTTCAGCAGACCTGAACCATGGTCTGCTGGTTCTTTGAAAAGCCCATTTCTGACAGAAGGTCTCGGTACTGCTTCCCAGCCTGGAACACCCCCACGCCTGCACACTGCCTGTCACCCCACCCCAGTGCTGATGGTGCTGTGGCCAGGCTGACTCTGAAAGAGTACTGAGGAGGGAGGTGCAGCTGTGTTTTCAACTCTGTGGCAGCCAAGAAAATGGGCCTTTCTCCCTTTTTCTCCCCAGATCATCTACCTCCGGCGGTTCAAGTGCCTGCGGACGCTCAGCCTCTCTAGGAACCCTATCTCTGAGGCAGAGGATTACAAGATGTTCATCTGTGCCTACCTTCCTGACCTCATGTACCTGGACTACCGGCGCATTGATGACCACACAGCAAGTGTCTCCCTCTCAGTCTCCCAGCCCTGTGAGACAGATTCCTCAAGCCCCCAGGTTTCTTGGAAAAGGGGCATTGAAGAGTAGCTTCCCCTGCCCACAACTAGGAGAGAAAGGGCAGCTCCCTCTTCCTAATCCCTTTACCTGACTCTGTCAGAGTGATTCCAGCAGCACCCTTGTAAGTACTGTTTTGTGTGCGTTCCCAGGGGCCAGGCCTCTTCCACACACTGTCCCAGGGCCACCTCACAGCCATCCTGCACTGTCTAGTTTTCCAGATGAAGAAGCTGAGGAGGGCTGGGAGCAGTGGCTCACGCCTGTAATCCCAGCACTTTGAGAGGCTGAGGCGGGAGGATCGCTTGAGCCAAGGAGTTCAAGACCAGCCTGGGCAACATAGGGAGACCCCATCTCTACAGAAACTACCAAAATTAGCCAGGTGTGGTGGCACACACCAGTAATCCTGGCTACTCACAAGGCCGAGGTAGAAGAATCGCTTGAGACTAGGAGTTTGAGGCTGCAGTGAACTAAGAAGATGCCATTGCACTCCAGCCTGGGCAACAGAGTGAAAAAATTAAAAAATTAGAAAAGAAAAGAAGTTGAGGAGGCCCAAGGAGGGCAAGCAGCCAGGATCACTGGCTCAAGGCCAAGCCAGGATTCACCCTAAGTTGGTGTCATCCCAGGAGCAATATTAACAGCTGAGCTCCAGAGGGAACCAGGCCATCAGAGGCTCAGGCCTGGCTCTCAGGGGCAGAGTCAGGGCTGGAGGTAGAGACCTGAGTGTCATCTGAGGATTGCCAATTGGCAGTAGTTGAAGCCATGGTACAGGTGGGATCACCTGGGGCACATGGAGTGAGCTGGGGGACGGGGACTAAGTTCTAGAGGTGCCAGCATTCCTGGCCAGGTACAGGGGGATGAGCCAGTGCGGTGGAGAGAGCCAAGGGCCAGACCCTCGTGACCAGCCCTATGGCCTCACTCTACCTCTGTCCTGTTGTCCTCCTTCCCTAAAAGAGGGCCAGAAGGCCTGCTGAGGGCTGTTGGGAGTGAGAGAGCAAGTCCTCTGTGGAGAACACCCAGTCTGGGGCGAGGGGAGCGCTCCATTGCTGTGGCTCCTGCCCTGGAGATGGCCCCGGGAACCCCAGCCTGCCACGCTGCCTTCCGCTCCTCCTGGTCTTTCCCTGATTTCCCTGCGCTCACAAAAACCTGGTGAGGGTCATCAGGAGATGGGCATTCTCATCCACGAGACCTCATGGCTTTCACAGCCTTCATGCAGGCCCCTGTGCAACACCCCTGCCCATGCGCGGGAGGCTGCAGCATGGCAGAGGCGGCATGGCAGAGGCGGTGTGGCTCGGAGGAACCTCTGGTAACAATGCCACTCCCGTTCCCTGGTCAGAAAAAGCTTGCGGAGGCTAAGCACCAGTACAGCATCGACGAGCTGAAGCACCAGGAGAACCTGATGCAGGCCCAGCTGGAGGACGAGCAGGCGCAGCGGGAGGAGCTAGAGAAGCACAAGGTACCGTTCCGGCAGGCTGCACGCCCTCGGCCCCCTCAGATGCCCACAAGAGGGCACTGATCAAGTAAAACGGTCCTCAGGGATCCCCAGGCTCTGAAAACACAGAAATCATGCTCCCTCCACAGGGCCTGATGCCCTCTCCCTTCCTGGCTCATCTGCTGTCTGCCCCAGGGCCAGCTCCGTCTCAGTCCAGACCCTGACCCTACTCCTTACTGGCATTCCTGCCTCCAGCTGCTGGAGAGAATGTGCTAAAAACAGTCTGTCAGAGGCCCCTTAAGACCCTTAAGGCAGTTCCCCATGACATGCCAGGAACGGCTCAGGTCCTGTAGCCATGGCCCTGAATTCATGACTGGACCCAGTTGGCCTCTTTCCCACCAGTCTCCACCCCTCCTTGCAACCAGACTGAGAAATGTATAACATTCTGGAAACAGCCTGCAGTTTTATGCCTCTGCACCTCTGCACATGCCATTCTCTTTGTCTGGAACATGCTCCCTCCTGACCTGCCTTCCTCATGGGCCTGTGAGATGATGCAGGGGCCCCTGACAGGAGCCGTCCTACCTACGTGTGTTTCTGCCTGCAGACTGCGTTTGTGGAACACCTGAATGGCTCCTTCCTGTTTGACAGCATGTACGCTGAGGACTCAGAGGGCAACAATCTGTCCTACCTGCCTGGTGTCGGTGAGCTCCTTGAGACATATCCTTCTGAGTTCATGGCTGTCTCAGAGCCTCTGCCACCAGCCTGCCTTGGCAAGGCCCCTTCCGCTCTAGGCCTCAGTTTCTTCATCTCTCTTGTAAGACCTTGGGAGGTAAAATCTCCACTTGAGAGCAATGTACCCAACAGGCAGTTCAGAGTCCGGTCAGCTGAGCTGCATGGGGGAGATGCTGTCTGGATTTCAGGGACATGTGTAGTATCTGGTCAGCATGGCATGGGCTGGCCATGTTTGGCAAGCCAGGTTTTCAGAGGTGGAGAAATGGATTGAAATGTGTTCTCATTAGCCATACTCACTTGTTCTTGTTGTGCACTTGGATCTGGCATTTATTGTTTTCTCAACCACCCCACTAGGCAGGTACCATCATTAACCCCATTTTATAGTTGGGGAAACATAGCTTGGCTGTCCAGGGTCACCCCATTAGAGGCCAGCTTTTGAAGCTTTGTCTGTGGGGCCTGAGAATCTCATTCTTTCCCCAGTTGCCTGGAGCCCAGAGGACGTGGTTGGTACCTGTCATTAGGGCTGAGGCTGTGACCATCGATCAATGGGCTTAAGTTGTGAGCTGAG
This sequence comes from Homo sapiens, assembly GCF_000001405.40. Taxonomy (NCBI): domain Eukaryota; kingdom Metazoa; phylum Chordata; class Mammalia; order Primates; family Hominidae; genus Homo; species Homo sapiens. The sequence goes on from NC_000017.11 coordinate 17,995,695, forward strand.
GGACTCAGGACAGAATCAAGGAGCTCCTGGATCTGAGAGCTCTGAGCTAAGGCATCCAGTCACAGGTGAGTCTGTGGAGCCACCTTCACTGGATAGAGAAAAATTCACTCAAAAACCTGACATTCTGGGCCTGTGAGGTGGCTCATGCCTATAATCCCAGCACTTTGGGAGGCCAAGGCAGGAGGATTGCTTGAGGCCAGGAATTTGAGACCAGTCTAGGCTAGGCAATGTAGTGAGACCCTATCTGTATTAGTCTGTTTTCACGCTCCTGATAAAGATATACTTGAGACTGGGCAATTTACAAAAGAAAGAGGTTTTTGGTTTTTTTGTTTTTTTGTTTTTTGAGACAGCGTTGCGCTGTTGTTGCCCAGGCTGGAGTGCAATTGCGCAATCTCAGCTCACTGCAACCTCCGCCTCCTGGGTTCAAGCGATTTTCCTGCCTCAGCCTCCCAAGTAGTTGGGATTACAGGCATGCGCCACCACACCTGGCTAATTTTTTGTATTTAGTAGAGACTGGGTTTCACTATGTTGGTCAGGCTGGTCTCAAACTCCTGACCTCAGGTGATCTGCCTCGGCCTTCCAAAGTGTTGGGATTACAGGCGTGAGCCACCGTGCCCAGCCAGAAAGAGGTTTAATTGAACTTACAGTTCTACATGGCTGGGGAGGCCTCACAATCATGGCAGAAGGCAAGGAGGAGCAAGTCACATCTTACATGGGCAGTGGGCAAAGAAAGAAAGCCTGTGCAGGGAAACTCCCATATTTAAAACCATCAGATCTCATGAGACTCATTCACTATCATGAGAACAGCACAGGAAAGACTCACCCCCATAATTCAATTACCCCCCACCGGGTTCCTCCCACAACACATGGGAATTATGGGAGTTACAATTCAAGATGAGTTTGGGTGGAGACACAGCCAAACCATATCACCATCTCTAAAAAAAACCAAACACACCTGACATTCTGGAAAGAATGAGGGCAGGGTGGTGAGGAATAGTGAAGAGCAGGGCTCCAGAGCTGGGTTGTTTCTGCCAGCTGGTGACCCAGGTTTGCCTTGGCTGTAGCCCTGTGTAGCCGTGTGACTTTGGGCAAGGCATTTCATCTCTCTGGGCATCAGTTTCCATCCCACAGGATCACCAAGGTCCTGTAGGCTTTACCTGGTTGACTCCAAGGACTCCGTGTCGCAGGCCCTTTTGTACCCTCAGCTGCAGATGAGGAAACTGAGGCCCAGAGAGGTGAAGTGACTTGCCAGGGTGGGTCCTGGAAGCAGTGGCAGAGCCAGGACTTGAACATCCCCAGCACAGCTACAGCAGCTGAGCACCAAGACAGGCCCTCAGTAAGGGTGCCCTTCCAGATAGCACACCAGAGACAGAAACGCACACTGCCTGCTTCCCCAGCTGGGACCGGCTCGCAGGCCCCCAGGGTCCCCAGGCCTCTCTTCTGGGGCCTCTCTGAGCATGTCTGCCTTCTGCTCTGTAGACTCCGCAATGGTTTCTGCCTCCTTCCTTCACACAGGCCCCATTCCTGAATCCCTCAGGCTGAGGGTGGGGATGCACCAAACACACATTTTACCTACATCTCAATCCTGGCTCTCTGGGCCTTTGATTTCTTCATCCACCAAATGAACCAAATGAGACCAGGAGTTTGAGTCTCACACACTGTTGAGCGCACAGTCTGTGCACTGTGCCAGGGTTACCAACACCTTGGCCGTGCCCTCCGCAGCCTGCTCCTGAAACAGCTGTGGGCTTCCTTAACAGCCACTCACCTACAAGGACAAGTTTGTCATCATCTGCGTGAATATTTTTGAGTATGGCCTGAAACAGCAGGAGAAGCGGAAAACAGAGCTTGACACCTTCAGTGAATGTGTCCGTGAGGCCATCCAGGAAAACCAGGAGCAGGGCAAACGCAAGATTGCCAAATTCGAGGAGAAGCACTTGTCGGTAGGCCCCGAGCCTCCTGAGGCCCTCCCTGTCTCCTGCTGTAGGCCCTCCCTGCTCTTGCCACTCCCACTGTAGGGGGACTGCAACTCCTGTACCCTCTGATGACCCCTGAGGCCAATGGTTATTGTCCCCATTTGCCAGAGATCATACAGCTAATCAGTGGCAGAGCCAAGGCCCGCCTTACACCAGCACCACCAACCACAGCTCCCCACTGCTTGACGTGTGGCCTGTGGGTCTTTGTCACACAAAGTGCCCTTGGGATTCAAGGTCGGCCCTACCCCCCAACTTATCATCATCGTTACTATTAATAACAGTATTAGTATGACCATTACTATTTTGACAGTAATGATTACCATCCTTTTATTCATTCATTCATTTAATAGACATTTTCTGAGCTCTACTCTCTGCCTGATCCTAAGAAGCTAGAGCCACACTGGACATGGTTCCTGCCCTTGTGGGGCTCAGACCCAGGCCCAGGCCCCACCCCTCACCTGAGCAAGCAGAGGGATCAGTGCCATCCTGGAGGGAAGCCTGGGGAGCCTTGGGGGTGCCCTAGGGGCGCCTTATCTCAGGCTGGGGAGTTTAGGGAAGGCTGAGGCTCACAGAAGAAAGAAAAGTTGATGGGGAGGAAGGGCGTTCCTCCACCCACTAGGAGCAGCAAAGGAGAAGACTCTGGGTGGTCAGGACTCAGCCTAACCAGGCCATGGGGTCCAGCCCAAGCAGGGGCCATTGGGAAGGGCACCAATCTTTGTATTTGATGGCAACTGCCTCTTTGAGTTGGCATTACTTTTAAAGACAGGATGCTTAGCCTGTTGTAAATCACAGATCTTTGTGAGATGCTAAGGAAAGCTGTGGACCTTCTTTTTCCTCAAAAAACTGTTCACACACACCAAGCTTGCTTGTAGCATAAGGGGCTTTAGGGAGCCCATCCTTGTTGTGAACTTAAGGCCCTTCCTTGTTGTGAACTTAAAGTAGAGCAAAGTCCCTCGATGCGCAACTTCAGATCTGATGGAGTTGGTGATCCACTCCCATGTGCTTCCCGCCTCCCCAACGGCCACCCCCATTCCTGTCTCATTAACCTCCAGGGCCTCACATGTTGTGCGATTTAATTCTCAAGACCCTCCTTGTTATATTTTAGGGAGCAGGGGTTACTGCATTCAACCAGAAGTTCAAAACTGTCAGCAGAGGAATACATTTGGCTCACATATGTGTTTTATGTGGCCTGAATAGGGTTTTAAAACATTTCGAACATCCTGCTGACATTAGAAACTAGCAGATTTCACAGAAAAAATTGTGGTTGCCAGCTTCTCTGGAAGCAACTGTCATCAGGGCTTGAGTGGCAGTTGTCCCCTCTGGACAGGTCATGTCTCCAGTCCCGCAGTCCCTGTCCAGCCTTCCTTCCTGATATTTATCTGGTCCCTGTAGCCACTGGGCTTGGGAGTGTCAGCTAGCTGGCTCTTCCTGAGGCCTGGTGCAGGGACCCAGCCCCTCAGCAGCGAGTCCCTCTGCAGAAGCAGGATATGGGCCATGCCAAGCCTGACTTGGAACATGGAACGTGCCACTTGCTCCTCCGTTCAGGCACCTGCCTTCATTGCGGGCCAGCTCCTCAAAGGCCACCTCGGACGAGCTGACCATCCTAGTGCTCCCCTTCTAGAGCCAAGAGCAGTGGATCCTGCTCAGCCTGCATGCGGAGTCCCTGGGCCCTGGAAATGTGCTCACATTCAGGCCCAGCAGCACCCTGTGGCCTGGCACAGGGATTTTCCATTGTTCCCTGGGTGCTTTCCATGCACAGCCTGGATAGAGGCCACTGACTTGGAAGTTCCCAAGACCCCATAGGCCCTGCAGACCTCCAGTTCCCTCCCTGACAGGCCCTCTCCTATAGGTTTTCCTACGCTCCTCCCACTCATCCCCATTAGGCCTCATCCATTGCACACAGTGCACTGCTCCAGGTGCCCAGTGAGTCACGTTTCAGGGTCATGCTGCAGCCATGTAAGGCTTGGGGCTCAGGCAGACTCCTCACTGGTGACCCAGAGACACATTATTGACCCTCTCCTAGCCTCCATTTCCTCATTTGCAGAACAGAGATAACCACCTTGAAGAACTGTAGTGAGAAACAGAGAGGGAAAGCACTTGTGCAAGGCCTGGAGCAGAGTCAGCCCAAAAGGATGACAGCATGTCTGTGTGTAGTCAGCTGCACTCTCGAATGAGTAGTGTGTGCACATGGCACAGCCTGAAGAATGGCCACTGGGGGATACGGTCTCCCTCCTACTCCTGTATCTCTGTGTGTGTGTGTGTGCGTGCGTGCACACGCGCACATAGCATGCCCTATTCTGTACTTTGCTTTCGTGTGTGTGTGTGAGCATAGCATGCCCTGTTCTGTACTTTGCTTTCCTATGTGTGTGTGCGTGTATGCATAGCATGCCCTGTTTTGTACTTTGCTTTCGTGTGTGTGTGTGTGTGTGTGTGTGTGTGAGCATAGCATGCCTTGTTCTGTACTTTGCTTTCCTATGTGTGTGTACATGTATGCATAGCATGCCCTGTTCTGTACTTTGCTTTCCTCTGTGTGTGTGTGTGTGTGCATAGCATGCCGTTCTGTACTTTGCTTTCACGTGAGTGTGTGTGTGTGTGTGTGTGCATAGCATGCCTTGCTCTGTACTTTGCTTTCGTGTGTGTGTGTGTGTGCGCGCATAGCATGCCCTGTTCTGTACTTTGCTTTCACGTGAGTGTGTGTGTGTGTGTGTGTGTGTGCATAGCATGCCTTGTTCTGTACTTTGCTTTCCTATATTATGCATCTTGGAGAGCCTTCCAAAATGAAAAAGTAGCTTCTTTTTTTTATAGCTAAAATATCGCATTGCATGGGTGAGCCATAATTATTTAGCCAGTCCCTGTTGATGGACAGTTAGGTTTTTTCCCAACCTTTTGCTCTTTTAGTGTTCCACTGAATAAGTTGGTGCAAGTTTGACCTGCAGGATGAAGTCCTAGAAGTGGAACTGTGCATTGGTTTTTTTCATGGTTATTGTCCAACTGTAACCTACAGAACCTGTACCTTCCACAGCCGTCATCAGGCCAGTGTCACAGGCTTCCTCATGTTTGCCAATCTGTGCACCCTGAGTATGCATTTATTTTCTCTTAAGTGGGGATGAGCAACACGTTTTACATGTTTTACAACCATTTGTGTTTTTTATTCTGTGAATTATTTGTACTTATATTTTGCCCTTGCCCACTTTTCTATTTGGTTTTTGGTTTCTCTCTCTCTTCTTAAATTATTTATTATTATTATTTTCAGAATAGGGTCTAACTCCATTGCCCAGGTTGGAGTGCAGTGCACCATTATAGCTCACTGCAGCCTTGAACTCCTGGGCTCAAGCAATCCTCGTGCCTCAGCCTCCTGAGTAGCTGGGACTACAGGAACACAACACCACACCTGGCTGTTTCTTTCTTTTTTTCTTTTTCTTTCTTTTTTTTTTTTAGCTAGTCAAATTTAGCAGTGGGAGACTGTATACCAACTTCAGTGACACCAAATTTAATAAGTTCTCATAACCTACTACCATCAGACCAGACCTTTCTTTTTTAAAAAGTTATTACCTGGCTGGGCGTGGTAGCTCACGTCTGTAATCTCAGCACTTTCGGAGGCCAAGGTGGGTGGATCACCTGAGGTCAGGAGTTCGAGAGCAGCCTGGACAACATGGTGAAACCCCGTCTCTACTAAAAATACAAAAGTTAGCCAGGGTGGTGATGCATGCCTGTAATCCCAGCTACTTGGGAGGCTGAGGCAGGAGAATCACTTGAACCCAGGAGGTGGAGGTTGCAGTGGGCCAAGATCATGCCACTGCATTCCAGCCTGGGCAATAGAGTGAGAGTCTGTCTCAAAAAAAGAAAAAAAATGTTATTACTTTGTAGGAGCTCTTTGTAGATTGTGTCAGTGAAATGAATGGCAAATATTTTTCCCGGTTTGTGTTTTATCTTGCAATGTTGTCTGTGGTGCTTTTGCCATTCAGAATGAAAAATTTTTTTGGCTGGGGGAGGTGGTTCACAACTGTAATCCCAGCACTTCGGGAAGCTGTGGCAGGAAGATCGCTTGAGCCCAGCAGTTTGAGAGCAGCCTGGGCAACATAGTAAGACCCCATCTTAAAAGTAAATACATAAATAAATTTAAAAGAATTAAAAAATTTTTAAGGTAGTAGAGTTTACCAATCTTCTGGTTATATTTGGCAAGATCTCAGATTATTTGTTAAAAATCTCCCAGGTTTGGCCGGACGCAGTGGCTTATGCATGTAATCCCAGCACTTTGGGAGACCAAGGCGGGCGGGTCACCTGAGGGCCGGGAGTTTGAGACCAGCCTTGCCAACATGGTGAAACCCCATCTCTACTAAAAATGCAAAAATTCACTGGGCATGGTGGCAGGCACCTATAATCCCAGCTACTTGGGAAGCTGAGGCGAGAGAATCGCTGGAAACTGGGAGACAGAGGTTGCAGTGAACCAAGATCACGTCACTGCACTCCAGCCTGGGTGACAGTGTGAGACTCTGTCTCAAAGAAAAAAAAAATCTCCCAGGTTTTCTGCTAGCACTTTTATGGTTTAATTTTTTACATTTGAATCTTCATCAGGAATTTGTTTTCATGTAAGGCTTGAGGTAGGGATCGAGCCTGGTTTTTCTCCAGACAGGGTAGCTATTATTATGTCATTCGCCCCCTTCAATCATGCTGTTACTCCATCCTCCTTCATGACTAATACCAGGCATCAACAAAAACAAGCCAAAATCACATCTGGTGTTGGTGGTAACCCAGGCCCTTTGCTAGTAAGCAGCTGGTAGTCAGTGCTGTTTGGACCCCAGGTTGCCATATACCCTCTGAGCACCCCCTCATTCCAAAGGGCTCAGCATCTATTTAGCAGTAGCTTCCACTTGCTCACTGGGGTTCTGTGTGGGTTCAATTCATCTCCTCAAAGACTGGAACTGTCTTTCCTTGCCAGGGTCTTTCCTGGCCTGTGCCTGTGATAGGCCTTTTATAGGAGACTCCGGTAGCCGAGCTCCACTGTGCACCAGGTGCTTCCTGTACACGGCCTCTGATCCCCAGGACCCCGTGAGGCAGAGATGCTTCTCCCCATTTACAGTGAGGAAACTGAGTCAGCGAATGAAAGTGGGTCTCTCAAGGTCACACTGTTAAGTGACCCAGGCAGGATTCAAATTCAGGTTCACCTAACTCTGAAGTTGTAAGGCAGGTAAATTTTTTCCTCTAGCTTATCAGGGTCACTGACTGGGACCAAGAATTAAACTGACATAAGACAAACGAGAAAAGCATACAAATTTTATTGAGTAATTTGTACATGTACATGGGAGCATTCACAAGCAAAATGAAGGCTCAAGAAGCCGTTAGGGCCGAAAGCTTATATACTTAGTTGGACAGAGAGTAGTGAATTGTGAGAACGTGACAAGACAAAGAGGTTTGGGCTAAGGCAGTTCATCGTGGAGAAGTGACAAGGCAGATGAGCGTTAGTTTAACAAGGTTTGTTCACACAGATTCCCCTTGGCCCGGACTCCCTCCCTCTGATGATAAGAATGGCTTCTTGGCTGGGCACAGTGGCTCACACCTGTAATCTCAGCACTCTGGGAGGCCGAGGTGGGTGGATCATGAGGTCAGGAGTTCAAGACCAGCCTGGCCAAGATGGTGAAACCCCGTCTCTACTAAAAATACAAAAAAAATTAGCCGGTCATAATGGCAGGTGCCTGTAATCCTAGCTACTCAGGAGACTGAGGCAGAGAATTGCTTGAACTCAGGAGGCAGAGGTTGCAGTGACCGAGATCGTACCACTGCACTCCAGCCTGGGTGACAGAGTGAGACTACGTCTTTAAAAAAAAAAAAAAAAAAAAAAAAAAAAAAAAGAATGGTTTCTTTCCTCCTGGTACAGGGAGGGCACCTTTCCCATGGGAGATTTAACTTCTGCTTTCAGGAAGAAAAAGGGAGGTCAGGGTGTCCTCTTTGCATTTTCTGTTTTTAAGTATCTTTTTTTTTTTTTTTTTTTTTTTGAGACAGAGTCTCACTCTGTCGCCCAGGCTGGAGTGCAGTGGCACAATCTCGGCTCACTGCAAGCCCCACCTCCCAGGTTCACGCCATTCTCCTGCCTCAGCCTCCCAAGTAGCTGGGACTACAGGCACCCGCCACCATGCCTGGCTAATTTTTTTTTTTTTTTGTATTTTTAGTATAGATGGGGTTTCACTGTGATAGCCAGGATGGTCTCAATCTCCTGACCTCATGATCCACCCACCTCGGCCTCCCAAAGTGCTGGGATTACAGGCATAAGCCACTGCTCCCGGCCTTTAAGTATCTTTAACTCAAAATAATCACTATGCCAAAGCGGCATATTTTGGTGTGAAATGCTCTGAACCCCATGAAAGCCATGGCTCCTTCTACCCTGCCTACCAGCCTCTAATAAAAACCTGAGCTTACAGGGAGTGAGCACTTGCTAGTGCTCAAAGAGCCTCACATGTGTTCTCTCACTTGTGTCAAGGGTAGGGGCTATCAATCGCACTTTACAGACCAGGAAACTGAGGCATGGAGAGGGTAGGTAGCTTCTACACGCTTTCAGAGCCAGCAAATGGCAAAGCTGAGACTTGCACTTGGGCAGGCTGACTCGAGTCCAAATTCTTACCCACAAAACCAAATTGCCACCTGCCATTATCTAATTACACTTAGTTGTTGATTCCTAAAGTGCAGTCTATTGTTTCTAGAGTTTAAGTGCCATTCGAGAGGAGTTGGAACTGCCCAACATTGAGAAGATGATCCTAGAATGCAGTGCTGACATCAGTGAGTTGTTCGATGCGCTCATGACGCTGGAGATGCAGCTGGTGGAGCAGCTGGAGGTAAGGCTGGGCCCTGGGCACAAGTGCCAGAATCTGGCGATGCAGCTGCACATCCATAGGTGAACTGTAGCCTTCATGGGCACGCCTCTGCTGGAAACGTCCAGCACGACTCAGCGTGGCAGGCTGTAGCTTTCTTGCTCATCAGTCCTGTTTGCTTTTATTACATTTTAATCATTTACATTGGAAGTGATTCTTGTGGAAAATGAGAGGTGAGCTCATTCTTCTGAAATGGTCCCCCTATCCTGGAAGTCAGTGGGGAGAGGTTTTTGATTAGACCCCTGGAGCTATCCGGGTACTCTAAAGGCAAAGCGCACCCCCACTTGGGGACCAAACAAAGACCCCTCCGCATTGCAGCCTGCAGTTGCCGCTTCTCAGGTGACGTGAGGAGGCTGCAACTCAGCACTAAGTAGTGAAAATGAAAAGCGCCGCTGTCTGAAATTCATTAGCAGCCAGAGTATGTGTTACAAGGCAGCGGAGGCTGGGAGTCTGAAGTGGTGTGATGAATTGAACCTCATCGGATGCTGCTGTGGCTGGGCCAAGTGATAGCACCTAATCAATTCCTCACACGTCAAGTGACACCTCAGACATGGGATAGATTTCCCCATCACATCACAGGGCAGGTGCTCCCTCCCTGCTGGAGAGCACAGGCACTGCAGAAGCAGCGCACAGTGCCAGGGGCGAGTGAGGCAGCAGCTCCCAGCCTTTTCAGGCACGGAGATTGCCTTTCAACATCCAAACATTTCCCAGAACCCATGTGCCATCCTACTTGTATTACTGGTGGCCAGAAAGCCACAAGCGCAATCATGCTTTTCAATGACCCTATTTTTATTCACGAGAACAGCACATACATGTGTTTGAAAATTATGTGAGGTGCTCACTCTGCAGACAGTACTCACATTCCTATAGATTCCACCCCTGCCCACCTTGCAGCCCCTGGAGTCTATAGCAGATGGGAGTGGGGCACTCCGAGAGTGGCAGGCCTGGAGATCACATCTTCCATTGTTCCTTCAATCAACACTAACTCCCATTTGGGCCTTAGGTGCCTTGCTAAGCACCACAAAACAGCAACTAACTGAAAGAGATCTGGAGTGCCAGCCCGCTCCTACTGAGGGCCTCCTCTCTGTCAGGCACCTTGCAAAGCATTTTGTGTGAAGTGACTCATTTAACCTCACCACAACGCCACAACGCAGGGATTATGCAGGTAACCTATTTCCCAGATGAGGAAGATAAGGCCCAAGGAGGTGAAATGCCTTTCCCAGAGTTACACAGAGTGCTGGAGCTGGGAATACTGACCCAGGCAGTCTAGCTCTTAACAGCTCACTCCACTGTTTCCCTGGAGGTGATGCACAGATGTCACTGGGAAACCCAAAGGAGAGGGGGTTGGCTGTGTGTGTGTGTGTTGGGCAGGCAGGTAAGGGGAGTAAGACCAGGACAAGTGTTCCTGGCAAAGTTCCGGTGACAGCATTAAACATTCAGATGGTGAGGGAGTTAATATGGTTGGAGAACAACAACTTTAGAGAGAGCAGAGGGGTCAGTTCACAACCATCTGCTCAGGAGGGTCAAGATGGGTGGTCTTTATGCTGAAGGTCTGTGATTAGAGGAGCTGGTTGCTAAATTTTGAGGAGTACCTTTTGCTCTGTGCTGGACATCTAAATATGCATGTTAACTGTGTTCTTTAACATTTCCAGGAGACTATAAACATGTTTGAAAGGAACATTGTTGACATGGTAGGACTGTTTATCGAAAATGTCCAAAGCCTATATCCTTTCTGTGATGACCTTCCCCATGGGGAGGTGCTACAGAGCCCCTGGGCTTGTCCCGGCCTCTGGACAAAAGAATGTTCCACAGGGTCTGAGGAGGTTTCCCGACCCTCAGAACAATGATGGCCTGGTTAGAGCTGTGGTTTGGATGCCCAGAGGGACAACATCCAAACTGTTTGCAGTAGGCTCCCAGCATGATTGTTCTCATATGAGTGATGTTCACTAGGAAATGACGCCCCCTGTGTTGCAGGCAAGCACACTCTGGGGTTGAGGCAACCCCCACGTGGAAGACACTATAAGGAGTACATCAGGTGAAATGTTAGGGTGAGGAGCCAACATCGGAGCATGGCCAACCCTTCTTCCACCCGAACTCAGGGCACTCCACATGGGGCAAACTGCTGTGCTCCAGCTAGCAGCAGCCCTGTGGTCCTGCCCTCCTGGGGCTCACAGTCCCTCAGGGAGACAAGTTGTAGAGGCAACAAGTGGTGCCAAATGCACAGGGTGAGAAGCAGTTAACCCAGAGGCCAGGAGCCTCCATGCAGGAGGGAGAGAAGAGTGTGATGGCAGGGGCCGAGGGTCCGTCCGAGGTGTGGGGCAGGGGCAGGGAGTCGAGGAAGGCCCAGGGTTCGGAGCTTGTGAGTGGACGGTGCTGCCAGCCAGAATTTCCGAGCTCGCCTTGGGCCCTTAAAGTCTGTCTCCCGCCGTCTGAGAGCATCAGGGACGCGCCGGGCCTGCTCCTCCCGGGCCTTTGCTTAACTCGGGGCTGCACGATGGCTCAGTGCCGGGACCTGGAGAATCACCACCACGAGAAGCTCCTGGAGATCTCTATCAGCACCCTGGAGAAGATTGTCGAGGGCGACCTGGACGAGGACCTGCCTAACGACCTGCGCGCGGTAGGCGGGGCGGGCTGCTCGGAGCCTGACAGATGTGGTCCAGCCCAGCTCTGTGGCTGGACTGAGGCTCTGTGAGTAAGCCTGACAACCTCCCAGAGCCTCAGTGTTCTCATCTGCAAAAGGGCACACTAACCTGCTTTACAGGGTTGCTGGCAGATAAAATAGGCTAACAAAGCACCTGGTGGGGCACCCAGTGGGGCCCAGTTAAAGAGGAGCTCATGATAATTAGATGGTTTCAACTTTCCAACAGGGTCGTTTCCAAAAGTTCAATTATGTGGAGGCTTCTGGCACTTTCTAAGAGAAGCAGTTACAGGTAGAGGTTGAAGTCTGAGATTTCCCCTGGAGGTCTTCTTAACCTTAGAGTCTGTATAATGAGTACTGTGGGGGTGTTGGAACCACCATTTCTGATCCTGCACAATGCCATCCGGTTTGCACCAGCACATCCACTGATGAATGGTCACAAAATCAGCAGGGTCGGCCTGAGGAACCTGGCTCCATCCCTGGGGTCTGCACGCTAAGAAGGCTCTCCCGGATGTCTGCGCTGGGTCCCGCGGCAGCATGTCTATGTCTCTGGAAGGAGTGTGGGCATCAAGGGCCCAGACAGAGATACTATGTTGTCAGGGCCCAGACAGAGATACTATGTTGTCAGGGCCTGCTTTAGTGCATGCATCATTCACTCCACTGCCAGTTTCTCAGCTTCTCTCTGTCGCGACATCACCACCAAGGCAAGCCACCATCGTCCTTGGCCTGGACTGCTTGCCTCTTTACTGTCCTCTTACAGTCCGTCCTCCATGTGGCAGCCAGAGGGACCCTTGAAAACCCAAACCCTATCACTGCACACTTTTACACAACACCTTCTAGTGGCTTTCATGACCCCTAGCGTCAGCTCCTCCCCATAGTCCCCCAGACCCTCGGGCTGACCCTGCCCATCTGGGCGATTCCCACCCCCAGAACCCTCACTCCTGATGCTCAGCGGCAGCCTCTGAGCTCTTCCCCAGTCACCCAGGCTTGCTCCTTTCAGTTGATATTCCACCTGGCAGACACGCTCTTCCTAGGTCCCCATGTGCCTGGCTTGTCCTTGTCATTCAGATTTCAGCTTGACTATCAGCTCTTGGGAGAGGCCTTTCTTCATCAACTTCCAGAAAAACCACTGTCTCTGTATCACATGCCCCATTTATCAGGTCAGGTCAGAGCCTCATCATAGTTTCAAACTACCTGGCTGATGTGTATTTGCTGCTGATGTGACTATTCACACTACATGTAAGCTCAGGAGGGAGGACGGGGATGGCCTTTTCACCACCATGTACCCCCTCAGTACCAGCAACAGTGTACAACATGCAGCACAGATGCCAGGCATCATCTGCAGAATGAGTGTGAGAGCGTATGCTCACCAAGCCTCCACTCTGCCAGATATGGGGCTAAGTCTTGCAGACACACAGGACCAGCAGTCCCTGACTTCCACAGCCTCTGTCCTGGGGCCCAGACAGACACCCAACATAGCAGTGTGGTGATAGGGTCACCGTGACACCAGCCTTCCCTCCCTAAGCTGATAACTGCAGCTAATTGCTATTGACCAGACACAGGAAAACACCACCTTCCCTGTGAAGTAAGGCTGTCCCTGAGTGCCCAGTTTGGAATTCCCCAGACAGACCATCTTGGGGTGGGTGGAGATCCCTCCCAGCACAGCTCCCATGTCTGTGACACCCAGAAGGCACAGGACTGAAACGTGCCCAATTTCTAATGACTAGGACACACAGAAAAAGATGAATCCAGAGGCCAACAGCAGAGAAGCAGGCTGGGCTGGCATTTTCAGTGGCCAGCCCTCCCTCCAGCCCAGCTGGCTCTGCCTGGTGCCAGCTGACCACCATTCCTGTGGCTTTACGCCTGCAGTTATAGGAAGAGACTCCCCAGGACCTTATACCATGGCCTAAGTCTCCTTCCATCTAAGCAACAAAAAATGTGACCTACCCTTCTCAGGAGGAAAAAGTATGCTCTGACTATATGAGTAATACCAACATCACTTTGAAAGGCTGAGGTGGAAGGATTGCTTCAGCCCTGGAATTTGAGACCAGCCTGGGTAACATAGCGAGACCCCCTCTCTACAAATAATAATTTAAAAATTAGGTGATGCGCACCTGGTGGTCCCAGCTACTTGGGAGACTGAGGTTGGAGGATTACTTGAGCCTGGGAAGTCAAGGTGAGCCATGACTGTGCCACTGCACTCCAGTCTGGGTGACAGAGCAAGACCCTGTCTCAAAAAAATAAAATAAAATAAAGGAATAATACATCGCTGACATTTGACTGGGGGCCTCCTGAGGGCCAGCCCTCTGGGAAGCACTGAACTCATGTTTGCTTTTTTAATCTTCACATCAACACGGAAAAGTAGGTACTATTATGGTTCCCTTTTACAGATGAGGAAACTGAGGCACAGAGATGAAGGTAACCTGCCCAAGGACACACAGCTTATAACAGATAGGGTTGTGATTTGAACCAGGCAGTTTGATTGAAAGCCTTTGACAAAATGTCTACTGTATAGCAAGATGGGGATGTTCAGAGGAGGGACTAGGGCTGTGGGTGAAAAAAACCTGGCTTCTGTTACCTAATTATCAAGGAGCATATCTTGATAAGTCACCCTGATGAGGTTATCTCTAAAACTCCACTCATGCAGTTGAGTGACTGTTATCAGCTCATGACCTACATGGGGCCAATCTGTCCCATATCTATTTTCAAGTCCTTCCAGCTTTGAGAGGAAAAGCAGAACGTACATGCTGAGGAGAGAGCCTGGAGCTGGCACTGAGGGAGGGCATCTGAGTGGTGCTGGCAGCCACAGCTGCCCATTTAGGGAGGTGGGGAGGACAGAGGTGCTGCCTGGCTGCTCTGAACATCCACGCGGGTATCCGGCTGCGAGGGCAGGGTGAGTGCTCAGGCCCAGGGAGGATGCAAGTCCCCAGGGTCTGCTCAAGTGGCAGTGGGTCTGACCCAAGCCAGCAGTCTCTGGACAGGGAGACTGCCACAAGATTCTGGCTGGCACCAGGAGACTCCGCGTTGGCTTGTCCCTGCCCATCAAGCCAAGCTGCTCATTTGTCTGTGGCAGAGGAGAATGCAGGGTTGTCAGGTGCCCTTTGTGGGTATGATGGAATGATCTGATCCCACATGCCATGGGGCAGCAAGTCCTCAAGCCACTAGCAGTGCGGTGGTCCTGGGGAGGGGCACCAGCTGTTGCCTTCTCAAAAGTCACTTTGTTGCTACCCAAAGCAACCTACAGATTCAATGCAATCCCCATCAAAACACCAATGACATTCTTCGCAGAAATAGAAAAAAAATCCTACAATTTAGAATCACAAAAGACCTTGAAGAGCCAAAGCCATCCTGAGCAAAAAGAACAACGCTGGAGGCATCACATTACCAGACTTCAAAATATACTACAAAGTTGTAGTAACCAAAACAGCATGGTACTGGCATAAAACAGACACACATTTCTCCAAGAAAACACCAAATGGTAGATGACACTATGGCAGCAGGAGGGCCCAGAAGCCTGGAATGGGAAACCATGGAAGCTTTGTCAGCAGCTTCTGGGGCTAGGATTGTGGCCATAGTCAGGGCAGGGGCTGAGGCTGCGGGGAGCTCTCAGAGGCAAGGTCCAGGCAAAGGAGTGGATGCCCATCACCAAGCTGGGCTGCCTGGTCAAGGACATGAAGATCAAGTCCCTGGAAGAGATCTATCTCTTCTCCCCGCCCATCAAGTAGTCTGAGATCATTGACTTTTTCCTGGGGGCCTCTCTCAAGGATGAGGTTTTTTTTTTGTTTGTTTGTTTGTTTGTTTGTTTTTGAGACGGAATTTTGCTTTTTTGCCCAGGCTGGAGTGCAATGGCATGATCTTGGCTCACGACAATCTCCACCTCCCAGGTTCAAGTGATTCTCCTGCCTCAGCCTCCCGAGTAGCTGGGATTACAGGCATGCGCCACCATGCCCAGCTAATTTTGTATTTTTAGTAGAGATGGGGTTTCTCCATGTTGGTCAGGCTGGTCTCAAACTCCTGACCTCAGGTAATCTGCCCGCCTCAGCCTCCCAAAGTGCTGGGATTACAGGCGTGAGCCGCCACGCCAGGCCTAGGATGAGGTTTTAAAGATTATGCCAGTGCAGAAGCAGACCTGCCCCAGCCAGCGCAGCAGGTTCAAGGCGTTTGTTGCCATCAGGGATTACAATGGCCGTGTCACTCTGGGTGTTAAGTGCTCCAAGGAAGCAGCCACTGCTGTCAGAGGGATCACTGTCCTGACCAAGCTCTCTACTGTCCCCGTGCAGAGGCCACTGGGGGACCAAGATTGCAAGCCCCACACTGTCCCTTGCAAGATGACAGGCTGCTGCGGCTCTGTGCTGCTGCACCTTATTCCTGCACCCAGGGGCACTGGCATCCTCTTGGCCTCTGTGCCCAAGAAGATGCTGCTGATGTCCAGTATTGACAACTGCTACACCTCAGCCAGGAGCTGCAGTGCCACCCTGGGCAACTTTGCCAAGGCCACCTTTGATGCCATCTCCAAGACCTATAGCTACCTGCCCCCTGACCTCTGGGAGGAGACTGTGTTCACCAAGTCTTCCTCTCAGTAATTCACTGACCATCTTGTCAAGACCCACACCAGAGTCTCTGTGTGGAGGACTCAGGCTTCAGCTGTGGCTACAACACAGGGTTTTGTTTTGAGATGGAGCCTTGCTCTATCGCCCAGGCTGGAGTGCAGTGGTGCAGTCCTGGCTCACTGCAACCTCCACCACCTGGGTTCACATGATCCTCCTACCTCAGCCTCCCGAGTACCTGGGACTACAAGCGCACACCACCATGCCTGGTTAATTTTTTGTATTTTTAGTAGAGATGGGGTTTTACCAATGTTGGCCGGCCAGGCTGGTCTCAAACTCCTGACCTCAAGTGATCCGCCCACCTTGGCTTCCCAAAGTAACACAGGGTTTTTATATAAGAAAAATAAAGTGAATTAAGCCTGTTTAAAACAAACAAAAACACAGATACATAAACCAATGAAACAGAATAGAGAACTCAGAAATTAATCTATATATTTACAGCCAACTGATTTTTGACAAAAGCGCCAAGAACACTCACTGGGGAAAAGACAGTCTCTTCAATAGATTTTGCTGGGAAAACTGGATATCCATATGCAGAAGAATGAAACTAGATTCCCATCTCTCACTCTATACAAAAATCAACTAAAAATGGATCTAAGACCTACATGTAAGACCTGAAACTGGCAGGGCGCAGTGGCTCATGCCTGTAATCCCAGCACTTTGGGAGCCTGAGACAGACAGGTCGCTGGAGCTCATGAGTTGGAGACCAGCCTGGGCAACATGGCAAAGACCCACCTCTCTATAAAAAATACAAAAATTAGCTGGGCATGGTGGTACCTGCCTATAGTCCCAGCTACTCAGGATGCTGAGGTGGGAGGATGGCTTGAGCCCAGGAGGTGGAGGTTGTAGTGAGCTGAAATTGCACCACTGCACTCCAGCCTGAGCAATAGAGCCAGACTTTGTCTCAGAAGAAAAAAAAAAAGACCTGAAACTATAAAATGACCAGAAGAAAACAAGAGAAATGCTTTAGGACATTGGCCTGGGAAAAAATTTTATGAATAAGACCTCAAAAGCACAGACAACAAAAGCAAAAATAAATGGAATATATCAAACTATAAATCTTCTGCACAGCAAATGAAACAACAGAGTGAAAAGACACCCTACACAATGTGACAAAATATTTGCAAACTACTTATCTGACAGGGTATTAATATCCAGAATATACAATGAACTCTAACATCTCAATAGCAAAAAAACAAACAATTCAATTAAAAACATCTGAACAGATGTTTCTCAAAAGAAGACATACAAATGGCCAACAAATACATTAAAAACTTTTCAGCATCACTAGTTATCAGGGAAATGCAAATAAGAACCAGAATGAGGCATCATCTCACCCCACTTAGGATGATAATTATCAAAAAGACAAAAAATAACAAATGCTGGTGAGGATGCAAAGAAAAAGGAACTCATATACTGTAAGTAAGAATGTAAACTAGGACAGCCACTAGGAAGAACATTGTGGAGGGCCCTCAAAAACTACAAACAGAACTATCATATGATCCAGCAATCTCACTACTGAGCATTTGTCTAAAGGAAAGGAAATCACTATATTGAAAACATATCTGCACCCATGTTTACTGCAGCACTGTTCGCAATAACAAGATACAGAATCAACCTAGGTGTCCAACAACAGATGACTGGATAAAGAAAATGTGGTACCTATACACAATGGAATACTATTCAGCCATAAAAAAAGAATGAAATCCATGGCAACATGGATGGAACTGGAGGACATTATGTTAAGTGAAATAAGCCAGGAACAGAAAGTTAAACACCTCATGTTCTCACTCATATGCCGAAGCTAAAAAAGTTGATCTCATAGAAGTAAAAACAAGAACAGAGGCTTCTAGAGACTGGGAAGGGTAGAGAGATGGAGGAATAGGGAGAGATTTGTTAAAGGATATACCAAATTACAGCTAGATAGGGGGAATAAGTTCTAGTGTTCTATACCACTATGGGATGACTATAGTTGACAATAATATAGTTTCAAATAGCTAAAAGGAGGATATTGAATGTTCTCAACACAAAGAAATGATAAATGTTTGAGACGGATATGCTAATACCCTGATCTGATCACTATACATGATAGGTGTTGAAACATCACTATGTACCCCATCAATATGTACAGTTATTTGTCAATTTTTTTAATGCCAATTTTTTTTTTTTTTTTTGAGGTGGAGTTTCACTGTTGTTGCCCAGGCTGTAGTGCAGTGGTGCAATCTTGGCTCACTGCAACCTCGGCCTCCCAGGTTCAAGCTATCCTCCTGCCTTAGCCTTCCAAGTAGATGGGATTACAGGCACCCGCCACCATGCCCAGCTAATTTTTGTATTTTTATTCACCATATTGGCCAGGCTGGTCTTGAACTCCTGACTGAGGTGATCCACCCACCTTCCCGCCTTGGCCTCCCAAAGTGCTGAGATTACAGGCATGTGACACCGTGCCCGGCCAGTGCCAACGTGTTTAAACAAAGAAGTTGCTTTGAAAGAAATGTGTCTTTACAGCCACAAGGACCACAGAGCAGGGCAACAGCTCAAAAAAGACTCAGGAATACCTGTTTGCACAGCCCCTGCCTCCACCCTAGTGCTTTCAACCTGCAGAAACTGGAGAGGGATCTGGAATATTCTACCCATAAAAACTATTCTAAGAGGGAAAATTGAAGTAGCCACCACTCTAGGCCACCCAAAGTCCAGAAACAACTTGTAACTCACATTTCAAAACAATTCCCTTAAACCCAGTTTCCTTTTGTTTTCATTTTACAAATGTCACACAGTTTTTCATAACCAATTCTAATCATGTATGTTTCTAAGCAGATTTCAGTTTCTGTTGCTTCTCACAGCTTTTGAAGCTGTTTTCTACATATTCAAACTCTGAGGGGTATGATTTCTCTGCCTGGCTTAGAGCTCCACTATGACCCACCTTTTAGAATGAAGGATGAGAACCTTTTCGTGATGGGTTGACACTGTGGTTGTAGTTATCTCTAAAATAACCAGGACACCCACTCCTAAGCACACTGCCAAGGCTCACCGAAAACAGGCTTTACACACCTTTGAACCATTCCCAGAGCCTGGCCTGGGACCTTGTACACACATGGAAAGAACTTAATAATTTCTTGACATTTCTCCCTTGTGACTGTGCTAATTGGTCCCCCAGACACCCCATTCCACATATCAGCTAACCTGGCTTTTCCCACATGAGATTATGTGGAAAATCAGCATCCCACAAGACATTAACAGGCATTACTCTGAAGTCTGTAGCCAAAAAAGTTGGAAAACCAAGAGAGACAAAGCTTAAAGGGTTTATTTTCCACAGGACTTTGTAGAGCCTTCAGAATACTTTGTGCCCAGCAAATCTTTAGGAGGGGCCTAGGATGTGCTGGCTTTCCCAAATGTATTTGACCAAAGAATACTTTTTTTGGCAGAAATATTAACATCTTAAGATTGCACAGAACGTTTTAGAGACCATTAAGTTAACTGCCACTACAGGAAAGAACAAAAAATGCACACTCCACTTGCAAATCCTCCCTGCAATACAGAGCATTCAGGTGCTCTGCCTTACCAAGCGCCTCTGCTTCAAGGTGGAAGCAACTGCTTACTGAGTGCTTCAGTGGCCTTGCCCTGCTCTGGGAAATGACTCCATTTCAACCATCCCAGGCAACAATAGCCACAGTGTCAACACCTAGAACCAGTGAGGCCTATTAGAAGGTGGTTGTTTCTAACAACTTTTTACAAGACAGCAAAGTCAGGAACAAGAGAAGGCAGAAGGATACTCCAAATGGAATCCAAAGTTTGGTTTTGTTGACATGAGTGGCAGTGGAGAGACAACTGTGGGGTGAACACCCATGAGTTTGTAGGGCCTGCTGTCTTCAGAGCAGCCTCGAGACCCTCAGCCAGCCTCATGCTTCCACCCAGCAGGCAGAGGTTTTGGGCAAGTTAGACTTGAGAGTAATTGAGAGAGAAGCATTGTGAGAACAGATGTCCTGGGTGAGGTGCCCCCTGGGCAGCCATCTGCCTTCACCCTGGAGGAAACATGCTTCCAGCGGGGACTGCAAAGTAACACCCTGGTTGGCCCTTTCCCCACAACACCTGCCCTGTGCAGTTGGGGAAGCGGCTGTCACAGATGAATTCACAGATGAATCGGCAGAGTGCGCTGATACAAAGGTGGGCTCTGCTCTGAGTGTGGCCTGCACAGCCAGGGGACTTCCAAATGCTCCTTCTCTGTTCAGCTCCCTTTGTGTTCACGGTATAATGACACACACTTTCTCATTGGATTCTTTTCACTCACCAGCTTTTTGTCGATAAAGATACGATTGTTAATGCTGTCGGGGCATCGCACGACATCCACCTCCTGAAGATTGACAATCGAGAAGATGAGCTGGTGACCAGAATCAACTCTTGGTGTACACGTTTAATAGACAGGGTGAGTCAATCCCAAGCCATCCTAGCAGGCTGGATGAACTTTTCTAGCTGACATGGAAATCCTCCCTAGGTAGTGGATAGAATTTTCATTAAGGAATGAAATGAAGGAAGAAATAAAATTAAGGATTATAGAATTCCACACTGAAGACAACATTGCCCAGAGACTTTAAAACCCATGGGCTTCATCATTTTCCTAATTCCTACCTCAAATATACAGAGATCAGCAGAACCTGGGGAGGCGCTGAAGCAAATGAGGTTTGCAGATCTAAAGGAACTATTTTCCCCTTCCCTCAAACTGGATTCAGTGAAAGATATTAACCAATGATCTGATGTAAGGAATCGGGCTTTGGTTTCACTCCTCAGATTCACAAGGATGAGATCATGAGGAACCGCAAGCGCGTGAAGGAGATCAATCAGTACATCGACCACATGCAGAGCGAACTGGACAACCTGGAATGTGGCGACATCCTAGACTAGATGAATGTCAGCCACAGGAGCTTCTTCAAAACATAGCACCAGCCCCAGCCAGGAGAAGGAAGTGCACACGCCTCACCCGCACCTCTAGAGAGTTGCTGGGCATCTCTCAACCGCGATCCCCAACACCATTCTTCCCCCACCCCTGGAAAAACTTCCAAAAGTAGAGAAAATAAAGGACTCATTTCACATTTCCCCTACTCATAAAAAAAAAAAAAAAATCAGCTGGGTGCGGTGGTTCACGTCTGTAATCCCAGCACTTTGGGAGGCCGAGGCATGCAGATCACGAGGTCAGGAGTTCGAGACCAGCCTGACCAACATGGTGAAACCTTGTCTCTACTAAAAATACAAAAATTAGCCAGATGTGGTAGCGTGCACCTGTAATCCCAGCTACTCAGGAGGCTGAGGCAGGAGAATCACTTGAACCTGGGAGGCGGAGGTTGCAGTGAGCCAAGATCGCACCACTGCACTCCAGCCTGGGCGACAGAGCGAGACTTCGTCTCAAAAAAAAAAAAAAAAAAAAAAAAAAAAAAAAAAAAATGTTCATGTAGGAACAAGAGAAAGAGTTTGAGATGAACAGCCGGTCCCAGGCCAGCTGACAGAGCAACTCCCAAGGGCACTGCCATCAGCTAGATTCTTGGCTGTGGCATAAAGTCAGACACGTGCCCCTGCCGTTTCCCCTGCCATGCCTAGGCAGGCTGCCAGCCACAGGCAAAAGGAGGCCGGTGTGGGCTAAGACCTTCTCTGCTCTGGGTGCTGAGGGGCAGGGAAGCAGGAGGAGAGGCTGCAGCTCCCACCACAGTGCTGGGGCCTGGGCCTGCCCACCAAGGCTGAGGTTAGCCACAAGGACCTGAGGACCCTCCAGAAGAGCAGAGTGCAGGCAGGGCATCCCAGCTCCACCATGTCACCCCCGCAGCCCTGGTGTCATCTGTGACAGTACCTCACAGTGCCTTCGAGGAACAGTTCAGGGAGACAGTGCATGGGAAGCGTGGAGAGGCACCCAGCATGCGATCAGTGCCCTGTGAGCAGGGTTGATGCCATTACCTTACTCAGGCTGGCAAGGACACAGGGCTGAGAGAGCCTGTCTGCCTGAGAACCACTCTTCCCCCCTGCCCTCTTACTGGCCTGACACCAGAAAGTAGCGCCTGCCTCCTGGGACACTAGAGGTGGCTATGTCAGGAGGACCCTTAGGACTCCTGGGTGGGAGATGAGCGGAAACATGCACATCAGGTGACCTTGTCAAGCCTGTCCAGGCTTTTAGCCCAGAAACAACTTCTATTTTCTACTTTCTAGAGTAAATCATTTGTTTTAGAACAGTAGGAACAAATAGAAACAACCAGCTTAGACCACAATTGTTTCAAAAGATTGTTTGATTAAAAGCCAGCCAAAAAAAAGCCTTCAGGCTGAGGCTGAAGAACACAAATAGAGTTGTCTGTGGATTACATGATTGTTTCCCCAGTGCAAGGTTCCTGACCACAGGCAGCAGATATCCAAACACGCCATGGGAGATAAGCTGTTTAACCCTCTGGAACCTAGACAAAACAGGAAGAATGGAGAAGTGCAGAGGCATACGTGAAAACAGGGCTCAGCACATTTCCAGGGTGGAGAAATATTTAATAAAATCAGAGTCGAGAGAAAGTCACTTGCACAATTCATCTCCTACATTCACTGCTGGCCAGGCCAGGGGCACCTGGGTTGAAATCAGGCTGACCTCCGGACAGCCGTACTAGCGCACTGTGTCTCGGGGGGAATCTCAGGGTGACGCTGAGGCCGAGTCCCCAAAAGCCAAGGAAGCCAGCCCCACAGGCTGGGGAGCCCTGAAGGCCGGGGGAGCTGTGGCTGCACTGCCTCTATCCTGCTGAGTGTGCTCTGCCCAGGCCTCACTCCTTCAGGAGCTTGTGCTTGACTGTGGTGCTCTCGGAGCAGAGATGGATGAAGAGGGTGCCGGCGGCGGTGCGGGCCCGCAGCTCCTGCAGCTCATAGTCATGGGCCCACTCAATGTTGCCCCACTTCTGGATCTGAGGGAAGGACAAGACAAGTTGCTGGGTGAGTGGCCAGTGCCTGGCTGCCTCCTGACCAAAGCCACGTTCCATTCCAATAGGTTGGCTGAGGGCAACAGGTTTGTATCTTGCCAAAACACATGAGACATGCCTAGGGGGAGGTGGCAGGTAAGAACACCCAGGTACGCCAGACACGGTGGCTCACGCCTGTAATCCCAGCACTCTGGGAGACCGAGGCAGGAAGACTGCTTGAATCCAGGAGTTCAAGACCAGCCTGGGCAAATATGGTGCAACCTCGCCTCTACAAAAAGGTTTAAAAATTAGCTGGGTGTGGTGGGGGTGCACCTGTAGTCCCAGCTATTTGAGAGACTGAGGTAGGAGGACTGCTTTGAGCCCAGGAGGCTGAAGCTGCAGTAAGCCAAGATCACACCGCTGCACTCCCACTTGGGCAACAGAGCAAGACCCTGTCTCAAAAACACCACACACACACACACACACACACACACACACACACACACCCCACCACCCCACCCCCAGGGAGCCGGAGCAGGCACCTGTGCTCTCTGTGGCATGGATGGTCTGGAAGAAGTGCAGTCCAGGCCCAGGCCCAGGGCCAGTGGCTGCCCACCCACCACTGGGCAGGCTGGGTACCAGAACCACCCATGTGACTTCTTTGAGGAGGCCTTATGTGCCATCCCTTCTCCTACACTTCCTCCCAGAAAGCCTGTGAATGGACAGCCTCTCCAAGTTGCCTTGCCATGCTGGGCTACAAGTGCCCCCCAGCGCCATGTGGGTGGAATAACTAAATCAAGTAAGGCCACGCAGTGGCTTCAACTCTGACTCTTGTGGTAGTCACAGAACTACAGATGCCTCTGCTCTGCACACTGGGGACAAGTTGCAGATTCTCTGTCTGGAGCTCTAAAAACAAGAGGGAGGAACGCTCAGACACACGATGTGGCTGTCCAGACAGTGTAAGTCCAACCAAACCTTGCTGGCTCCTCCCTGGCTAGTTGCCCAAGAGGCCTGGCCTGGCCGCCCCAGCTCATCCAGGAACTCAGAATCCACCATGCTACACAAGCTATTTGAACTTCTGGGCTGCCTGGTCCCAAACTGTACAATTGTAATATGTCATCTGAAGAGTATTCCATACTTTCATTGTATACCATCACATACATAATTCAGGTTATTCCTCTGTTTGTAGAGGATCGAAACCAAAGTTCAGAGAATGATGGCCTGGCTTGGGTCCCATAGTCAGAAGCAGAGCCCAGACTGGCTTCCCACCAGCCCTACAAGTCACCCCCTTCCTATGTAATCAGTTCTGACATCCAGAGAATAGTAGCGGGCCTCCTTTGTTATACAAAAATAGTTTTTTCCCTGGCATTTTTCTGAGCAGAAGACTACAAGAACTAGGGAAATACATCACAAAAAGTTTTGTGTTTTTTTGTTTGTTTGTTTTTACCATATTAGGGACCAATTCATAATAGCAATTAACCTTCTGAGGTTGGTGGAATAACAATAAAAAGACTGCAAAGATGGCTATAATTTTCAGAGTTAAAAAATGCAAACCATACTGTGGCAAAACCTTAATTCTGAGCCCACTAAATCAAAACTTGTATACAAACAGCAGCTACCCCTATGCTCCTCTGCCAGCCAGATAAAATGTCAGGGTATGAAGGCTCAGCTGATGAAGGAGCACAAACGGGTTCTCAGTCATCTTGGCAGGGCCTGTTCTGCAGGCTTTATCAAGCCCAGATGGTCTTTATCCACCCGTGAACCTCCTTGTGCAGAGTGAGGCCTGACGGCCTTGGCCCTAAAATCACCAGACCTGGCTTCAAACCCCAGCTGGCACATTTTCCAGAGGTGCAACCTTGCACCTCCATTTCCTTCTGTGTAAAACAGAGATAACCACAGCTCCTACCTGCCCAGGCTGCTGAGAGGAGGTGAGATGGATACAATGCAGGAACACAGCGGTAGCACTTACTGTTATTTTTTTATTGTTATTATCTTACCTTTTTTTTTTTTTTTTTTGAGACAGGGTCTCACTCTGTCACCCAGGCTAGAATGCAGTGGCACAATCCTGGCTCACTACAACCTCCACCTCCCAGGTTCAAGCAATCCTCCCACGTCAGCTTCCCAAGTAGCTGAGACTACAGGTGCTAATTTTTGTATTTTTGTAGAGAGAGGGTTTTGCCATGTTGCCCAGGCTGGTCTCAAACTCCTGACCTCAAATGATCCATCCTCCTCAGCCACCCAAAGTGCTGGGATTACAGGTGTGAACCACCATGCCAGGCCTACTTGACAATACTTCTGCTGGTCCTTGATTTTGATTTCTGCGTGTACATAAAAGTAATAAAAGCCAAGTATGCATAACTATATTTCAGATGGGTTAGCTGCTCCCCCAAAGTGAGTCTGAACTAGGAAGGGGGAGGCGGGACCTGAGGTGCTGCTCCTCACCTGGTACTCCTCCTCCAGGCGTGACAGCAGCACGGCCTGCTCCACTGTCAGGCGCAGG
This sequence comes from Homo sapiens, assembly GCF_000001405.40. Classification (NCBI taxonomy): domain Eukaryota; kingdom Metazoa; phylum Chordata; class Mammalia; order Primates; family Hominidae; genus Homo; species Homo sapiens. Next base: position 18,021,181 of record NC_000017.11, read on the forward strand.
TCAATCAGGCCCAAGGTTAGCACCATGGACTTGAGCTGGGCAGCTACAAACTCAATCCCTGCAGGGACACAAGCCAAGTCAGAACCCAAAACAGGGCAGCTGCCACAACCTACCCCTTGTGAGTCCCAGCAGCCCTAGCAGAGAACAGGAGTGAGTGGTGCAAAGAGCCATCCAGCGATTGTCCCACTCTTCTGAAAGAGCACTCTGGTCTTCCCTGGGGGTGATCCTCCTCTGCTCTTACCTAGTGAGACACATGACCCGAACTTGGCAAATCAGAGCTTTCCGCACCCAGTCTAGTGATTGGTTCATGGATGGACATGTGACCCAAGCCAGGGCAATGAGATTGAACTCAAGACTTCTGCTGGCGAAGTCGAAGGTGGAAAGGTGTGAGCCTAGAGCGTAGAGTGATTGGCTAGCATCAGAGCCACCCAGCCTCCACACTCAGCTAGCCCAGAACACTCTGTGCCTCTCCACTCACAGGACCTGGGGAGGGGCAAGTACAGGCTTCAGACACTGATGGCCTTCACAGCCACCTGCCAAGCCCACAAGAAACTCCATACATGCCTTGTAAAGCCCATGTGTTGTAAGATGCCAGGTGGCTGACGAGCACCTCCCGAGTTTTGGCAGGGATGCTGGGTCCCATTATGCTGGTGGAGGAGCTGATCTCCACGCCGTATCTGAAAGGAAAAGGGCTTCGGCATGTCTCTGTCATGCTGTAGCCCAAGAGCAGCCCACCTTTTGACTAGAAACAAAGGCCTAAGCTTCAGAGCATGTGTGTGCATTGGCCAAGGAGCTAGTCTTGACTACAGGAGCAACTGCCACCATGGTCAGTGGCCTCCCGACCTGATTTTCTGTCCCTCAAAAGCAAACTTGGAGGACCAAGAAACTGTGCTGAATGAAGGGATGGTTCCTGAGTCATGTGAGCTAGGGCTCGGTTATACGCAGCTGCCTGAAATGCTCATTCATTCACCTGGAATCTCCATCAAAAGGCCATCTGCCTTTTACATCTCTTTAAAGTTTTTCACATTTGAGGACATATAAAAGTTAAAAACAATATTTAAAATGGTTTTCCTTAAAATAATGTTTATGTCATATATCATGGAGGTTTTCTTTTTTATTGAGACAGGGTCTCGCTCTGTCACTCAAGCTGGAGTGCGCTGGCATGATCTTGACTCACTGCAGCCTTGACCTCCTAGGCTCAAGCGATCCTCCCACCTCAGTCTCCCAAGTAGCTGGGACTACAGGCATGTGCCACCACACCTAGCTAATTTTTTTTGTAGAGACAGAGTTTCACCATGTTGCTCGAGCTGGTCTCAAACGCCTGGACTCACGCGATCTGCCAACCTCAGCCTCCCAAAGTGTTGGGATTACAGCCATGAGCCACCATGACCAGTCAGCAGTCATTTTTTCAAACTTTTTTTTTTTTTTTTTTTTTTGAGATGAAGTCTTTCTTGCTTTCTACCCCAGGCTGAAGTGCAGTGGCATGATCTCGGCTCACTGCGACCTCCGCCTCCTGACCTCTGCGCCTGGCTGAGAAGATACATTTTCAAGAATAATCATAACTAAATAAAACAGAAAAACACAATGGGGGATAAAAATAATTTTTGTAATTTTCTTCCATATATCACTGATTTTTTTCTGTTGCTTAAAAAAATCCGGCTGGGGCCGGGCGCGGTGGCTCATGCCTGTAATCCCAGCACTTTGGGAGGCCGAGGCGGGCGGATCACGAGGTCAGGAGATTGAGACCATCCTGGCTAACACGGTGAGACGCCGTCTCTACTAAAAATACAAAAAAAATTAGCCGGGTGTAGATGGTGCATGCCTGTAGTCCCAGCTACTTGGGAGGCTGAGGCAGGAAAATGGCATAAAACCTGGGAGGCGGAGCTTGCAGTGAGCTGAGATCACGCCACTGCACTCCAGCCTGGGTGACAGAGCGAGACTCCTTTCAAAAAAAAAAAAAAAAAAATCCTGCTGGGTGCAGTGGCTCACACCTATAATCCCAGCACTTCAGGAGAATGAGGTGGGCAATCACTTGAGGTCAGGAGTTCGAGACCAGCCTGGCCAACATGGTGAAACCCCATCTCTACTAAAAACACAAAAATTAGCTGGGCGTGGTGGGCGCCTGTAATCCCAGCTACTTGAGAGGCTGAGGCACGAGAATCGTTTAAACCCAAGAGGTGGAGGTTACAGTGAGCCAAGATCGCATCACTGCACTCCAGCCTGGGCGACAGAGCGAGACTCCATCTCAAGAAAGAAAAAATAAAAAATCCTTGCTGAAATTCCTAATAGTACAAATGGACTGTAAGAAATGGCTAAGTTTTTCTATAAACTCTTAAGGATGAGGTATTTCCTGCCACAAGAATCTGATGATTTTATACTATAGCAAAGATCTCTAGGCACCTAAATTATTATTACATTTCATTAGATTCTGAAATGACACTGTTTTGTCACATTCCCACATAGTATTGTAGTCTGGTCTTTAGAGCACTGCCTTTGCCTTCTCTTTTAAGACCCAAGGACACCTGCCACATTGTGAGCATCGGGCAGCATGTGGCAAATCAGTGAACTGATTGGTAACATCACTTTTGTGGAAAACTGCTATACCAAGAAATGTGCCTTGCAAGCTTAGAAAATACCACAGTCAAGGTAGTACCATGAAAGCCAGCCCTTCCAAATTTCCCTTGGGATCAAATGAAATTGAATTTATTTTGCCACCACATCAATAATCCATTCAACTTTGCACTCAAGAGTCTTCCTATTAAAGAAAAATATTTCATATCAATTCCTGGAAGCTACATATCCATTGGATGTTACCCGTAATTTTGCAGGAAGCTATCCAGACTTTTCTCCAAGTGCATACATATCGTATATGTTGTTCTGTTATTTTATTTAATAGTACAGCAATTGTGACAAAGATTAAAATCACTGCCAAAATTTGAACATTTACTGTGTGCTAATAAGCAGGATGCTAAGCCTTTACATGCATCAATTCATTTATTCCTCCTCAAACCCTGAGAGGTAGGGATTATTAGCCCCATTTATAGACAAGAAAATTGAAGCTCAGAGAGATCAACTCATTAGCCAAGTCACACAGCTGAGTCTTCAGCAGAGCTGGGATTCAAACCGACACTGCTGCTCTGACCCGCTGGCAGAAGGTGGCCTGGGAACTCCACTGCTTCTCCAAGGACACAGAGCTGCCCCTACACTTCATGAACCGCTACAGCAGGTGTGCTGTACCTAGTGGCTGAAATTAAATTTGAGGTGCTTTTTTCCCAGGATGACCCTATCCCTGATCATATGAGGGGAGCCAAATCCCACGAGTGCTCTGAAATCAGAAAGCTGACTAGCTAAGGGCACTAGTTTTCCAGCGTGACCCCCTGACCCCTACACTCCACCAAACGCAGGTGCCCAGTCAGTGCTTTCTGCAGGGCTGTACATCTTACCTTTTCTCAGCCCATTCGATGATTGGATCCCACTCATTCCTTTGAAGTTCCACTAATGTCTCGGGCTCCTCCACCCTGTAGCTAATTCATTGTAAAAATAACCTTCATTAATAAAAAAGTACAATTCCTTCATTCAGTGATAGAAAAGGAAAAACACAAAGGACAACAGCAAAAACTTCACCACCACCATCCCAGCCCCACAAGTCTTTTCCCCTAAAGCAGTGGTTCTCAAAGTGTGGCCCTGGCACCAGCATCGCCTGGGAACTTGTTAGAAATACACATTCTCAGGTTGCATGCCTACAGAAATCAGAACCTCTGGAGGGGGGCCCAGCAATCTGTTTTAACAAGCCCTCTAGGGGATTCTAGTGTAAGCTTGAGTTTGAGAACCACTACCCTAAATGCCCCCAAATATTTGACAGGTCCAAGCTTGCCACACTGTTACTGCCATCCTAAAGCAGATCCAATCTACTAACTGCAACCCTGGGTCCACACCCGCTTGACCCAGATGCTGAATGGGAATGCTGTGCCAGATGCTCAGTCTTTGCATCTCTACCCTCACCCCCTCCAAGAGACTGTGCCCCTGGTCACAGACCAAATAGCCTGTTTATACCTCATAAGTCCACCCACCTCCTGGCTACAGATGCAGCTGCTGGCACAGATGCCAGACCTGATGGGACCAAGCTAGAGGTCAGGCTGTGCCATTTGTTTGACCAAGAGACACAGACATGAGCCAGTTGAGAGGAGCTGAGCTGCAGGGCCTCATGGGATGGGAATCCAAGTGGGCACTATGGAAATCCACTGTCTTGTGTAAGCAAAGTGGGGAAGAGAGGTCATGAGTTATGCAGGAAAAGCTGGGGTGCTGGGAGGGGCAGATGGACAACCAGCCTTTCCTCCCTCACCTTCCTCTCACCCTAGTAGGGCACAGGGAGGAGCTCTGACATTGGATCTTCCAGCTACCTTTCCTGGTGACCCAACTGTCCTTCATTTCCTGTCAGGATCCCTGTATAGTTTTCAAGAATCCCCTTTTTGTCTGAGCTAGGTTGAATGGGTTTCTGCTCCCTGCAATCAAGTGAACCCTAATATAAATGGAGTGGGCGTTCCCACTAGCTATGGGTCACCCCCTTCGAAAGCACGCCTCCAGCCATCAGTGCTGACTTCCTGTGTCATCGTGAGATGACTCAGGATCCTAGAGCACTTGGGCTAGCAGGCACGGTGCTGCTCAATCATTTCCATTGTTTCTCAACTTTCCTTTGGCATCACTGAACAATTAGCCAAGAAACATAGACACAGAGGAGAATTCAGAACTGGAGAAGGACACTCCTAGTTATCAGCATCCATAGTGCCAAGGATGCTTTACCTGAGAAAGTGTCGGTGGGCAGAAGTTTAAGGTCACAGGCCCCCCTAGGCCTAAGGGGCCTGTGGTCACGGCACCTGCAAGAGCTGCATAACCACCCTCCCAGCCTAAGGAGCAGCTTCTGGGCTAGAGAAGAGGGGTGGCCATGTTCTGACACCATTGTAGCCCGAGGAGTCCTCCTCCTAAGGGGCTACAGAGCAGCCAAGTGCCAAAGTCAAGTGGGCCACCTTCCTTGTCCTTGCAATAAATGGAGAGGGTTTCTTCTTCCACTGATAACCATCTGGGCAAATCAGGAAAAATAGCCTCAATCCAAGGGGAATGCCCATCTAAATGTCCATTACCAGATGGTGTCGGTGTCCAGAAACTTCACGGCTGCCCGGATCAGCTGATCCTTGTTTCTCTGGGTTGGGTTGTCCAATGATGTGTTGCACAATGTGGTCTGAATCAAAGGCAAAAACCACCCTGTCACTGCCTGCGGGGCTCAGGCAAAAGCCCTGCTTTCCTGAGGACACCACATCTGACACATAGCAGACAGCACCACAGCACAGCCCTCCACCAGAGGCGTCTGCATTACCGGAGCAGCAGCACAGCTACTGAGAGTGTGCCACAACCAGGCTCCATGCCAAATGCTTTGTGTTGACGCTCACAGGACTCGAGGGAAGCTTGCAGCAGCCCCAGGATTAGTGAACCTCCCCCATGGTCACATGCCTTTTATTACCAGGCTCTAGTGTATTTAATTTAATCCTCACAACAACCTTTTGGAGTAGGTACTATTATTATGTCCATCTGGGATGTGAAAACTGAGGCCCAGACAGGTTAAGTACATTGTCAAATACAGTTAATAAGACATGTATTAGTGATGGAGCTCAAATCTGACTGGAAACCTTTACCAGCTGCCTCCCTTACACCTTAGAAAGTAGGGAAATAGCCCATGCAAATCGGGATCAAGATTATTTTTTTCGGCCAAGTGTGGTGGCTCACGCCTGTAATCTCAGCACTTTGGGAGGCTGAGGTGGGCAGATCACCTGAGGTCAGGAGTTCAAGACCAGCCTGGCCAACATGGTAAAACCCCATCTCTACTAAAAATACAAAAATTAGCCTGGCATGGTGGTGGACGTCTGTAATCCCAGCTGCTTGGGAGGCTGAGACGGGAGAATCGCTTGAACCCAGGAGGCAGAGGTTGCAGTGAGCCGAGATTATGCCATTGCACTGCAGCCTGGGCAACAGAGTTAGACTGTTTAAAAAAAAAAAAAAGATCTTTTTTTTTCCAGACTTACCTTGTCAATAATAGGCTGCTTAGGTTACCCTATTCGTTTGTAGCCCTAATCACCCTAATTTCACTAGGTTGTCAAGGACCAGGCCAACCACCTCAGCAGGCTGTGATGTTGGGAGGAGGCCCACCTGGGTTTGCAAAGGTTGAGCACAGCAGCGGCTGGGATGATAGCAGCTGACTCCTGTATTGACTGAGTGCCCAGTCAGTGCTGGGGACCATGCCAAGGGCTTTCTTGCATCATCTCATCTCATCCTGACCACAGCTCCGTGAGGTGGGTACTATTATCACTCATCTTTAATCGGTGGGGAATATGGGGCTGCGAAAGGGGTAGCAACCTGCCCAAGGTTACAGTTTAGAAGCTGCAGAGGCTGGACCTAAGAGTGTAGCTGGGCCCTTCCTTCCCCAGGCAGCCTTGGTGCCTAGGCGAGCCACTTTGGTGTGGACGAGGGGGCTGGTTCTATAGGGAGTCTTCCTCACCTCACCCATCTGCCTCCAGTGGATCTTATATTCAACTAATATTTACTGAGTACCAACTAAATTACCTGCTAGTGGCTGTCCAGACACTGATGAGTAAAACAGACATGGCTCCTGCCCTTCTGTTGCTTACCAGGCAGTGGAAGAGACAGACAATAAATGTGCAAACATAAAACAATTATAAATTGCCTAAGTGCTGACAAAACAAATGGCCAGCTGCTGTCATAGAAAATAAGAGAGCTGGGCAGTCAATGAAGGTGACATCTGTCCTGAAACCAAAGGAGAAACCAGCCATCCAGCACAGTGTTCCTAGGAGAGAGAGCTGCAAGTAGCCGGGCCAGACAAGGAAAGAGTTTAGCACGTTAGTGACTTGAGAGGAGGTGAATCCCTGGGGGCCAGACAGGCAAAGGACCAGCCCCCAGGGCCTTGTCGGAATTTGGTAAAGGGTCTACCCTACGAAGCCCTGGGTGGGTCTCAGGGTCCAGGTTCACACTGTGAACTTGTTACCAGGTGCATGGTGTAGTACTTGATGGTATCCTGCTGGGAATCCCACTCAGTAGCCACTGCAATGGCCAGGGCCTCGCTGGGGACGGTAAAGAGCTTGGCTTGGGGAGTTTTCAGCTTCCTGTGGTCCAGGTTTATCTCAAAGCCACCTTGAAAGATCAAATGAAAAACTCTCAGGGATTTGTTAAGTGGAATCAAGTGACCATTCCTATATTTAGCCACTTGAATTGGTGCAGACAAAGCCAACTCTGAGTCCCTTACAGAAATATATCTCACAAAAAGCAGGAAGGATAATCGCACCATGAAACCAGCTGAAGATGAAAAATGTTCCCAACCATTCACAAAAAAAAAAAAAAAAAGAGGCAGTCAAAATTTCAGACACTCACCTTCACCCTGTGTGATGCTGACATTCTGATAAAACCTCTTCCTTTCTGTAAGAAAGATTTTTCAAAGAGGCAGTTTAAAATAACGTTGAGACAACTCAGGAAGCGACAGGACCAGCTTGTATCATTACTGCTAATGTTGATTGATTGGCTTGATTTTCATATCCCCATTCAAGGTCTGCCCTACTCAACACGGTATAATCAACCGCTTCTGATTAAAGCTGGGGGAAGGGAACATCTGATCTCCAGGGAGAAGGGAGGAACAGAACATGCTGGTCATACCTCTGCCAGCCCCGCAGCCTGGGGACAAGTCTGATCAGGAGCATCTCGGCATGCTCTCCCACCCTCCCCACCACCAGTGCCACCTCATGCCAGCACAACGAGTTCAAACCTAAAGTCGGTGTCTGAGTGGGACAAAGCTAGAGACCCATTTCAGGCAAGACTCTGATGCCTCTAAGGAGTGAGTGGAAAGCCAGTGTGCGTGCGCAGGGTGTGCGTGTGTGATACATCGGCAGGATACAGAGCTCCCAAGGGCATTTCCCATCCCCTCTCTCCAATTAATTAACCTAATTAACCAGCTTGCTTGTGTATCCAACAGGAACTCCAAACATTTCCTTCAAGAATGGGAAAATCTATGTCCTTTGTTTTCTTTTGAAAATAACTTGAATAAAATCTTACATGAAACAGTCTCCTTCTTTTACCCTGGAGGGATTAACAACCAAGAGCACTTCTAAGGAATTATGCAGATTCCCTCAACTGATAACAAAGAAGTCACATTTTGGAAGCTATAAGCTATAACTCAGTCTCTCACATCTGTGACAAACACAAAACTTTCATTCATTCATTCGTTTGTTCACTCGTTCATGTGTTCACTGAGTTCTCAAAGTCTTTGGAGACCCTAACTGAAGTTATTTATTGGAAATAATGATGCAGCATGTGGAAGAAAAAAGAGTAAATCATTTGCTTTATTTATTTATTTTATTATTATTTTTTTTTTGAAATGGCGTCTCACTCTCTTGCCCAGGCTGGAGTGTAGTGGTGCAATCTCAGCTCACTGAAACCTCCACCTCCTGGGTTCAAGCGACTCTCCTGCCTCAGTCCCCTGAGTAGCTGGGATTACAGGCATGCGCCAACACACCAGGCTAATTTTTGAATTTTTAGTAGAGGCAGAGTTTTGCCATGCCAGCCAGGTTGGTCTCGAACTCCTGACCTCAAGTGATCCAACCCGTGAGCCACCATGCCCGGCCAAATAGTTTGCCTTTAACGCTAAAAAAAAAAAAAAAAAAAAAAAAAGGCTGGTCGCAGTGGCTCATGCCTATAATCCTAGCACTTTGGGAGGCCAAGGTGGGAAGACTGCTTGAGGCCAGGAGTTCAAGACCCAAGCTGGGCAACATGAGACCCCATCTCTACAAAAAATACAAAAATGAGGCCGGGCGCAGTGGCTCACGCCTGTAATCCCAGCACTTTGGGAGGCGGAGGCGGGTGGATCACCTGAGGTCAGGAGTTCGAGACCAGCCTGGTCAATGTGGTGAAACCCCATCTCTACTAAAAATACAAAAATTAGCCAGGTGTGGTGGCACATGCCTGTAGTCCCAGCTACTCGGGAGGCTGAGGCAGGAGAATCGCTTGAACCCGGGAGGCAGAGGCTGCAGTGAGCTGAGATCACGCCACTGCACTCCAGCCTGGGTGGCAGAGCAAGACTCCATCTCAAAAAAAAAAAAAAAAAAAAAAAGAAAAATTAAAAATTAGCTAGGCATGGTGGCACATGCCTGTAGTCCCCAGCTACTAGGAAGGCTGAAGCAGGAAGATTGCTTGAGCCCAGGAGGCTGAGGCTTCAGGTGAGCTGTGATGGCACCACTGCACTCCAGCCTGGGCAACAGAACAAGACCCTGTCTCTTGGGGAAAAAAAAAAAAAAAAAAAAAACAAGCTTAAGTTAAAATTTCATTAATTCAAATAGACCATGAAAATTCAGGAGAAATTAGTATGTGTGCATGGACAGGGAAGGGTAATGGAGAAGTGGGCAACTGGTTTTACTCCAAATATTTTTTTTCTTTTTCTTTTTTTTTTTTTTTTGAGATGGAGTCTCACTCTGTTGCCCACGCTGGAGTGCAGTAGCGCGATCTCAGCTCACTGCAAGCTCCACCTCCCAGGTTCACGCCATTCTCCTGCCTCAGCCTCCTGAGTAGCTGCGACTACAGGCGCCGCCACCACGCCTGGCTTTTTTTTTTTTTTTTTTTTTTTTAGTAGAGACGGGGTTTCACCGTGTTAGCCAGGATGGTCTTGATCTCCTGACCTCGTGATCCACCTGCCTTGGCCTCCCAAAGTGCTGGGATTGCAGGCGTGAGCCACCGCGCCTGGCCTTTTTTTTTTTTTTTTTTGAGATGGAGTCTCACTTTGTCGCCCAGGCTGTAGTGCAGTGGCGCGATCTCGGTTCACTGCAAGTTCTGCCTCCTCGGTTCACACCATTCTCCTGCCTCAGCCTCCCGAGTACCTGGGACTACAGGTGCCTGCCACCACGCCTGGCTAATTTTTTGCATTTTGTTTAGTAGAGGCGGGGTTTCACCATGTTAGCCAGGATGGTCTCGATCTCCTGACCTCGTGATCCGCCCACCTCAGCCTCCCAAAGTGCTGGGATTACAGGCGTGAGCCACTGCGCCCAGCCTACTCCAAATATTTTTATGTTTTCCCATCATATCAGTTTTCTATAAATCTCATTTGCTATCACTAATACTTACAGACAGAGGGCCCAAAATTGCATTCCACATTTGCACTTACTAAACTAAGGCCCAAATTGTTTTCCCACAAAAATATGTGTGTGTCTACCATGTGTCTTGGCACTTGGGATACAAGAGTGAATAAAATAGACAGAGTTTAAAGTGTTTTTTTAGGCCAGGCGCGGTGGTCACGCCTGTAATCCCAGCACTTTGGGGGGCTGAGGCGGGCGGATCACGAGGTCAGGAGATTGAGACCATCCTGGCTAACACAGTGAAACCCCATCTCTACTAAAAATACAAAAAATTAGCCGGGCGTGGTGGCGGGCGCCTGTAGTCCCAGCTACTTGGGAGGCTGAGGCAGGAGAATGGCGTGAACCCGGGAGGTGGAGCTTGCAGTGAGCTGAGATCGCACCACTGCACTCCAGCCTGGGTGACAAAGCAAGACTCCATCTCAAAAAAAAGAAAATAAAGTGTTTTTTTAGGATCAGATCTGTCCACCAAGATGATGTTGTCTTACTATGGCACCTTCATCTGAAATCACAACACTGATTATCTCATACGTTTGACACTAAAATTAGAAGTTTACAGCACCCTACTGCTTTTAAATTTCTCTACATGCTGTCCTGGTCATATCCAAATGGCAGGCTAGACATGGGTCTGGAGGCCTCCTTTCCTCTCTCAGGTCTGGAGTGAGGTAGACCATGTCCTTTGTGTTTTCCAATGCAACAGGCTGGGCTGCATGTATAAAAGCCAGGCCAGGCAGGAAGTTGGGAAGGGCTCTGAAAGCTCTGACTCAACACTGGGGAAAGGGTCTTCCCATGTCAGCAGGAAGAGCCAGCAGAGTGTACAAATGTACAAGAGTGAGCACTCTAGCATACTTCCAGGCCCGGTCTGGGAAGTGAACCCAAGAGACCTGGGGCAGACGAACAGACTCAAGGCAGGAACTGCCAGCACAGGGCTGAACCTTCAAAAGCTCCTGGGACAGCCAGGTTTCCCAAGAGGGAAGTCTTTTTTCTGTTTTGTTGGCCAGGCTCACTTCTGTAACTGAATAAGAAAAAACTAGATGGGAGTGGGATAGATGGAGGGCAGGGAAGAAGCCACCAAAAATTTCTCCAAGCAGAAGAAAACCATGCAGAAAATGAGACGGCAGAAGGGCAAAAGAAGCCCAGGGGCCGCCAGGCCTCAGATTAGAAGGCAGGTGCACATAGATGTGTTTTAGCCAGGGGCTCTCCTGAATGACCCACTGACACTTGGAGGGGCAAACGTGTCTTGGAACAAGCTTTGGTGAGTACTGATCATGTTCCAGGACATACAAGTCCTGGGGATGGGACATGTGCAAAGCTCATCTCTGCACTCTCCAGCCATTTACTGTCTAGTAGGAATACAGACACTAAACCAGGCAAACAATAAGGTGACTTCTGTGATGGGGCAGGCACGTGGAACGATTAGTCAGAATTAAATTGCAACTTGAAGGTGAGGCAGGAGGTACCAAACTTTCTGATTGATTCAATTTTTTTTTTTTTTTTTTGGCAGAGCAGGGCTGTGGAAGTAGTTTCCAGATGAAGAAACAGGTTGCATGAAGGACCAGGGTTTCTAGAGAGCAGTTGTGGACTAGACAGATGGTCAGAAGGAGAATGCAAGATTCTCTAAGATGCTAGAGAGGGCAATGGGGCCACATATGGGGGACATGTAGATCACTGCAAAGACAGCAAAGGGAGCCAAGTAAAGGCTCCACACAGGCATACAGGAACTTGATCTGGGGCCGGGCATGGTGGCTCATGCCTGTAATCCCAGAACTTTGTGAGGCCGAGGGGGACAGATCACTTAAAGCCAGGAGCTCAAGAGCAGCCTGGCCAACATGGTGAAACCCTGTCTCTACAAAAAATTAAAAAATTGGCGAGGTGTGGTATTGCCTGCCTGTAATACCAGCTACTCAGGAGGCTGAAAATCAGTTGAACCCAGGAGGCGGAGGTTGTAGTGAACCAAGATTGCGCCACTGCACCCCAACCAGGGTGACAGAATGAGACTCTGTCTCAAAAAAAAAAAAAAAAAAGAACATGATCTGGACAATTCGTTTGGGGGATCCATGTTCCCCAACAATGTCACATAAGACAAAATGTGAGACCACCAGAAACCTATGAAGCTTCCATGTTCTCGGTGAATACATGGTTAGCAGACATCAATGGTAACCCTGTCTTTAAAGATGAAAAAAATCAGCCTAGCTTTGTAGGATCATGCAGAACTGGCCTTTCCTTTAGAAAGATTACCAGCCTCAGGAACCACAACTCCCACAGTGCACCAAGAAGAGGAAGTACTGGTTTCAGAGCTGTCTCAGTGCCTTTATCTTTTAAAACAGTGCCATCTGGTGGGCCTTAAACCTTAAAGGTGAAATTCTAACTCCAGGGCCATCTGTAATCCTAGGGCGGCTCTAACCAACTCTTTTCAGGTATCAAAATTCTTCAGCCCAAATACATAAAGAACTCTTACGACTCAATAACAAAAAGACAAATAGGCTGGGCATGGTGGCTCGAGCTTGTAATCCCAGCACTTTGGCTGGCTGAGGCAGGTGGATCACTTGAGTCCAAGAGTTCAAGACCAGCCTGAGCAACATGGCAACACCCTGTCTCTACAAAAATACAAAAATTAGCCAGGCATGGTGGCACGTGCCTGTAGTCCCAGCTACTCAGGAGGCTGACATGGGAGGATCACCTGAGCCTGGGAGGTTGAGGCTGCAGTGAGCCATGAACACACCCCTGCACTCTAGCCTAGGCAACAGACCGAGGCCCTGTCTCAAAAACAACAACAAATAACCCAATTTAAAAATGTTCAAGTCTGAGAGACCGAGGTGGGAAGATTGCTTGAGTCCAGGAGTTTGAGACCAGCCTGGGCAACATAGCAAGACCCTGTCTGTACAAAAAAATTTTAAAGTCAGCTGGGCATGGTGGCACACACCTGTAGTTCCCAGCTACTTTGGAGGCTGAGGTGTGAGGCTCGCTTGAGCCCAGGAGGTTGAGGCTGCAGTAAGCTGTAACTGAGCCACTTGCACTACAACCTGGGTGACAGAGCAAGACCCCCTCTCTTTAAAAAAAAACAATGGTCAAGGGATCTGAATAGACGTTTCTTCAAAGAAAATATACAAATAGCCATTAAGCACGTGAAAAGATACTCAACATAATTCATCAGAGAAATGCAAATCAAAACCACAATGAGATACCACTTCAAACCCTTTAGGACAGCTGTAATAAAAAAGACAACAACAAGTGTTGAGATATAGAGAAACTGGACCCCTCAAACACTGCTGGTGGAAATGTGAAATGGCACAGCCACCTTGAAAAACAGTCTGGCAGATCCTCCAAAAGTTAAACAGAGTTACCATTTGACCCAGTAATTCTACTCTTAGGTATATGTCCAAGAGAAATGAAAACATATGTCCACACAAAAACTTGTACATGAATGTTCATAGTAGCGTTATTCATATTAGCCAAAAGGTAGAAACGACCCTGTGTCCACCAATGGATGAATGGATAAGTAAAATGTGGCATATTTACACATACAATGGAATATTGTTTGGCAATAAAGAAGAATGGAGTCATTGATACATGATACAAGGTGGATAAAACTTAAAAACGTTTGGTCATGGTGGCTCACTCCTGTAATCCCAGCACTCTGGAAGGCCGAAGCAGGAGGATCACTTGAGGCCAGGAGTTTGAGGTCAGCCTGAGCAAGACCCCATCTCTACAAAGCACTAAAAAGCTAGCCGGGCATGGTGGTGTGTGCCTGTAGCCCTAGCTACTTGGGAGGCTGAGGCAGGAGGATCACTTGAGCCCAGGAGTTTGAGGTTACAGTGAGCTGTGATCGTGCCACTACACTCCAGCCTGGGCAACAGAATGAGACCCAATCTCTTAAAAACAAAAAAAAACAAAAAAAACCCAAACTTTAAAACATTATGCTAAGTGAAAAAGTCAGTCAAAAAAGACCACATTCTATTTATATAAAATGTCCCAAACAGGGAAATCTATAAAAGAACAAAGGAAAGTAGTAGTTGCCAAGGGATGGAAGTAGTAAGGGTGGATGATAGCTAAAGGGTGCAGGTTTCTTTTAAGGGTGATAAAAATGTTCTAAAATTGATTGTGGCAATGGCTGTACAATTCTGTAAATATACTAAAAACTATTATATTTACACTTCAAGTAAATGAATTGTATAGCAAGTAAATATCTCAATAAAGCTGTTAAAAAAATCCTTCAGGCCAAATGTATAACATTTAGCAAACTTTTTCTGCAAAGAATCAGATAGTAAATATTCTAAGCTTTGCAAGCCATACAATATCTGTTCCAACTATTCAACTCTGCCACTGTAGTGAAAGTAGCCATAGATGATATGTAAATGAATGCATGTGGCTGTGTTCCAATAAAACTCTATTTACAAAAACAGGTGGCAGGCTGGACCCTGATCTACAGACTACATAATCTCCCTCAATCCACACCACTATTCTATGAGGATGACAAGGCAGCTAATGCCTCGGAGGTGATAGAGAAGCTAAACATCTTGTCTTGGTGACAGACAACTGGTAAATAGCAGAGACAAGACTTCTAGCCTTGACTTCATCAGGCAGTTGCATTCAGCCAGATACGCTGAATAGATAGGTTTCTCCAGAACACCTGCCACTCTGGGAGTCAATAGACCTCTGATAAGCTGGTGCAGAACTAAACTGCCACAACAACCTCATATAGGTCTTCTTGTTGCAATATCTCCTTCTCCAACACCTCAGTGACCCTTTCGTAAACTCCTCCTCTCCTTCTGATAACCTTCAATGGCATGGCCATTCCTAAGTGGCCAAGTTCAATCAGCTTGCTGACTGAAGTGTTCATTGAGAAGAACCCACTGCGGTTTAATCTTCTACTACTTCAAATACGCACAAATATCTCACAACTGGTAAGGTCTTTAGAGAGAACACGTGGGGGTCGGGGGCCGGGCGCGGTGGCTCATGCCTGTAATCCCAGCACTCTGGAAGGCTGAGGAGGGTGGATCATGAGGTCAGGAGATCGAGACCATCCAGACTAACATGGTGAAACTCCGTCTCTACTGACAATACAAAAAAATTAGCCAGGTGTGGTGGTGGGCACCTGTAGTCCCAGCTACTCGGGACGCTGAGGCAGGAGAATGGCGTGAACCCGGGAGGCGGAGCTTACAGTGAGCCAAGATTGCGCCACTGCACTCCAGCCTGGGTGACAGTGCAAGACTCTGTCTCAAAAAAAAAAAAAAGCATGCATGGGCCTGATTTATGCACCTCCCTTCTCATTCATTCATTCCTATTTTCTTTCACATTTGACTACCTACCATGTGCCAGGTACTTCCAAGAGCCTAACTAGTAAGTTTAGGCTTTTTAAAAAGGAAAAGAAGGCAGTAGATCAAGTGCCACCATTATGTAAAGTGAGCATCCACAAATCTAAATTAACCCTTTGTGGTCAGGCATGGTGGCTCACGCCTGTAATCCCAGCATTTGGGAGGCTGAGGCGGGAGGATCACCTGAGGTCAGGAGTTCATGACCAGTGTGGCCAACATGGTGAAACCCCATCTCTACTAAAAATACAAAATTAGCCACGTGTGGTGGCGGACACCTGTAATCCCAGCTACTTGGGAGGCTGAGGCAGGAGAATTGCTTGAATCTGGGAGGTAGAGGTTGCAGTGAGCCAAGATCACACCATTGCATGCCAGCCTGGGTGACAAGTGTAAAACTCCATCTCAAAATAAATAAATAAATACGTAAATAAATAAATTAATTAACCCTTTGCTTTTTGCCAACTTGGTGAACTCCTGAATGTGTCCCCTTTGCTATGCCTCCCTGGGATGCCCTTCCTTTCTCTTCTTTACTGGCCCTTCATGGCCCATTTCCAGGCCCTTCCCCTGAGTCCTGCAGGTGAAACTTCAGCTCCCTGCTGCATCCAGCCCCCTTCCCCATTTCTATAAAGTTATAGAACTTGGCTGGGCGCGGTGGCTCACGCCTGTAATCCCAGCACTTTGGGAGGCCGAGGTGGGCGGGTCACAAAGTCAGGAGTTCGAGACCAGCCTAGTCAATATAAACCCCATCTCTACTAAAAATACAAAAATTAGCAGGGCATGGTGGCAGACGCCTGTAGTCCCACCTACTTGGGAGGCTGAGACCACAAAATCGCTTGAATCTGGGAGGCGGAGGTTGCAGTGAGCCGAGATGGTGCCACTGCACTCCAGCCTCTGTGACAGAGGAGACTCCGTCTCAAAAAAACACAAAAAAACAGAAGAAGAAGAAAAAAAAAGAACTTGACAGCCAGAAAGATCCTCAAAGGCAACCTAGTACTTCAACGCATGGAGAAAAATGAGGAAGTAGTTGCATGCCCAAGATCACACAGACCTCAGAGGTTCAGCCAGCATCAGATCCTAGATTTGCACTCCTGCCACAATGCCAAACTGCCTGTGAAGTTCTGGATTTTCTAAAACAGGCAGTGTCAGGGAAAAGTCCCTCATACCTTGCTGTCACCCTGGACACGTTCTAGATACCCAACACTCTCCCACCTTTTTGCTGAACTCCTACTCATCTATCATGGCTCAGCTTAAACAAACGCCCTTTCACCCAAGACCCATTCTAAACCCTGAACATCCCCAAGATGGGAGTAAGCGATTCTCTGTGTTCTCACAGTTTCTTTGTATGTCCCTTATCAGGATATTATAAACCACAATTTAATCAGAATATTATAACCTTTTGCAATGAACAGTGAACATCATTCAGGTGGGCCTTTTTCTTCTTTAATTGAGCTTCTCTACCAATACATACAGGTGGGTCTTAAAGACAACCGTGCCTCCTGCCTCCAGCACAATAAAACTAATTGAATGGTGGGAGGGTGTTACTGCTCTTCATTCACTGAAATGAGTCATTCTCACTCTTACCCTGACACCACTCACCATCAGCAATGAAAGAGCCACTACTTCTAAGCTTCATCAGAGTTGGAGGTGGAGGTGACTCCACAGTCAGAGGTGGAGGTGTCAATTTCTATTTAGGAGAGAAGGCTGCAGATGGCAGAGGTTGTGGTAGGAGGGAAAGTCAGGAAACCTGCAGCAGAAGTGCCCGGGATGGAGGAATGAAGGCCCAGGTTCTAGGTCCCTTCTGGGCAGGTCTTGTGTTGGGCAGTGGAGACACGGAAAACAGTCAGACAGACACCACAAACCTCTGAGAGAGTCTGCCTGTAACCCAGACGAAGTCCTGATTCAGAGCCCAAACTTCCCCTTTTGAAAACAAAGATGACACCTGCTTTCCTTATTAAAGGGAGGGCAGCCATAAGCTTTGAGAAAACCTGCACAGGCCAAATATCAATTACTGTATCGTGCGTGACTCGCTGTTCCCTCTCGGGTCGTCTGCCCTTGTCTGGGCTTCACTTTCTCATCTGTAAAAAGACCTGACTGGCCTGCATAACCTCATGAGCCTGAACCCTGCCTCAGTTACTTCGCTTTGCACAGCCGAAGCCCGAAGCCCACCTTACCCCAGCTCGGCCCCAACCCAAAAGAACATGTCATGGTCTTACCTGTCGGCGGGGCGTAAGCCCGGGCTGGAGACGGGATGGTTGGCCCCGGACTCATAGAAGCGCTGGGGCCACCCGCCGGCCGATTCAGGAGACGGCGTCCCCCGTCCCGCAGCCGGAGGCAGCTCCTCCACATCGCGCCCGAGGGTCTGGGAAGATGCGAGACGCGAAACCTGGAGCAGGAAACACAGAGCGATGGGATCCCCAAAGCCGCACGGTCGGGCTGTACGGAAACCTCTCAACGCCTCCTCAGAGCCCTCAACCTCCCTTGGACGCCGCCATCTTCCGCATGACACCTACGGCGCGCCGTCGCCGCCGCGCGCCTCCTGCGCACACCCCCAGTCAATCAGCATCACAAACGCACCTCGCCCCGCCCCCTCCACGCCGCGCCTCGGCGAGGAGACTACAAGTCCCAGCGGGCCGCTCGCGCACCGCGCCACGTGTTTTCTCCTCCCGCCAATGGGCGGAAGCGCCGCCTGAGCCTGCTCCCGCCCCCCAGGCTCGCCTGAGCCAATCGGAAGGGGCGGGGTGTGTGTGTGTCTGTGTGTGTTTGTGTGTTGTGTGTCTGTGAGTGTCTGTGTGTGTGTATGTGTGCGCGAGGGCAAGTCGGGAGGGGGACCCAGCTCAGGACTGGGAGGCCCTGCTCGCAGGTCCCTGGGTCCCGGTGGCGGCCGGAGCGCTTGCTCCGCAGGCAGCGGGCGGGTGGTCGCCCCTCCCGCCCCCACCCCGCGCGTGCGCGCCCCGGCCTCTCCCTCCCCGCCACCCTCCTCGGCTCCCGCGCGGCGGCGGCGGTTCCTCTCCCACTCCCCCCAGCCCTGGCTCCGGGGGACCCCGCGATGCCGGTCCGCACCGAGTGTCCCCCGCCGGCCGGTGCCTCCGCTGCCTCCGCGGCCTCACTCATCCCGCCGCCGCCCATCAACACCCAGCAGCCCGGCGTGGCCACCAGCCTGCTCTACAGCGGCTCCAAGTTCCGCGGCCACCAGAAGAGCAAGGGGAACTCGTACGACGTAGAGGTGGTGCTGCAGGTGAGCGCCGGGCCGGGCCGGGGCCCGAGGGCCTCCTCGCGGCGCTCACGGGCCGTGCCCGCTTCGGCTCCTCGACCCCGCAGCCGCGGAACAGGCCCTCGCCGCCGGGGCCTCCTGCACCCGGCGCTTCCCACCCGGGACCTTCCCAGCCTGTGTCTCACACTCTCCGAGCCCCAGCCCTGACCTGCCCCTTCGGACCCAGAGCCCGTCGTGACCGGCTCCTGGCGGACCCCGAACACTCCCAGACTTGAAGCCCGTGACCGGCCCGTCTGGGATCCGGAAGCCCCTCATGACTCGGAGAAGGCCTGGGTCCTTCCTCCCCATGACCTGTCGTCCCTAGATCAGGGACTGCCACCAGCCCTTTTCAGACCCTGAAGAACTCTCCATTGGTTTCACCAGACTTGGGACCCTCCCCATGTCTGGGCCCACGTCAGATTCTCTCAGACCTGAGACATGTCCTCCTGCCCCTTCCTCAGTTCCAGGAATCCGCAGACCTTGGGGTCTTCCTCCTCCTGAGATCTCCTTAGGAGGGCTTCATCAGACCCCCAGACGGGGGAGCACCTAACCCGCAACTGATTGGTCAGGCCCTGGCCTCACCTCAAGACCAGGCACTCACTCCCTGAGTGCTGCTCACAGTCTGTTGGGATGTTGCCTCCTGGGTCCCCTGTTCCACTCACTGCTTCTGTCTCTTCATGGTCCAGGCACCCAGCTCCTTCCAGCTTCTCCACCCCCAGGCCTCCTGCCCCTGCTCTGGGACCATTTGCAGTCTTTTCCCAGTCTTCCTGGCCTCTATCCAGACTTCCCCACCCCATACCTTCGTCTTGCTCGATCCTGGTTCCAGGGGACCCTCTTTCCTGTTCTTAACTTTTCTCTACACAGGCACAGGGCTTCCTCTTAGTCTCTGGTACCCATGTACTGGGAAATCTAACTCACCCAATTTTAGTTCATGTCCAGTCGCCTCCCCCCATTTGACCTGGATTCCTGAATACCTGCTGCCAGTCCCTGATCAGCTTCGGAAGTACAGCTTCACTTGTCTGGGCCTTTCCCACACCTCACTCCTCTCAGGCTTGACACTTTTTGCCAGCTGAAATGGAGTGGCAGTGGTGAATACTCTTTTATCTCCCCTCCCCACAAAACTCTTCCTCCTCTATACCTACCCCTGCCTGACTAAGGACCCCTTTCCCCTTCCCTTTGCCCTTTTTTTCCTTAGTCTGACACCTCATCTGCCAGGCTGTTCCCAGAAGCCCCTCCAAACACCTGTCCCTCTGAAAGGCACTGTGTGCTGCCCCACTGCCTCCCCCCCGCCCCACCCCCCGGGGTGTGAGGGTGGAATGTACAGTATATTTATTCCTCAAGCTCTCCTTTTGGTCATTTAAAACAAATCTTAGTTTCACTTCTGAAGAGTAGGTCTCCCATCCAAAAGACAATGAGGGTGCCTTTTCTTTCTGCTAACTGCGGAGCACTCATCACTCTTTTATTCTCATACTGCTTTGTGGGAATAAATCATTTTCTCTGCTTACTTGAAACAGCATCGTCATGTTAATCATATCTTTGGGCTGTAAAGTTCTATCATGAGCCACGATAGTTATTATAATGGAAATACGATTGTGGCTGAAATATTTTTGTCTTCATAACTGTATGCCTAATGTAGTGATCCTCTTCTTAAAATGTGAGAGTCGAGTATGAAGGTACAGGGGTTTTTCGGTTTGTTTTGCACCTAGTCATAGAATTCTGGAGGTGAGATCCCTGGGTGGGTCACGTTTGGGATGATCTTGGATTTGTCCCTGTTGTTCAGTTTGATGGTTTCTGATGTAGTAGGGGACAATTGGCAAGATAGCCAGGCGTCAAAGGGGAGTCTGCTTTGGCTACTGCAGCAACTGCTGCTCCCTTCTGTCATTAGGGTATCACTTCTGAGCTCCTTTCAGAAGGAGAATCATGAACCAGGGGAAGCAGTGGTTGAGTTGGGGCAGGGCTGATAGGTCTCAGGCAGCCCAGAGCAGAAACCTGGTGGATGGCTGGGAGCCACTTGAGTAAGATGTCTGATGGTGGGGGTGGTGGTCATGCCAATGAATGCTGCCCTACATCTGGATTGGTGAGCTGCTTGGTCATCATCACGACTAGTCAGTGGCATGTGAATTGCCCCATCATCTGGTTTTTCAGCCAGGACTAGTTTGTCAGACACAGCCTTCTTAGACTTAAAATACTTCTGCCTTTTATAACTCAGCTTCTTTTTGTTTGTTTTGTTTTGTTTTCTTTCTTTCTTTTTGTATCTTTATTTAGATAGAATTCACTTATTTAAGGTGTACAATTCAATAGTTTTTAGTATATTCACAGTTGTTTAACCACCACCACAACCTAATTTTAGAATATTTTCATCACCCCAAAAGGAAACCTTGTATGTAACCCTTAGCCATAACCCCCACTCCAATCCTAGGCAACTGCTCATCTATTTTTGTTGTTGTTTGTCTATTCTGGACATTTCATATAATCACATAGTATTTGTCCTTTTGAGATTGGCTTCCTTCACTTAGCATAATGTCCTCAAGGTTCATCCATATGGTAATATGTATCAGCACTTATATTCCTTTTTATTTTGCATTGTTCATTGTAACAATTGTCCATTGAATGGATATACAACATTTTGTTTATACAGTGATCAGTTGATGGACATTTGGGTTGTTTCCACTTCTGGCTACTATGAATAATACTGCTATGAACATTTATGTACAAGTTTTTATGTGGATGTATATTTCACTTTGGTAGATAACTACCTGGG
The DNA here is from genome assembly GCF_000001405.40 of Homo sapiens. Taxonomy (NCBI): domain Eukaryota; kingdom Metazoa; phylum Chordata; class Mammalia; order Primates; family Hominidae; genus Homo; species Homo sapiens. Next base: position 18,042,679 of record NC_000017.11, read on the forward strand.
AGTGCAATTGCTGGGTCACATGGTAACTGGGTTTTAACATTTTGAGAAACTGGCCCTGCATTGTTTTACATTTCCACCAGCAGTGGGTGAGGGTTCCAGTTTCTCCACATCCCCGCCAACACTCACTGTTCATCTTTTTTGTTGTAGCCATCCTAGTGTTTTTGAAGTGGTCTCTCACTGTAGTCTTGATTTGAATTTCTATAATGACTGTGCTGTTGTGCATCTTTTCTTGTGTTTTTGTTGTTGTTGTTGTTTTGGAGTACTTTCTTTTCTGTGATTCTAGTGTAAAGAGTTCCTCAAACCTTTGTGAGTTTCTGACTGGGTCTCCTCTCCACCCCGCACTTACTGTGACTCCTCTTTCCTCCTCTGCCATCTAAGAAGCCAGCAGTAGAAGGGAGCCCTGGTCGCTGTGAAAGGAATATTTAAAAGAACAGCCGTTGGACACAGCTGTGCTGTGACACCTTCTTGCTAAACACGTGCCCTGTTATCTTTCTTGAGATGCTCGCCTGCCGTTTGGTAAAAGCTGTATGCGTTGTGGTGTATTTGAGTTCACCAACCATTATCAAGATCAATTTGGGCAGAGTAGAGAGACGCTTGGTTGAATGGAGGCCAAGCTGAAATTCTGATTCTTGAGCATGTGATAATCCATGCAAAATGTTAGCCAATTTACATTTCAATTTTTAATCTTATTAGCAAGTATCCTTGCCACCTGATACACTTTTCAGCAGCTGTGAAACTCCAAACTATATTGAATTCAATGAGAATTGCATACATGAAATTTAAAGACTCAGGTTAGAATTATGTGTCCTTTAATAAAAGTTCTTTGCTGAACCATGTTAGCGTGGATTAGCTGTTTTAGATAATGTCCAGTGCCAAGGTCAGCAGATGAGGATATTTAAAATGCTTTGGCAGTTTTCACAGGGAATACCTTTGTCACCAGCACCAAACTGTGAAGGCACTTTGGCTTCATTGAAGTTCATTTGCTTTGGTGCTGACATCATCTGGTTGACTAAGTTCATTACAGTTTTTAAGCATGGCTTAGTATTTGATTTATGGTATAATTGGAAGTAATCAGGTTCACAAATCTGATAAATGCCACAAAACTATTCTAATTTCTTGAAATAAGACCTCACTTAACATTAAAATCTCAGTGTACCACAGGTACCCTTGTACTTGGTTTGCTTTAATTCAAGGATTTACCTTGTAAGTGAATCCAATTGTCATGAAATCTGAAACTCCCTATTCAGAATGAGTCTGTATAGATTTGGGTGAAATCTCACATCAGGAGGATTTTTGAGGTGACGTGGCTTCAGGTTGGTTAATTCAGAGGCCTACGATGGGCCCAGTTTTTTCCATCTTTCTAACTACCATCCTCAGCATTTCCTGGCCTGTTTCTCCCCTGTGGTCTAGATGTCTCCCCCAGGACTGGACACTCCATGCGGATACTGTCACCACTAGGGGACAAAAAAGCCATTTCTTCCTCATGCGCCTCTTCAAAAGCCAGGGATTTTTCACAGATGCACTCAGGAGACTTACACATCTGATGAGCCAGAAATGGGTCACTCACCCCTAAATACATGACTTGCAAGGGGATAGGGACACCTGTGTGCCTTAGATCCATCAGGTTGACCAAGTCTTACGTGGTAGGTAGGTACCAGAGCAAAAACTGGACCCTGCCAGCGTGAAAAAGGAGGAAATTGTTTGTTGGGTAGGCATCCGGCAGTGTCTCAGCAACCAGTAATTGGTGACTGCTAAACCTCAAAGTCTACTATGCCTGTTATTTCTATTTATTTTAGGCTCCTGACTCTTTTCATTAAGAAACACAGCATCCATATATAAAATGCACAGAGTGAACATTCACAATATAGTCAGACTTTTGGTTGGCATTTTGGTTCATAACTGAAGTTTATACCACATAAATCTTTATAAGATGCCATTTCTGAACAGTCTGCCCATTTCATAAAGAGATAATGCAGGATGATGTTTAGTGTAAAAACTAGAAGAGGAGCAGACCTCCTAGACCAATGATTGAGCAATACAGAAATAGAAAAAGGCTTGAAAGACATTAGAAAGAAAGTCAAGCCTGAGGTTAGGGATGACACCACGTGTACAGGCAGAGACAGAGGCCCTGTGCCCAGCAATGCTCAAGGTCTCTAGATGACCGGGAGACGTGTGTTGAAGATAGTACAGAAAATGAATTTGAGTGGGCACCCCATTTCAGAAAGACACTTCAGTCTCATGATATTCAGCTGAAGAAAGTTGAGAGGGTCTTGGGATCAGTTTGCTTTGGCAGAACAGGCATGTGTGTGGGGAGAACTTATCAAGATTCCAGAGACTGGGTGAGCCTTGGACTGCCCTGGGTGTTCACTGACCACCAGTCTGGCCTCACAGGATTTGCAGAGTACCCTCCTGCATGTCCCCTAGTAAGTTTATCTATTTGTGACAGGCTGTGTATCCTTTCTTTTCAGCACGTGGACACGGGGAACTCTTACCTTTGTGGGTACTTGAAGATTAAAGGCCTTACTGAGGTAAGCACTTGCTCACACAAACCAGCACTAGAAAGTCTGTGGTGTGCTCCACAGGCTCATTGGGGTTCAGGGCAGGCGGTCTCAACTCCTTGAGGCCTAATTAAAGCAGACTACTCCTGAGCATTGCTACTGTATAGGGAACATAAAACAGGCAGTTTCAGTGTGTCCTGTTGAGAAGTGTACAGATTCACAAATGTTTTAAAGAAAAGTTTATAAGTACATCATAATTGTCACAACCAACACTATTGATTTTATTTTTAATCCTTTTTGGGGGAAAAAATAATAAGAATATAGCTGCCACCCTCATCATAAGTTTAACAGTTTCTGAGATAAGCATCAGTCCTATAAAAAATGAGCTTTTAAGTTCTTTAAGCCTCTTAGTTAATTGGAACAATGAAAAGTTACTGACTGGTCGCGGTGGCTCATGCCTGTAATCGCAACACTTTGGGAGCCTGAGGTGTGCAGATCACTTGAGGTAGGGAGACCAGCCTGGCCAACATGGTGAAACCCCATCTCTACTAAACATAAAAAAAAAAAATTAGCCGGGCATGGTGGCACAGACCTGTAGTTCCAGGTACTTGGGAGTCTGAGGCACAGAGAATCACTTGAACCAGAGAGGCAGAGGTTGCAGTGAGCCAAGATCACCATGCACTCCAACCTGGGCAACAGAGCAAGACCCTGTCTCAAAAAAAAAAAAAAAGAAAGAAAAAAAAGGGGAAGTGACCATCTAGTTTCCAGCAGAAGTACCTGCTGTGCAGAGTATTTTATTTTCTTTGAACCAAGTTTTTAAACCTCAGAACTCCTGGGACTTTAGAAAGCAAGGAGGAGCATCCTTTCTTTTCCATTAGCAAGGAAACAGGAAGTGGAAGGAGGTAGCTGGACTGGCCCTCCGAATGCTGGGAATGCCCAGGCTGGACCTAGCTGCAGGGGGCCTCTGGCCTTTGTCAGCTCTCATGGTCTGATGATCCAGCAGTATTTGGACAGAGTGCTGTGCTGGATGGGGCAGTGGAAAGGAGCTGGGGTGGCATTCTTCTTCTGCCCCTTCCTGCATCTGTGACCTTTAACTTCTTTCAGTGTCCTCATCTGCGAAGTTGAGAATTAAAAATTCCTGCTCCAGGCTGGGTGCTGTGGCTCACACCTGTAATCCCAACATTTTGGGAGGTCAAAGCAGGAGGATCACTTGGGGCCAGGAATTCAAGACCAGCCTGGACAGCATAGCAAGACCTTGTCGCTACAAATAATTTTTAATAAATTAGCCAGGCATGGTGTTGTGTGCCTGTAGTCCTAGCTACTCAGAAGACTGAGGCTGGAGTATCGCTTGAGGCTAGGATTTGAAGGCAGCAATGTGCTGTGATCATGCCTGTGAATAGCCACTGCACTCCAGCCTGGGCAACCTAGGAAGATCCTCTCTCTTTAAAAAAAAAAAAAATTGGGGTCGGGCGTGGTGGCTCACACCTGTAATCCCAGCACTTTGGGAGGCTGAGGTGGATGGATCACCTGAGGTCAGGAGTTCAAGACCAGCCTGGTCAACATGGTGAAACCCCATCTTTACTAAAAATATAAAAATTAGCTGGGCATGTTGGCAGGCACCTGTAATTCCAGCTACTCAGGAGGCTGAGGCAGGAGGATCGCTTGAACCCGGGAGGCGGAGGTTGCAGTGAGCCAAGATTGCACCATTGCGCTCCAGCCTGAGCAACAAGAGCGAAACTTTGTCTCAAAAAAAAAAAAAAAAAAAAAAATCCCTGCTCTGTCTAAGACAATCAGTGGACTTGTTCTGGGGGTAAGGAAAGAATGTTAGAGAAAATGACAGACTCAAATATGGTACTAATATGTGATTCTCTTGTAAAGTCCTGATGAGCCTCAGTCTTAAGACAAGTTTCTGGCTCCTGGTTCCTATCTGCTTTTCTATTAGAAGCTTAACTGATTAAGGATCTCCTATGAAGTTTGTTGTTGAGACCAAAGGTATTTCTTCTTTAACTCGAGAATTGTATCAAATCAAGTAGGAGTAGAAGTGATAGCAAAATACAGGATTCCAGCCTTTGGGTTTGTGGTAGGAGAAAAGATACTAAAACAGAATATGCTCAACTCTCAGGTAGCCAAATACATTAGTTAACTGGGTGCAGAACATAAACACTGAATTTCATAAGGAAACCAGCAAGTGTGTAAGGCATTGGAATGTTAACGCTGACTCCAAAACCAGTCATTTGGGTGATAACAAGCTGCACAGAAATGGTAAGTAGCATTCGAAATCTTGAAGAAGTATACAGAAATGCTAATGGCATTGAGCTCTCCATCGGGAACAAGTAGCCCTTCCTTTAGGAAGCCCCCGTGAGTCGAGAGCAGCAGTCAGGCTCCTTTGAGGAGGGGGCACTGACAATGGCCCTTCAATGGGGGCTAACCCAAGGGGAGCCCTAGGCTCTTAACAGAACCTCTGCAGATGGCGTGGCCTCGATGAGCACATACCCTCCCCAGAGTTGCCTGTTCCTGGTCCAGCAATAAATAGACCACGTTATGCTGCTGCAGGGGTGTTGCGTTAAAGCAAGTCCTGCTCAGGCCTTAGATGTAGAAGAATTCTTTTTAAATAATGTTTTTTAGTAGCTTTATTGAGATAATTCACATACCATACATTTCACCCATTTGAAGTATACAGTTCATTGGTTTTTAGTGTATTCACAAAGTTGTGCAACTATGTGATAACTTTTTTTTTTTTTTGAGATGGAGTCTCGCTCAGTCACCCAGGCTGGAGTGCAGTGGTGCAATCTCGGCTCACTGCAAGCTCCGCCTCCTGGGTTCACGCCATTCTCCTGCCTCAGCCTCCCGAGTAGCTGGGACTACAGGTGCCCGCCACCACACCCGGCTAATTTTTTTGTATTTTTAGTAGAGATGGGGTTTCACCGTGTTAGCCAGGATGGTCTCGATCTCCTGACCTCATGATCCGCCTGTCTCGGCCTCCCATAGCGCTGGGATTACATGTGTGAGCCACCACGCCTGGCCGATAACTTTTTTTTTTTGAGACAGAGTCTCAGTCACCCAGGCTGGAGTGCAGTGGTGTGATCTCACCTTACCACAACCTCTGCCTCCCAAGTTCAAGCGATTCTCCTGCCTCAGCCTCCCGAGTAGCTGGGATTACAGGCGTGCGCCACCCTGCCCAACTAACTTTTATTTTTAGTAGAGACAGGGTTTCGCCATGTTGGCCAGACTGGTCTCGAACTCCTGACCTCAAATGTCCACCCTCCTTGGCCTCCCAAAGTGTTGGGATTACAGGCGTGAGCCAACGCACCCAGCCTGATAACTTTTAAAATTATAAGTCTAGTATATGGTTGCCGTAGATAATAGTAAAATGCAGAAAACTACAATGAATCTTTGAATAAATTTTGTACCTGTATTTGGGTTTTTTTTCTTTTCCATTTATGTTTGTTAAAATATCAATTTTTTATTTTTATTTTTTGTTTTTGAGGAAGAGTCTTGCTCTGTCACCCGGGCTGGAGTGCAGTTGTGTGATCTCAGCTCACTGCAACTTCCACCTCCCAGGTTCAAGCAATTCCCATGCCTCAGCCTCCCGAGTAGCTGGAATTACAGGCATGTGCCACCACACCTGGCTAATTTTTATATTTTTAGTAGAAATGGGGTTTTACCATGTTGGCCAGGCTGGTCTTGAACTCCTGACCTCAGATGAACCACCCACCTTGGCCTCCCAAAGTGCTGGGACTACAAGCATGAGCCACCGTGCCTGGCAAAAATATCAAATTTTTAATTTATTTTAATTAAACTATAATTTGGGTTTTAGTCATAGTAGTTGCCTTCCTCACGTATACAGTATGGAAAAGTATCTACTAAAATGGAGATAGGCCAGGCACAGTGGCTCATGCCTGTAATCCCAGCACTTTGGGAGGCTGAGGCAGCTGGATCGCCTGAGGTCAGGAGTTTGAGACCAGCTTGGACAACATGGTGAAACCCCATCTCTACTAAAAATACAAAAATTAGCTGGACATGGTGGCGGGCACCTGTAATCCCAGCTACTCAGGAGGCTGAGGCAAGAGAATCGCTTGAACCCAGGAGGCAGAGTTTGTGGTGAGTTCAGATCATGCCACTGGACTCCAACCTCGGCAACAGAGTGAGACTTCGTGTCAAAAAAAAAAAAAAAAGGAGATAAGTGTCAAAAAAAAAAAAAAGGAGCTAAATGGCCTCTTAGCTACCTCACATTCACAAACAAGCACAGCTTTTTTGTTTGTTTGTTTTAATTTTTATTTTAGGCTTGGGTGTACATGCGCAGGTTTGATCTATAGATAAACTTATGTCACGGTTTACCTATGTAACTGTTGTGGAGATTATTTTGTCACCCAGGTATTAAGCCTAGTACTGAATAGTTATTTCTTCTGCTCCTCTCCCTTCTCCTACCCTCTACCCTCAAGTAGGCCCCATTGTCTGTTCTTCCCTTCTTTTTTTTTTTGAGATGAAGTCTCGCTCTGTTGCCCAGGCTTGAGTGCAGTGGTGCAATATCTGCTCACTGCAACCTCTGCCTCCCAGGTTCAAGCAGTTCTCCTGCTCAGCTTCCCAGGTAGCATGTACCACCACACCAGGCTAAATTTTTTTTTGTACTTTTGGTAGAGATGGGGTTTCACCATGTTGGCTAGGCTGGTCTTGAACTCTTGACCTCAGGTGATTTGCCTGCCTCAGCCTCCCAAAGTGCTGGGATTACAGGCTTGAGCCTATTGTTTCCTTCTTTGAGCCCATGAGTTCTCATCATTTAGCTCCTACTTATAAGGGCAGTATTTGGTTTTCTGTTCCTGCATTAGTTTGCTAAGGATAACGGCCTCTAGCTCTACCCGTGTTCACGCAAAAGACATGATCTCATTTCTTTTTATGGCTTCATAGTATTCCTTGGTGTATATATACCACGTTTTCTTTATCCAATCTGTCATTGATGGGCATTTAGGTTGACCCACTTTTTACTATTGTGAATAGTGCTACAGTGAACATTTGCATGCATGTATCTTTATAGTAGAATGATTTATACTCCTCTGGGTGTATACCCAATAATGGGATTGCTGGGTCGAATGATAGTTCTGTTTTTAACTCTTTGAGGAATTGCCACATTGCAAAACGGAGCTTTAAAGTTTGTTTTCATGCCTTCTGGAAGTGAAATTCTAGAAATGTAAAGAATAAATATGAAATAACATTCTTTTTGCACTTTTGAGCCATCCGTCAGTCAAGAGAGGCGACCTTTCCGGGGAACCCAGCAGCTTTCAGGGGTTACCTGGGAGCCCAGCCTTTGGGGGCCATGGGCAGGCCCCCCACTTACTCATTACTTGGGTTTGGAAGGGTTGGAAGCTCCAGCTGAAGTTGTGCTAGACTTGTGCTTAACTAGGGAGACAGGTCACACCTACCAAAACTCACAAAAACAAAAGTGCCAGTTTTTGTCAGAGAATGAGATTCCTGTATGTTCCAGAAGTTCCTGTTGACTTATTGGCCAATTGAATGTTAATCCTCCAGAAGACAGGTCTACATGGAAAGTCGTGGTACCTATCACCACACAGTTTTGGGTGAGCCTGGAATCAGTGGGAGGATTAGTTGGGGGACTTAAATGTCTGACAACAGCCAGACCCACCAAGGGATGCCCACTCCTGCTTTTGCTGCCTCTGTTATTCATTTCTCGATATCCTTTCTTCTGACATGGTTTTTCGTCCGCTCTATAAATTACCCCTCATTGGGCTGTAATAAAGTGCTTGAATTTCCTGTTCCTGCTCTGAGAATATTTTATCTTTTCAGTGACTTCTGTACACACTGAATCTCATTTATTAGGTATTTATTTTATTTAATTCTCAAAGTTTGAGGGTACCCTGTAGTTACCCTGATATACTGCCTAAAGTATGTTTACAAAGAAGTCAATGCAGAATTATTCATTAAGAAAACTAGTGATTTAAACCATAAGTGTTTTAATCATATTAGGACCTCCTCCCCACCCCTCCCTTTTTTAAAAATAGAGACCGGGTCTTACTATGTTGCCCAAGCTGATCTTGATCTCCTAGGCTCAAGTGATCCTCCTGTCTTGGCCCCCTAGAGTGCTGGCATTACAGGTGTGAGCCACCAGGCTTGGCCTTGTATTAAAACCTCTTTATCATTTCATCCTATCCCTTTCAAGGAAGTTCAGAAAAAAGATTAAAGCTTGAAACTCGGAAAAATAATATAAACAGTTTGTAGTTGGCTGATGCCTGTAATCCCAGCACTTTGGGAGGCCGAGGCAGGTGGATCACGAGGTTAGGAGTTCAAGACCAGCCTGGCCAAGATGGTGAAACCCGTCTCTACTGAAAATACAAAAATTAGCCACACGTGGTGGTGGATACCTGTAATCCCAGCTACTCGGGAGGCTGAGACAGAGAATTGCTTGAACCCGGGAGGCGGAGGTTGCAGTGAGCCAAGGTTGTACCACTGCACACCAGCCTGGGCGACAGAGCGAGACTCCATCTCAAAAAAAAAAAAAATAGCTTCTAGTTTAAAATCTCAAATGCAGGTGCTGATTTATTGAGAACTTTTTTCCTTAGTAGTCTTTCCTAGAACAGATTATAATTAAAAGTTAGTTTATACCGGCTGGGTGCGGTGGCTCACGCCTGTAATCCCAGCACTTTGGGAGGCCGAGGCGGGTGGATCATGAGGTCAGGAGATCAAGACCGTCCTGGCTAACACCATGAAACCCTGTCTCTACTAAAAATACAAAAAATTAGACAGGCGTGGTGGCATGCATCTGTAATCCCAGCTACTTGGGAGGCTGAGGCAGGAGAATCACCTGAACCCGGGAGGCAGAGGTTGCAGTGAGCCGAGATCGTGCCACTGCATTCCGGTCTGGGCGACAGAGCAAGACTCTGTCCCTCCCCCCAAAAAAAAAAAAAAAAGTTAGCTTATACCTTAAAAATTAGGTTTACATTTAGGAAAATTTCTCCTCTCTCATTTTTTCAGTCTATGTATTTAAATATTTATGTGAAGAATCCAGCAACAGTGTTAGGATAGGGGGGTTGTGGGTTTGGGGCAGTATTAGATTTATCATATTTTAAGTTCACTGTTAAGGAAACAGATCCCCTCCATGGTGTCATCCTAAAGCAGGCCTCCTGAGCCACCTGCAGCGGTGGTGACGTTCTGTTTCCTGGGAGCCTCTGCACCAGTGGCTTTTACTGTGGCAGCCTCTCTCAGGAAGGTCCTACACTACATGCAGGCCAGGTTGGTAGATGTGGCAAAGCCATCAGAATGAGGTTTTTGATGCAGAATAAGAGGGGCTTACATCTGATCTGAAGGAAAAACGTGGGCCTTCTGCAGTCCTTGATGTTAGGACTGTAATCTGTGGTTTTCCAGGCCAGTGACTCTCATAACCATGCTCCTGGCAGACACCAGGGGCTTGGCAAGGTAGCCTGAGAGGTGGGTGCTTGGTTGGTTTCTACAAATGCAGAGAAATGTAGACTTTTTACGGTGTTAACTTTTTGTCTTATTAATCTTTTTTAAAATCATTGGTGCCTACTTATTAACACATGAACAAAGAGCAATTAACAAAGCACCCAAGCCAGCACATGGCTTCTTGCTTACGTTTTCCACGGTGTGGTTTTTACATTCAGACATGATTTACATATGTTTTTCCTCATATAAATTGTTTTTAGTTCATATGTTTTTCCTCATATAAGTTGTTCTTAGTTCATGTGACAGAATTAAACGTATCCCTATGTATCAAGGTATTCTAAGACTACCTTCAGGGACCATTTGTATAGTTCATTACTAGAAGTTTCTCTGAACATGTAGAACACTGAAAAAAGTATTTACTTTTTTTTTTTTTTTTTTTTTTTGAGACAGAGTTTCACTCTTATTGCCCAGGCTGGAGTGCAATGGCGTGATCTCGGCTTACTGCAAACTCCGCCTCCAGGTTCAAGCAATCTCCTGCCTCAGCCTCCCGAGTAGGTGGGATTACAGGCATGCGCCACCACGCCCGGCTAATTTTGTATTTTTAGTAGAGATGAGGTTTCTCCATGTTGGTCAGGTTGGTCTTGAACTCCTGACCTCAGGTGATCCTCCCACCTCGGCCTCCCAAAGTGCTGGGATTACAGGCGTGAGCCACCATGCCTGGCCAAAATAAAAGGTATTTTAGGCTGGGTGCGGTGGCTCACACCTGTAATCCTCGCACTTTGGGAGGCCAAGGCGGGTGGATCACCTGAGGTCAGGAGTTCGAGACCAGCCTGGCCAACATGGCGAAACCCCGTCTCTACTAAAAATACAAACATTAGGTGGGCGTGGTGGCAGCCAACTGTAATCCCAACTACTCGGGAGGCTGAGGTAGGAGAATCACATAAACCCAGGGTGTGGGAGGAGGTTGCAGTGAACCGAAATTGTGCCATTGCACTCCAGCCTGGGCGACAGAGCAAGACTCTGTCTCAGGAAAAATAAAAAAGTATTCTACCCCAGAATCCACCCTGGAACCTTGGAGAATTGGTGTAAAAGGGACAAATGACTGAGCCAGTTGGAGAACCAGTGGCTTGAGGGAGCCTTAGTGGTAGACACAGTGATTTTGGAGCCTCTTTGGGTCTAACCTTGGAAAGTAAAATCTACCAAGTTATGATCTGCTTTGTATGCTAGAATATTAAAAATTTATTTGTGGAAACATCCAAATTATTTTCTAAGAGACTAGCATGTAACAATTGAAGTCAAAGAAGGGCTGTCTGCTGCTGGCAAAATCCAGGAAACCCTTCATTCTCTGGGTGATTTAGATTCAGGTCCATTGCCACAGCCTGTTGGCAAACTGGCTGCGATCTAACTCTGGTTTGGATTGTCAGGTAGCAGTGTCTAGGTACTGGAAAGAAGTTAAAGCAAAGTTTATTTTTCCTTTGTACAAAGGTTAAAAACTCTCACTCAACATCTTATTTTGATATTTGGGTTTTTACCATAGGAGTATCCAACCCTTACAACCTTCTTCGAAGGAGAAATAATCAGCAAAAAACACCCTTTCTTAACTCGCAAGTGGGATGCAGATGAAGATGTTGATCGGAAACACTGGGTGAGTAAATCTGATCTGTGCTGGGTCATCTAGGGGCTGCTAGAGAATTGAAGAAATGCTGGGAGCCAGAGACCTTGTCCCTTATTGAGGATTACTGGGGCTTTGCAACCAAGTAAAAGGTTGCACTGCACACAGACCTCAGTTGTTCCATCTTCCTTATGAGGACAGTTTAAATACGATCTGACCTGCTGCTTAAATAGCAAATGGTTGTCTGATGATAGCAACCCCAGAGTTCCAGCCAGAACTCTGCTCAGCTATCAGAATCTTAACAGTGTCCCCCCATCCTTCCCACCTGTTTGTCCATCTTCTGTCCACTGTTCCTTTCAAATCACCTCTGCTTGGGGAAAACCCTGTGAAACATGCAATGATGACCTCCGGCTTCGGGGCTGGCATGAGATGGAGATGATGTTGTGGGAATCTGCCTGCCCACTGGCTTATCAGGGCAGAGCCACATCATTTCTTTTTATCCTGGCTGCTGACAGACAAGTATAGTCTTGTCTTAAGTACACCACTATAAATCCTGCTGCCCCCCTTTTTAACTGTCAAGTGTAGAGCATTCTCACTCAGCAGTAGTGAATGCTTCAAGACAGTTAGTGTCCTGGGATCTTTTCATTTGTTGTCATATAAGTACCATGTCTTCAAAAATCAGTGTCTCGGCTGGGCGCGTTGGCTTGCGCCTGTAATCCCAGCACTTTGGGAGGCCGAGGCGGGCGGATCACCAGGTCAGGAGATTGAGACCATCCTGGCTAACACGGTGAAACCTCGTCTCTACCAAAAATACAAAAAATTAGCTGGGCGTGGTGGTGGGCACCCGTAGTCCCAGCTACTCTGGAGGCTGAGGCAGGAGAATGGCGTGAACCCAGGAGGCGGAGCTTGCAGTGAGCCGAGATTGTGCCACTGCGCTCCAGCCTGAGCAACAGAGTGAGACTCCGTCTCAAAAAAAAAAAAAAAAAAATCATTTTCTCAACCTAATAGCCTTTTGCTTTAGTTGACCATGGTGATGGTGAATTTTTGTTTAACATTGAAGAAGTTCAATGGGTTTACCCTCCATAAACCAACCAGAAATGGCTGTGTCAGTAGCAAAGATTCTAGAACTCGTTCTTCCCATTGCCTCTCACACCTGGCTATCTAAACTCTCCCCTGGTTCTGGCACAGCAGTCTGTGGAGAGAACTCCCGCAGACCCTTGTCTTGAGTTCACCTCACTAGAGATCAGTTGCTTTGCTTACTAATGTTTTTTATTTGTTTATTTTATTTAAAAAAAATTTTTTTTAGAGTTGGGGTCTTGCTCTGTCGTCTATGCTGGAGTGCAGTGGCATGATTATAGCTCACTATAGCCTCAACCTCCTGGGCTCAAGTAATCCTCCCACCTCCGCGCCCCAAGTAGCTAGAACTACAGGCACGTGCCACCACACTGAGCTCATTTTCTTTTATTTTTGTAGAGACAGAGTCTCCCTATGTTACCCAGGCTGGTCTTGAACTCATGATCTTAAGTGATCCTCTTGCCTTGTCCTCCCAAAGTGCTGGGATTATAGGTGTGAGCCACTGACCCAACCTGTTTTTTTGGTTTTTCTTTTATGGGGGTTTTTGTTTTGTTTTGTTCTGTTTTGTTTGGTTTGGTTTTGAGACAGAGTCTCAGTCTGTCACCCAGGCTGGAGTGCAGTGGCGTAATCTCGGCTCACTGCAACCTCTGCTCACTGCAACCTCCGCCTCCCAGATTCAAGTGATTCTCATCTCTCAGCCTCTCAAGTAGCTGGGATTACAGACGTGCACCACCGTGCCTGGCTAATTTTTGTATTTTTAGTAGAGACAAGGTTTCGCCATGTTGGCCAGGCTGGTCTTGAACTCCAGGCCTCAAGTAATCCTCCTGCCTTGGCCTCCCAAAGTGCTGGGATTACAGGCGTGAGCCACCATGCCCAGCCCCAAGCTGTTTTTTACTTGAGTAAAAAAAGGAGATCTATCAAATACTGAGGTTCAGTTAAATTTAAATTTAAACTTGAGCTTTTTAAAGCGTTTTTTGAATTCTATACATTTTGATTGTTGTAGCAAATGGACACTAAAAACTAGACAGTCATTTGTGTCTCTCTGTGATACAAGAGAATGCACAAGACCTGAGTATCCAGAAGGTTGGGGGAGCCCAAGTGGTGTATGAAGGTGCTGGCCACCAGCAGGTGGAGTTGGAAGGGCTCCCTAGTACCATCTGCGCCCACCCCTGCCCAGGGCTAGGCTCTTCCTGCATGGCTTGCTGCCTCACGAGATGGCTCCTTCCTCTCCTGTACAGTCCCAGAGTAGAAGGTTCTTCCTTGTAGTAAACCACAGCCTCTCTCCCATTCAACTCTATTTTCCATTTCATATTGGTCCTGCAAAAAGCAAAGTCTTTGAGGCCCAGTGACACTCAGTTTTAGGCTAGGTTGACTACAAATTAAATACTTGGAAAGCAACTCTTAATTTTCCCATTGACTTCCGTTAGAACATTGGAAGATATCTGGATCTGCAGACTCTGCTAGACTGGACTGAAACATTTTGGGTGAGAGAGGAACTAAGAAGGCCACCCTTGGTACTGGCATGTGAGGTGTGGTTGAGCCAGGGAGCTGAACCTATGGAGTGCTTCCTCCTCCAACAGTTTGTGGCTGCTTTTGTAGTACTCAGCATTTCCCCTAACTTTCACCACTCATGGAGGACTCCCAGGTTCCCACGTGGGACTCCTGGAGCTCTGTACTGCACCTGGGTTTGTCTGAGATTTACAATGTCTAATACACTTCACCTAGGCTGTCATTTTTTCATTATAAACTAGAATCAGAGATATTGTATTGCATCCTCAGATTTTCCTGAGTGGTATTTAAGTTGCTATTATAGTGGTACTATAAAGTCAGGATTCCATATATTCAGTCTACATAGGATAAAAATGTCTATGTGACACCAGGTGTGGTGGCTCATGCCTGTAATGCCAGCACTTTGGGAGGCCGAGGCAGATGGATCACCTGAGGTCAGGAGTTCGAGAACAGCCTGGCCAACATGGTGAAACCCCATCTCTACCAAAAATATAAAAATTAACCAGGCATGGTGGCACACACCTGTAATCCCAGCTATTCGGGAGGCTGAGGCAGGAGAGTCACTTGAACCTGGGAGGCGGAGATTGCAGTGAGCTGAGATCATGCCATTGCACTCCAGCCTGAGCAACAAGAGCAAGACTTTGTCTCAAAAAATAATAATAAAATAAATCTATGTGACAAAATCTATGACTTAATATCTCTGTGTCTTGATTTTTTATTTAAGATGTTTTCTTATCAAATTAACACATGCTTGTTTAAAAATATTTGAAAAAATAGAAAAGCTGGAGGAAAAGGAGTCATCTATGGCAACACCTAAAACTAAAATAGCTGTTAACCTCTTCCTGAATCTCTTTTGGGTATACAGTGTATACTTGTTTTTTGTCTTTTTTTTAAAAAATGGGATCATAAAATACAGTTTTGTAACCTATTCCTAATCTCCTGTTGTAAATGTAGTCAGCCCTCCATATATGTGGGTTCTGTATCTGTGGATTCAACCAGCCACAGTTTGAAAATATTTGAAAAAAAAAATTGCATCTGTACTGATGATGTATAGATTTTTTTTTTTTGAGACAGAGTCTCGCTCTGTTGCCCATGCTGGAGTGCAGTGGCACGATCTCGGCTCATTGCAAGCTCCGCCTCCCGGGTTCACGCCATTCTCCTCCTCAGCCTCCCAAGTAGCTGGGACTACAGGCGACCACCACCACACCCAACTAATTTTTTCATATTTTTAGTAGAGACAGGGTTTCATCGTGTTAGCCAGGATGGTCTTGATCTCCTGACCTTGTGATCTGCCTGCCTTGGCCTCCCCAAGTGCTGGGATTACAGGCGTGAGCCCCCACACCCAGTGGATGTATAGATTTTTTGTTCTTGATATTTTTCCCTGAACGATACAGTATAACCACTATTCACTTAGTATTTACATTGAATTAGGTATTATAAGCAATCTAGAGATGCTATAAAGTATAGGGGAGGATGTGTGTAGGTTATCTGCAAATACTGCACTGTTTTATATCTGGGACTTAAGCATCTGCAGATTTTGGTATTCATGGGGGTCCTGGAACCAATCTCTCGCAGATATCGAAGGACAAGGCTATCATGTGTTTCTAGTGTCTGCTTAGCTAGCTGGCCCAAGCCCCTAGATCATGCAGAGACACAAGCTTCACAAAGCCCTCTTCTCTGAGACTGGGCAGGCTGTTTCTAAGCTGTTTTGCATGGCTCTTTTTGCTACTTCGGATTTACTTGCAGAGGTCTTCTCATTAATTTTTCTTAGCTTTCGTCTGTTTATTTTGTCTGTCTGTTCACCATTCCCATCCTTTGGCCTTTTCCTCAGCCATGTTAACAAGGCAGGTGTAGGGCAGTGGGGCCCCAGCTGGAGTCCAGGTATCTGCCCCAGGGTTGAGTCTGCATTCAATGGGGTGACCATAGGGCCCCATCTGTTACTTGGTCTTAGCTGCCCTTTTGGGAGCCACGTCCCTAGCTGTCATGCCTTGGGAAGGTGAGTTTACCTGGGCACATAAGCATAGTTCTGAGAGCAGCCTCTCCTTCTCTCAGTCAATCGGCACACTCTCTTTTCTGCTTTCAGGGCAAGTTTCTGGCTTTTTATCAGTATGCAAAATCATTTAACTCAGATGACTTTGATTATGAAGAGCTGAAGAATGGAGACTACGTCTTCATGAGGTGGAAGGTAAGTTCCCACCAGGTGGCCCTCCAGACTCCCAGCAAGCCAGGCCCTGTATCGCACCTACATATTCACTCTAACCAAGGGCTCCCCATGTCCAGTGCTCGTCACAGCTGGTTGTCATGGCAAAGTCTTCATGGCAGGGTCTTTGCACGCCTATAAAAAGTGGGCCCAGCTCCAGGGCACGCACTGGTTAACTGCCGATGTCCCAGACAGCTCCTCCTCGCTGTGCTTTTGGTGGGTAGCAAGTGGATTTGGGCCTAGGTGGCTGCCTCTAACATTGTCTTCTCCCTTTCCTTTCTCCCACCCAAGAATCTTGTTGAACCCCCAAGTTGAATCACTCCAAGTGTTCTGTGGATTCAAGGCAGAGCCAAACTTGCTTTGAACTTAGTCATCAGTTGTACCCAGATCCCTCTACAGGCTTAAACACCATCCGTGGGCCAGGTGCCCTCCACCACATCCTTTTCCCAGAGCTCAGGAAAGTCTCACCTCCTCTACTTCCCTCCAGCTCAGGAAATGAGGGACCGGGAATGGAACACGGGTTTTTGACTCAGCAGACCTCAGAGAGCCCCACCTGACTGACTTGATGGATTGGCTTTTAGCTGCGAGGTCATTTGTGCTCCCTGCTTTGATAACGTGATATTTACAGCCCCAGAATAGCAAAATCAGGAAGCCAGTTTGTTAAATAACTTTGAGAACATACCAACCCCTAGTCCCCAGTCTGCAGGGAAAAAGTCGTTTTATCTTGAAATCTTGTCAGCTTTCATAAAGATGAATCATATTGAGTTGCCTTTCCTGGTCTTTATTTTGCATAGCTAACCACTTTAGGAAGTGGGGATCGGCCGGGCGTGGTGGATCACACCTGTAATCCCAGCACTTTGGGAGGCTGAAGCAGGCAGATCATGAGGTCAAGAGATTGAGACCATCCTGGCCAACATGGTGAAAACCCATCTCTACTAAAAAATACAAAAAATTAGCCGGGCATGTTGGCATGCCCCTGTAGTCGCAGCTACTCAGGAGGCTAAGGCAGGGGAATCACTTGAACCTGGGAGATGGAAGTTGCAGTGAGCTGAGATCACGCCACTGCACTCCAGCCTGGCGACAGAGCAAGACTCCATCTCAAAAAAAAAAAAAAAAAAAAAAGAAATGGGGATCACTGGGCGCGGTGGCTCATGCCTGTAATCCCAGCACTTTGGGAGGCCAAGAGAGCCAGATCACGAGGTCAGGAGTTCGAGACCAGCCTGGCCAATGTGGTGAAACCCCGTCTTTACTAAAAATACAAAAATTAGCCAGGTGTAGTGGTGCACGCCTGTAATCCCAGCTACTCGGGAGGCTGAGGCAGGAGAATCACTTGAACCCAGGAGGTGGAGGTTGCAGTGAGCCAAGATTGCGCTACTGCACTCCAGGCTGGGTGACAGAGCAAGACTCTGTCTCACCAAAAAAAAAAAAAAAAAAAAAAAGAAGTGGGGATCACCACTCTTCCAGTAGGTTGCCAGATGCAGAGAGTAAACAGGGAACAGTATGCTCACGAGCTTGCCATCTAGCGGGAAACATGTCAACTAAACAACCTGTTAAAGGAAGTTTATTGTTTGAATTTTGTTTGTTTTGAGACGGAATCTCACTCTGTTGCCCAGGCTGGAGTGCAGTGGCACAGTCTTGGCTCACTGCAACCTCCGTCTCCCAGGTTCAAGCAAGTCTCCTGCCTCCGCCTCCTGAGTAACTGGGACTACAAGCGCGTACCACCACGCCTGGCTAATTTTTGGGTTTTTTTGTTTGTTTGTTTGTTTTTTGAGACAGTCTCACTCTGTTGCCCAGGCTGGAGTGCAATGGCGCGATCTCGGTTCTCTGCAACCTCCCCGTCCCGTGTTCAAGCAATTCTCCTGCCTCAGCCTCCCAAGTAGCTGGGATTACAGGTGCCCGCCAACATGCCCTGCTAATTTTTTGTATTTTTAGTAGAGACGGGTTTTCGCCATATTGGCCAGGCTGGTCTCAAACTCCTGACCTCAGGTGATCCACCCACCTCAGCCTCCCAAAGTGTTGGGATTGCAGGCATAAGCCACCACACCCGATCTGAATTTTAAAATTAATTTTAAAAGCCACAATTTTAGAAGTTGAATAAGGAATGGGAGGGTGTCTTAAATTTGTTTAAAAAGCAATGGGCTTGTTTTGCCTCCAAAGAATGTCTCAGAGTGGCTCATCTGTGGTCCTTTAGTAGACCACCTGAGGCCCTGGAGCTTCTGACCTCATCTCTCTGGGAAAGTAGGTGCCAGGACCTGGGTTTCCAGCTTTCAGCTCCAGCAGAGGTGGCAAGCTTGCCTCTCTCCTAAGGTCCCTGGTAAAGAACAGTACCGTTCTGACTGCTTTTGACAAGGCGTCAAGCTCTTGGAGGGGGTGTCACAGGGGCTACTGGCAACTGCTTTGCACTCAGAATGGTCCACAGACCTACAGAAGCGACTCACTGTTCTAGATGTTATCAAGCATCTGTTGACAGTTCTGAGAACTGGAGCAGAAACTTCGCTCTTCCCAGGTTGATTGTCTGTGGTCTCTGAAAGATAGAGAGGCAGGCAGACAGGCAGGTGAGTAGGTATTGATTTATATATTAGATGTTTCGGCCATGGTACCTTCTCTGAATTGCTGATCCTAGTGAGCTCAAGACACAGTTTGTCACTTTAGTATATAGAATACTCCAGGAGCACATGGACGCTTTTTAGAAGTCAGGCTGAGACCCCACGGGCCCGCCATCACCCAGCAAGTCTAGGTTAGACTATGAGATCCTATATTTTTCTCGAGTGGTCCTTAGAACCCCCTGATGCTTAACAGGGAGGCCCCGTGGGTGGTCAGAGAATGCTATCTGTTACTGACCCTCTTCATCTGTGTGCAGGAACAGTTTCTGGTCCCAGATCACACGATCAAAGACATCAGTGGTGCTTCTTTTGCCGGGTTCTACTACATCTGCTTTCAGAAGTCAGCAGCCTCCATAGAGGGCTACTACTACCATAGGAGTTCAGAATGGTGAGGACCTCTGAGGACAGAGGCCACGGGGAGGGCTTGCTGCCCAGCTGGCTCTCCCTTGGCTCATCAAACCCAAAAGCAACATCTTAGCCTGTCTCTGTATAGATTCTGTGCTTTATTTGGATGCTGAGAGCTTATTTCAGTGATCTCAGTTGCTCACAATAAGGCCTTATCCCTATGCACAGAGCAGAGTAAATGAGATGAAAATGAATTATAGGTGAAAGAACTCATTTCTAAGCACTTTTAAGCAATACTGTATTTTTGGCAATGTTTATCTCAATCTTGCTGGTTTTTATTTAATCCTTGCAAATTGAATTAGTAACTAAAATGTGAATTGATCCAGTACTGGACAATGTGAATTTTGCTGTCAGCAGCTTTTTAAATTTTGTGGCTGCATTCCTTAGAGTTGGTCCGACATGCACTTGATTTAAGGCTCATGACCTGGGGGCCTGTGAGTGGACAGTCCTGTCCAGTGTGTCACCAATAGTAAAGGACTGAACTCTGCCTGAATGCTAACTTTTGCCACCTTTTGAGGGATTCTCCTGCCTCCTTGCTGCTTTTTAAGCACCTTGCTGTCCCCGGAGGGCAAACCATGTGATAAAATGCCTGATTTCCTCTCTGAAGGTAAAAATTCTTTCTTTCCAGTATTTAACACTTTGTTATATGTGAAGTGATCCTACCCTAGATTCCTTGTTCAGTGGTAACGAAATTATATCTGCAAGTAAATGCCAGCCCTGTAGCCACGATTTTTAGGCTTTCAGTAATGGTTTTCACGCAAGTTTGTAAAACTTTTATAATCCTTTTTAAAAATAACAGCTGGCCGGGCACAGTGGCTCACGCATGTAATCCCAGCACTTTGGGAGGCCGAGGCGGGTGGATCACGAGGTCAGGAGATCGAGACCATCCTGGCTAACACGGTGAAACCCCGTCTCTACTAAAAAACAAAAAATTAGCCAGGCATGGTGACAGGCACCTGTAGTCCCAGCTACTCGGGAGTCTGAGGCAGGAGAATGGCGTGAACCTGGGAGGTGGAGCTTGCAGGGAGCTGAGATCGGGCCATTGCACTCCAGCCTGGGCGACAGAGCGAGACACCATCTCAAAAATAAATAAATAAATAAATAAATAAATAAATAAATAAATAAATAACAGCTTTGGTCCGGGCACAGTAGCTCACGCCTGTAATCCCAGCACTTTGGGAGGCCGAGGTGGGCAGATCACGAGGTCAGGAGTTCGACACCAGCCTGGCCAATATGGTGAAACCCCGTCTCTATTAAAAATACAAAAATTAGCCAGGCGTGCTGGTACGCACCTGTAGTTCCAGCTACTCAGGAGGCTGAGGCAGGAGAATCACTTGAACCTCGGAGGCGGAGGTTGCGGTGGGCCGAGATTGCACCACTGCACTCCAGCCTGGGCGACAGAGTGAGACTGCATCTCAAAAAAAAAGTGTACAAGTCAGTGATCTTTCCTATATTAATAGAGTTGTCTAACTATCAAGTTTAGAACATTTTCATCACCATAAGAGGAAACCCCATACCCTTAGCCATTATCCCAAACTCCTCATCCCCTCTGAGCCCTGGGCAACCACTAGTCTTTCTCTTATGTATGTATAGATTTGCCTATTCTGGGTATTTTATATAAATGGAATCTACAAAATACGGCCCTTGCTTCTGGCTTTTTTCACTTAGCATAATGCTTTGAAGGTTCATTCATGTTGTACCATGTATCAGAACTTCTTTTTTATTGCCAATTAATTTTCCATTACAGGTATATACAACTTTTTTTTTGAAACAAAGTCTCGCTCTTGTCCCCCAGGCTGGAGTTCAGTGGCACGATCTCGGCTCACTGCAACCTCCGCCTCCCAGGTTCAAGCAATTCTCCTGCCTCAGCCTCCCGAGTAGCTAGGATTACAGGCGCCTGCCACCACGTCTGGCTAAGTTTTGTATTTTTAGTAGAGACGGGGTTTTGCCATGTTGGCCAGGCCTGTCTCGAACTCCTGACCTCAGGTGTTCCACCCGCCTCGGCCTCCCAAAGTGCTGGGATTATAGGTGTGAGCCACCGTGCCCGGCCGGTATATACCACATTTTATTTATCCATTCATTATTTAGTGGACACTTAGATTGCTTCCATTGTTTAGCTCTTGTGAATAATGCTGCTGTGAACATGGGTATATCTGAGTTCCTGCTTTCAATTCCTTGGACATATACCTAGGAGTGAAATTGCTAGGTCATACGGTATTGCTATATTTAACTTTATGAGGAACTGCCAAACTGTTTCCCACAGCAGCTGCACCATTTTGCATTCCTACCGGCATGTATGAGGGTTCCAGTTTCTCCACATCCTCCCTGGCACTTGTTATCATGTCTCTATAATTATAGCTACCCTAGTGGATGTGAAGCAGTATTTCATTGTAGTTCTAATTTGCATATTTTTGATGGCTAATGCATATTTCTTTCCTGATAATTTGTTTTTGGTAAGAAATAAGCCGCTTTTTCCTACGTTCTTCCACACTCCTGTATGAAACAAGTAGGGGAGAGCCAACTTGCTAGACATTGACTCTAAATGTGCCCGAGGTTGTCATCCCAGCATGTAGATTGTCTGCCCCTATTTCTCCTCCCTCTGCATGACTCCCTGGATCACCTGCCAACAGGGGAGGCAAACACCTCAGATATCACTAATGTTTTCCAAGCCTAATACCGTACCTAGGAAAGTGAGAAAATTTAAATGAAAGGTAAAATACAGTTTAAGGCAGTAGTGAAATGAATTTTTCTACGCTCTCTTTAGATACCATGAGAATCAGTTTATGCCTATGCTAGCCATAAAGTTCTTAGGATATGAGAGCCTGGCATTACATGCTACAGCAGGAGAGGTCAGAGCAGCCGGTGAGGTTAGGGCTTGGGCGTGGGTCTCCATCTTCTCCCACAGCTTATTGAGGTCTCCTTTTTATAAAACATACCATAGTTAACTTCATGATTAGAGCAGAATGAAAAAAAACATTCATCTAGTGCATGGTTCAGGAGGATTAACCAAAAAAAGAAAGAATGAATGAAATCAAACTAGGTTCAACTTGAGAAATAGAAAATGAATGTGCATTTCAGTCCAAGTATGTGACTTGTTGGGTGCTCTGCTTTTTGAGGGGTTACTAATGTCCTTTGCTCAGGGTGCATTAGATGACTACCTCCCGTTTCTGTCTCCTCCCCCTTGCAGGTATCAGTCCCTCAATCTAACCCATGTTCCTGAACACAGTGCACCCATCTATGAATTCCGGTGACAACGGTTCAGAACAGCAACCAAATAAAACTGAACTTGGCAAAAAAGAACTTTGCCGAGAAAATTGTGTACCTGCCAGAACCAGGAGAAGTGTGTTCCTGTTTCTTCACGAGCAGACTCGCATCACAAAGCATGAATGTTAACCCACAGAATCCAAGGAGCATGGCTGGCCCGTGGGGCAGGTGGAGGGAGCAGTCTTCGTTCTTCCTCCCCTCAGTGGCAGTTTGGTCTTCACCTGTTTTTAAGCTACCTTAAACGCACTTTTCCTTCCTGCACAGCTAACTTCTACATCACTGAAATGCCCATTCCTTCCTCCGTCCCACCTCCAGCCGAATAGAAGGTCTGCTCCCGGATCACCCTCAGCCTTGGTGCTCAGTGGTCCCGAGGCCCTAGACCCCCACCCCCCGCCAGTTGCTTTGTCTGGTAGCTCAAGAGAAGGCAGAGCCCCAGCACCTCTGTGCCCCCCAGAGCTCTGTGCAGGGAGTTGGCCAGCTGCCGCATCATCGGCCACCAAGGGCACAAGAGGCGGAGGCTCCAGTCCCTGCTGGGCTGCCTCAGTCTTCAGTGCTGATTGTGTCACGGGTCAGCGTGCGCTGCTGAGCCCTGTACTGTTAACAGTGCAAAGCTAGTGAGTAGCTGTCAGGTTCCCTGGGCCTGCCATCAGGGATCACTAAATTTAAGGCTTCCAGATCCCTGGCAGGAACAGATTCCAGTCCTGCTTACTCAGTACATTTGCTCCAAACTTTTCAACTTGAGGGCAATACTAAACTTAAAAATAAGAGTTTTTTTATTACAAAATTATTTTTATGGTCCCTTTAACGAGGACCCTATGGCAAATGCACAATTATTCAGAATTACATTTTATCGTTTTCACATTGAAAACAGCAAATGTTGACTTAGTAATTTTTATATCGATATCTATATGTATATGTATATTTAATCAACCAGCAGTTTTGAAACTAGTCATCCTGGTACAAAAGTTTTGCAGCATTGCCTAAATTATAGTGCTCAACACAAGAACTGTTTTTGGGGCCAGTTTAGCATTTGTGCCGCCTCCTTTTGCTACTCAAAACAGCAATGCTTGGCGGCAGCCTTCCATGAGGCAGAAGGGGTCGTCGTTCTCTGAAAACAGTGACTCTGAAATGTTGGGACAGGGGAAGGGGTGGGAAACATGAACATGCTCAAATAACTCGAGGCTCACGTGCCAAAGTGTGTGTGTGTGTGTGTGTGTGTGTGTGTGTGTATGATGTTTTGTTTTTTTAAATGTTTTAAAAGCTTAATAGGTTGGCATCAGTTGTAGCCCACAAACATGGCTAGGGCTTTGGGGATTTGGCATTTTTCTGGTGGTTTACAAGACTTACTCCGAATACAAGAGGAAAAGCTTTAAAAACAAGATTGCATCATAACCCCCAGGAGCAAAGCAACCTGGAGGCTGCATATCCATGGGCGGGCAGCATAAGAGAATGTGAAGCCCTTCAGTGAGACGAGACGAGCAATGGGAAACCTTTTCTGTTCTTAAGAAGTGACTTTAATTTTATTGACATATGTACTGTATGTTACTGAGATTGAATGTTAGGGGAAGCCTTAAGGTAGAGGTATTTGGGAAAGTAGCCAGTGGGCACTTGT